>NC_000002.12:201125981-201429011 GCF_000001405.40 Homo sapiens
AAAAAGGCCAGATAATTGAAAATGCTGGCCAGAGTTTGTAGCATGCGCTGTCTGATTGTTGTACCTGAGCGAGTTAGAGAAAACGCCACACTTTGAGATGAATTAAGAGTCCGTTTATTTAGCCGGCGGCCAAGAGACAGCTAACGCTCAAAGTTCTCTCAGCCTCGAAGAAGGGGCTAGATTTTCTTTTATACTTTGGTTTAGAAAGGGGAGGGGGGGGTCTAGTTAAAACAATTTTACAGAAGTAAAGTAGGCAAAAAAGTTAAAAGGATAAATGGTTACAGGAAAGTAAACAGTTCCAGGTGCAGGGGCTTTAAGACTATTACAAGGTGATAGACGCGGGGCTTTGGGCGTTATCAATCTGACGAATTCCTGAGAACTGCGGATATTGCTGGCCACAGTATCTTATCAGTTAATTGCATTCTTGGATGTGCTGGGAGTCAGCTTGCACAAGTTAAGTCCTTGCGGAAGGGCTGCCAGTGAAACAGCCAAGATGGAGTCTGTCTGGCTCTCTTAGCTAAGGGAGAGTCAATTCAGGTGAAAACAAGGCTAAGTGATTAAAGGAAAGGGAGAGTCTAAAAACAGCGTTAGTAAAAACAAGGTTGGGCATTACATGATCACTGGGTCTCCACTGTCAGAGGGTCTTTGAGCTCAGTTCTAGTGGCAGCCTCCTGATCCTCACTTCCCTGGCTGAGGCAAGGTTGTTGCAGCAGCCCCAGGAGTCTTTGTTAGAATCCCACCCCAGAGCTCCTTCCTCCAGTCCTCTCAGCAGTTTTGTTAGTTCCAGTATTAAGTGTAATTTCTACAAAAAATGCCTGGAATATTTCTGTTTCCAGAACCGGATGCTCCTGTTAGCTAGTGTGTGAAAGATAACTCTGACTTGCCTAAGCTTTGTTGATGTTTTGAATAATAATTGGCGATAGTCTCTTGACTTCTGCAAGAGAAATGAAACAGAAATTGGTCTCAAGTTTTAGTTGCTCTTGTGAAGGTCAGGGACAGTTTGTACCAGGGTGTGGGTGTGGAAAAGAAGGGGAGATATAGTCATTAAATTAGAATATGCCTGTGAGGGGAGTTAAGGGGAATTCCTTTAAAATTCTAGAAAACACACACAGGTGCCAATTTTGTCTGGCTAGGGAAAAGTAAACTGCTGAAAACACTTGGGGGGAGAAATGAAGCTAATGGTATCTTGATCAGTCAGGAGGATTGGGTATTTGAAAGCAGGGAAGAAAAATAATTGGACTTGGATATTCCTTTGCCCCTTCATCTGAGTAAGGTGAAAGCAAGTGACTCTTCAGAAGAGGCGAATGGGACACTGAGTCCAGCAGCTCAGGCAGGGTGGAGTTGGTAACTGATGGGCACAAGTCTTTTACTGGGCTCTAAAGAACTCATTCATCTGGGTGTGGTGGCTTACACCTGTAATCTCAGCATTTCGGAAGGCTGAGGTAGGAGAATCACTTGAGCCCAGGAGTTTGAGACCAGCCTGAGAAACACAGTGGGACCCTTTCCCTACAAAAAACTGAAGACCTTATGAGCTTCCCTAGTCTAAGAGTAATTTTTATGTTAATTTCTTGGCTTGGGCTTAAACCCCAACAAAGTGGTGATTATTCGGACCCCAGCCCTACCTCTCCCTAGTATGCTCTCCTTTCTCAAGTACTCACCACCTCTAGCCACAGTGAACTGCCTCCAGCATACACACACGCTGCTATTTTGTTGCATCTGAGTGGGCTGGCTCCACACGGGATCTGTAGTTTCCTTTTGATATTTTCTTTCAATGTGCCAGATGCTACCACTGAGTAATCTAGATTTTGCTGCCAAACTCTACCCCCGTTAGCACAGAGGGAAGACAGTATGCCAGTGCTCTTGCTGAGTGTGCGTGACTGGCAGAAAGCAGTCATGGGTGTGATGGTTGGAAGAAACAAACTGAGCAGATAATGTTTTTTAAAATGATTATCTCATTTTGTTAACTCTTGGTGGCATTGTTATATTGTTGATACTTATGAATTACAAAAGTTAGATGACTGTAAAAAAATAGAGAATTAAGCATTTCATTTCTAGTAGTTCTGTTTGGTTCTTTTTCAAATATGTCAGTGAATTTGTATAATATCTCATTTCTTAGTCTTGTGTTTAATGATTTTATTTTTGTGTTTTTATAATTCCTTCTACTGCATATATTTTATACTTTAATTTATAATAACAACTGTTGACAAAATTGTGACTATTCATTAATACAGTAGAAAAGAACTTGGCCTCCTTTTCATGGAAGCTGATGATGAGATTAAAGCACTGTTGGCCTGCGAGTGGAGTATAGATTTGGGCTGTCCAGAACACATAAAATTTGTATTTATCTTTCTGATAAAAAAAAGTAAAATAGTCTGAGTGCCAATTTTTCCACTTTCATTGAGCACATTTAATTTTAGTAAATTTAACTTAGCAAATTTAATTTCTCCAGTTATTTACAAATAATCATATTTAAGTGAAGTTGGGATGAATGGGCAAGCCCATTTCAAATTTCTAACCTAATTTTTCCTCTTGTTTTCATATAAAATTTTTCTATTTATGTGTTTTTATTTTAAGATAGCTCAAATCTTTTGTGGACTGATACTGTATGTATATAAATAAATGGATTCAGTGCTTCTTTCACTAAATACAGCTAGATAAATATATAAATATACTTGAACACAAATACAAAGCAACCATTGGCAATTTAGAGTTGGGTTGTGTTTCCACTTATTTTTTGTTAATAAATTTGATTTTAACCTGAAATATTGTCTTGTAGGAACAGATAAAGAACACAAGAGGTGATTTAACATAAGTTTTAGCTGTGAAACTTAGAGTAGATAGGTTAGCAACTTAAATTTTGAAAGAAAATAGGATGAGTTTCAATGGAAGAAATTAAGAACACACCCATTGCATGAGCTCCTTACCCCTCCTACCCAGCCCCCTCCCAGGAGTGAGATCTTTCCCCAGATCCTCTGTAACTTCCAGATGTTCCACTGAGAACATCAGAAGCACTAATGGCAATTGCTGCCATGTAGCAGTGCATTGAGAGTCAGGGCCTCTGGCACCTCCATGGGGCTCAGGGTCTGAAGACGTGATCCAAACCTGACAACTTGGTGGCAGGTTCTGTGAGCATTCATGATGTTGTGAAAAGGGCTTGGGGTCTAGGAGGATGGCAGCAGAGGTTTCTGCCCTCAGGTGTGAGTGAGGGGCTTTTGAAGTAGGAGAGCAACTAGAAAAAAGGAGTGGCACAGGGACAGAAACTTCTTTTCTCCATTGTTTGTTCAAGGCCACGTGGGTGGAGTCATTGAGGTGGAGGTTTAACTCTGTGACATAAGTTTCCCTGATTTAGTCAGGCTGTCTGTCGTTGGGCTTTTCCCACTTCCTTCTACTACGTACTTCTTCCCTATTCCTCCTACTGAGGCCATTAAACCCTTAGTTGTAATTTTCCCTGAACATGCTTTACATTCTGATGAATTCTGAAAAAGAATGTGGGGTTTCCTTGCAGATGAGTTCATCTGTTGTTTCATTTCCTTTACAATGTAGGTTTTCTTCTCTGTCTTTTTGGATTAGTCTGTTTTTGGTTCTGTCTACCAAGGATCCCTTTCTTTAGACTTCTATAGATCCCTTTCTATAGAACTTAATCTACTTAAGTCAGGGAGACCACCCAGAAGGAAAGAGCCCATACTTTCAATCTTAGGCATAAGTTAGCTTGATAAGATTTTCAGAAAAATTCCCTTTTAACCACAGAACTCCCCCACTGGAAAGGATTCTGAAAGAAATGAAGTCAGCCCTCAGAAATGAAGTTGACTGCCTGCTGGCTTTCTGTTGACTGGCCCGGAGCTGTACTGCAAGACCCTTGTGAGCTTCCCTAGTCTAAGAGTAGGATGTCTGCTGAAGTCATCCATCAGGTTGAAGAAGCACTTGATACAGATGAGAAGGAGATGCTGCTCTTTTTGTGCCGGGATGTTGCTATAGATGTGGTTCCACCTAATGTCAGGGACCTTCTGGATATTTTACGGGAAAGAGGTAAGCTGTCTGTCGGGGACTTGGCTGAACTGCTCTACAGAGTGAGGCGATTTGACCTGCTCAAACGTATCTTGAAGATGGACAGAAAAGCTGTGGAGACCCACCTGCTCAGGAACCCTCACCTTGTTTCGGACTATAGGTAATTCATCAACTCTTCCTGAGGCTGGGTGGGTGGGAGGGAGTGAAGTGTCTCAGACTCTACTGAATGGCAGAAACGAGGATAATAAGAAGTGCAGCCACTTTACTGTCTCTGCCCACTTATCCAACTGCCAGATGATGTCACTTCATTCCTGTGAGCCCTTTAAATTCTTGAAACTTGTTTTCTTGCTTTCTTTTTCTTTCTTTCTTTTTTTTTTTTTTTTTTTTTTTTTTGAGACAGAGTCTCACCCTGTTGCCCAGGCTGGAGTGCAGTGGCGTGATCTTGGCTCACTGCAACCTCCGCCTTCTGGGTTCAAGCGATTCTCCTGCCTCAGCCTCCCAAGTACTTGGGACTACAGGCGTGCGCCACCATGCCTGGCTAATTTTTTTTTGTATTTTTAGTGGAGACGGGGTTTCACCATGTTGGCCAGGCTGGTCTTGAACTCCTGACCTCAAGTGATCCACCTGCCTTGGCTTCCCAAAATGCTGGGATAACAGGCATGAGCCATTGCCTCCAGCTGAAACATGCTTTCTCAAAGGAATTGGGATCATATGCAGGTAGAAGGGCAGCTGGTATGTGTTTGCCTGAAGGATAGAATGACAAGACGTGAAGAAAGATAGGAATGACTAAGAGCTAGTCATTCTTGCCAGCCTCTGACAGTGTGAGATCTGCAGCAGTGTTTACTAGTTCATTTTCTGTGAAGTCAGTCCTTGATAATTTGTGGTACAAAGAAAGGAAATAACAAGTCTGACAGTAATCTTCCTACCTTTGTAGAGACTCCATCATCCCTTCTGAATCCCTGTTGGCCCTACCCTGCTGAGGAAGTTTATCAGGGTGGGCTCCCTTCCTGCACTTCCTGCGCTTGGAGACATTGGAGAGCCCACATTGAAAATCTCTTCAGTTAACCACATTTAAGTCCCTTCAGTCCAAAGAGGAAATGGCCACTGGAGTCTGCTTTAGTTCCCACAAGCTTTGGGTTGCTCCTTCCTCCTGTTCACATGTTAATGTCTTTAGAGGTTCAGAGGGGCATGGAAGCTACTGAGAGACTGACTTCCTGGGGAAAGGAAGATAACTTGTAACCTTAAGTTGGTGTTTTCTTTTTTTTTTTGAGACAAAGTCTCGCTCTGCAGCCCAGGCTGGAGTGCAGTGGTGCGATCTTGGCTCACTGTAACCTCTGCTTCTGGGTTCAAGTGATTCTCCTGCCTTAGCCTCCTGAGTAGCTGGGATTACAGGCACGCACCACTATGTCTGGCTAATTATTGTATTTTTACTAGAAACAGGGTTTTGCCATGTTGGCCAGGCTGGTCTTGAACTCTTAGCCTCAAGTGATCTGCCCTCCTTGGCCTCTTAAAGTGCTGGGATTATAGGTGTGAGCCACCATGCCCAGCCGGTGTTTTTTCTCTCGACCACCAGCCTTTTATTATGTTGATAATGTGTATTTGGAGATGATAATTATTATCAAGAACTATACTAAAGAGAGCTGAAAGCAGTGTGGGCTTTGGAAAGTATATGAGATTTGAACTTGGAAAGCCTGTTTTTTTGGTTTTTGTTTTTTTGTTTGTTTGTTTGTTTTTGAGACAGGGTCTTGCTCTGTCATCCAGGCTGGAGTGCAGTGGCATGATCATAGCTCATTGTAGCTGGAAGACCTGTTTCAAGCCTCAGATCTACCAATTATGGGCCAGGCAGGCTGGGCCAATCACTAACCTTGTTGGGCCTCTGTTTTCCTACTTGTAAAGCGAAAAATAATAATACCTGACTTTACAAGGTTGTTGTGAGCATCAGTTGTAATAATTTACTATGTGAAGTACTTTTTAAACTGTGAAGCACTCTACAGATAGAAGGGATTATTATCATTGTTATTATTATTATTTTTTTAATCTTCCACCTATTCAGCCATCAGTTTTAATGTCAGTAATCTTCAGACTTTCCGGGAGGCACCAACTGAGTTTCAGTGAATAGGGCAATCTCTCCATTTCCCATTTCCTTGCTATGATGAGTGGAGATTCTTCAGGCCCTCTGGGAAGGGTTGCGGGGGCAGTTGAAGAGGAGTGCTAGATTTATTTATTCATCTGGTGAGTGGGCTTCATTGTGTATTGGTGCTAAGTGTTTTGGTAAGCTCTAGGACAAAATGAAAAGTCTGCCATCCTCAAGAATCTGAGAGCCTAACTGGGAAAATGGCCTTGATGACAATGTCATGGTAACAATACTAACCACAGGGTGTCCTTAGGAGCCCCAGAAAAGTGTGGTTGTTGGTTCTCAAAGTCTATTTCCTAGGGGGGGAAAAATATATATATATATATATATATATAGTGTTAGCTCCAGCCACCAGTGAGTCAGGAGAGGCTTTCTAGGCAAAGACATCTAAGTTCAGAATCCTTGTGATCCAGATGCCTGTACCCTTTGAGTTCAGAGGTGGGCCAGGGTATCTCAGGTATTTCTTTCCTTTAGCATCTTGCAATTCAAAATATGGTCCTTGAATCAACATCACCTGAGAGCTTGTTAAACAGAGAAGGCTACTTCAAATTCTATTTCTGTCTTTTATGTTAGTCATTTGGGTTCTTAAGTCATTTCACTGTAACCTCTGGGGGAGCTAGGGGATTCTTTAAGGAAGTTTCCATTCTCTGAGTTGTTTTCAGAAACTGTTAGTTGGCAAAGGATGTACCATCTCCTATTAAACGGGCAAGGACAAGTTCCCTTTTCTGAGGTCCCTTAAGATCTCTTCCTGGGGTGATCTAGGCTTGCTGTTTTATGAGGGAGGGACATATTTACACAGGGGCAAGAACTAGTCTTTTAATCCATTGTTGCATAGGGGAGGCGTGGGCACTTGGAGTTGTCTTAGGACTGATGTCTGAATTAACTAAATGAACTTGTCTGGTTTGCAGAGTGCTGATGGCAGAGATTGGTGAGGATTTGGATAAATCTGATGTGTCCTCATTAATTTTCCTCATGAAGGATTACATGGGCCGAGGCAAGATAAGCAAGGAGAAGGTGAGTTTTCTTCTTTTGGTTCATGGCCCCAGGAGCCTATCAGAAGTGGGAGCTACTCTTGTTGATACAGAGAGAGGGAAGCAGGCAGTCTGCCGCCACTATAGTGGGAGTCAGACATCTCAGGTGGCTTTTAAACAACATGAATGGGAAGAGAATTGGTTTATGAATTGAAGAAATAGGATTATAACATCTTCTGGTGTGGTCTTGGATGTTTCTTTCATCCTTGGATTTTATCCTTGTTTCTGTAAAATTCATAGGTCTGGCTCATATGTGTTTCCCTCCCTGGTTTGATGGGGTTGTGGGGAAGACATCCCATCTGCTTGTGCTGGGGGAAAACAGGAAGGAGGTGCTAGTCCACTATAGTATCACTCTCCTACTGCCATCTATTTCTCCTCAGCTGACTCAAGGTCATTGTGGGGTCTAGGCTGCATGTAGGAGTGGGGTGGGGGGAGGTTCTTGTGACTGGTGTATCTGGGAAATGGTAAAAGTAGAGATTTAGAGTTGAAAACCAGGAGGCCGGGCGCAGTGGCTCATGCCTGTAATCCCAGCACTTTGGGGGGCCAAGGTGGGTGGATCACGAGGTCAGGAGATCGAGACCAACCTGGCTAACACGGTGAAACCCTATCTCTACTAAAAATACAAAAAAAGTAGCCGGGTGTGGTGGCGGGCGCCTGTAGTCCCAGTTACTCGGGAGGCTGAGGCAAGAGAATGGTGTGAAGCTGGGAGGCAGAGCTTGCGGTGAGCTGAGATGGCGCCACTGCACTCCAGCCTGGGTGACAGCAAGACTCCATCTCAAAAAAAAAAAAAAAAAAAAAAAATGAAGAAAAGAAGACCAGGTAGTGGTGAAGATCTCGGGGATGTCATGATTGCTAGAAAAATATTTAAAATCCATGGCCAGGCACGGTGGCTCACGCCTGTAATCCTAGCACTTTGGGAGACTGAGGTGGGCAGATCACCTGAGGTCAAGAGTTTGAGACCAACCTGGCCAACCTGGTGAAACTCCGTCTCTACTAAAAATACAAAAAATTAGCCGGGCGTGGTGGTAGGCACCTATAATCCCAGCTACAGGAGGTGAAGGCAGGAGAATCACTTGAACCCAGGAGGCGGAGGTTGCAGTGAGTCGAGATTGCACCATTGCACTCCAGCCTGGGCGACGGAGCAAGACTCTGTCTCAAAAAAAAAAATTTTTTTTAACTCCAGTTGGCCTAGCACAATGGCTCATGGGCACAGTGGCTCATGCTTGTAATCCCAGCACTTTGGGAGGCTGAGCCGGGCAGATCACTTGAGGTCAGGAGTTCAAGACCAGCCTGGCCAACATGGCAAAACCCCATCTCTACTAAAAGTACAAAAATTAGCTGGGCGTAGTGGTGGGCGCCTGTAATCCCAGCTACTTGGGAGGCTGAGGCAGGAGAATTGCTAGAACCCAGGAGGCAGAGGTTGCAGTAAGCCAAGATTGTGCTATTGCACTCCAGCCTGGGCTATAGAGCCAGACTCCATCTCAAAAATTAAAATAAAATAAAATAAAATAAAATAAAATAAAATAAAATAAAAAAATATAAAATAAAATAACATTCTAGTTGGCCCTACATGGTACTGTTGACCTAAGGATAGGCCAGGAAATGTTTGAGAACCTATTGTTTCTAAAATATGACAATAGGTCCTCAAAATAGGCAGGCCAGTGCCTGCCTGTAACGATTCAGATAAGTCATTGCTTGAGAATTTCCTCATGTTCCTAATGATTATAGTTTTGTTTCTTAAGTCCCATCAAATGCAAAATGGGAAGGAAAATGAAACTAGAACTCCCTTTTTGGTTTCTCCTAGTAATTGTCTCTCCCAGCCATTTATATATATCTAAATTATGATTATTATTTTCAAAAATAAAGATAGCACTTCAGTAACTAAATGTTAAATGCAAAGGAAATAGATCCCAAAGCAATGCCTGTTTCTGAAATATCGTTCGTTCATAATCACTGTGGCCCAAGGTAAACGAATAGCAGAATACTCAAACCTTGTTGTAATTTCACTTTTTTATAATCCCCTGAGTCAGAACGTCAGAATGAGTTGGAAGGCCCAATATTGATTCAAATATTTTGGAAACTTTAAAACTATAACATGTGATTTTTCTCATAAAGTCTTTCCCCAGCTACCTTTCTTCTCCTTTTTCAGAGAAGCCCTTAGAGTTTTTCACTATGACACCAGCCTGGCCTTTTGGAAAATAATAAACTTAGGAGGATTGTCTTTTCAGCCCTGCTCTTTCACGGTCCTTCTCAATGACACAACATGGCACACGTGTCTCTCTGCAACCAAGGAGCAGATTGATGACCAAAAGACTTACCACCACCTCTGTTCTGAGTAAAAATCAGGAGTCTAAGTTGCTCATGACAGAGATGTCTGGTTTAAGATCACTGAAGGTCACTGAAAGGGCTCATCTTGTCACATTTTCTTACTGCTATAAATCACATGGACTGAGGTTTGCATTTGGGGCTTATTAGTCAGCTCTATTTTTTTTTTTTGAGACAGGGTCTCGCTCTGCTGCCCAGGCTGGAGTGCCGTGGTGCAATCACTGCTCACTGCCTTGACCTCTGAGTTCAAGTGATCCTCCACCTCTGCCTCCTGAGTAGCTGGGACCACAGGTGTGTGCCAACACACTCAGCTTATTTTTTTTATTTTTTGTAGAGATGGGGGTCTCACTATTTTGCTCAGGCTGGTCTCAAACTCTTGGGCTCAAGCAGTCTTCCTGCCTCAGCCTCCCAAAGTGCTGGGATTACAGGTATGAACTTCTGCACCTGGCCTAGCTAGCTCTATTGACATTTGTTTTTTGTTGGTGGTTCTCTTAGAGTTTCTTGGACCTTGTGGTTGAGTTGGAGAAACTAAATCTGGTTGCCCCAGATCAACTGGATTTATTAGAAAAATGCCTAAAGAACATCCACAGAATAGACCTGAAGACAAAAATCCAGAAGTACAAGCAGTCTGGTAAGAATTTTGGCCTCTCAGTGGTCTAGGGGAAGTACTCTGTGCATGGGGGTGGGCATCATGACTGATAAATATTCATTTGTTGGATAGGTGGATGGAATGGAACCTGGATGACCAAAGCCTCCTTTAGCTTGTGGCTAGAAATCGCGTCCCTTTATATTCTTCATATCCCAGATCTGCCAACTCCATTGCCCTGTATATTCATGATCTCTGCAAAATGCTGCCAAGCAGTTCTTAACATTTCAGTCTTCAAGAAAGAATCTGGGATCTGCACAGGCTGGCAGAGCTATGGACATTCAGGGGTTTTGCATGTATGCTGAACCCTACTGCCTTGCTCTGGTATTTGGCCTCACAACCACTGTCCAACTTCGGGTGATGTCACTTGGGTCTCATACCTTCCTTGCATGTGTCCCAAGTTTCACAAAACCTCCTTATGGAAAAGAGCACATTCGATTTCTTCCTTGATAAAAGGGACCAGATTCACATTGGCCTTCTGCTTTACTTGCATTCCTCATTGTCTTTTAGACTCAGCCTCAGCTTGGGCTTTGTTAGCAAGTTCACTGCCACCATAGCATCACAGCCTAAAGGGCATGGCTGAGACTCATTGATCTATAGAGCACTCTTTTACCCCAACATACTCTAAATGACTGATCAAAGATCAAAAACAGAAGAGCATTTATACTCCATTCTTGTTTTTTGAGACCTGCTTGATTTATTCCGATTATTTAACACACAGGGACGCAACAGTGATCCCAAAGTGTGTAAAGTTAAAGCCTTCAACTGCAGCTGAGGAGAGGGCAGGAATGGGGACGGTGGTGAGTCAGGAATGACAGGCAGGCAGCCATGACCAGGGCAGCCTCCTCCCCAGGGCCAGGGACTGGGGAGTGGCCTAAGGAGCAGGACCTAAGGGTAGCCCAGAGCTGGGGAAGGGGGCAGAGACCTCCCCTTGGCCTAGGTCTGGAGCTCAGAAGTGCCACATGCCTGAGGGGGCAGCGGCCTGGGAAGGGCCAGAGGCAGGGTCAGGAGAGCACCATTTCCTGGGGGGCTGGGGACAGGGAGGTGCCCTATAGGAGAAGCCAGGAGGGGCCGTCTGCCCCTGAGGTGGGGGCTGGGCTGGAGCAGGCTGCAGCAAGAAAGACCTGAGGCAGGCACAGGGCCTGAGAGCCCAGCTGCCTGGGTTCAGGGGGGCTCCCAGGGCAGCCTGGCCCAGGGAGCAGTCCTGACTCTGCAGGGGATGCCCAGCAAGGGGGGCTGCAGACCCCTCAGAGCCTCCCCTCCTCTCTCCCTGGAAAGGAGCTGGGGAACCCATAGTGCAAATCTGTGGACCACTCAGTTATGGAGGGAGGCTGTGCCTGAAGGTGGACACTGGGGTGCACTCCCTCCACCATCTCGCCCTGCACCGCTGTCCTCAGTACAGCCACTTCTCGTAAGAGTGCAGGCCATGGATGCCACCGTCGATCTGGGCTGACATGGTCTGCTTCTCAAACTTGAGCTCCCCTGAGTACATCATGGACCGAAGGACAGACAGGCTGTGGGCCCCGATATCCTGGCAGCCATGCTGGATGCCCACTATGAGGTAGGGCACGAACTTCTGAATGGACCCTTTGTCCTGGATGGAGCCCAAGACATCCTGCGTGATCTTCGCCTTATCCCCGTCGTTGAAGTATTGTTTCTGGCTGCTGCTGCTCTTCTCCATGGCATCCAGTGAGCCCATGCCCTGGTACTTCTTGAGCTGCATTCCGTCTGAGAAGAAGCACTCGCCGGGGGCCTCCATGGTGGCGGCCAGCAGGGAGCCCATCATCACTGTGGAGGCTCCTAGGGCCAGGGCCTTGACCACATGCCCCATGGTCTGGATGCCACCATCGGCTATGATGGGCACACCAAAGTTCTGGGTATGCTTGGCCACCTTGTACACAGCAGTGCCCTGGGGCTGACTGCAGGCTATCACTTCCTGGTTGATGTAGATGGAGCCGCGCAGTCCATGCCCCTGCCCAGCCCATCCACACCAGCGTCAATCAGGTTGTTGGCCTGGGCTGCTGTCACCACGTTCCCCCCAATCACCTGGAGGTGGGGTTACTTTTGTTTGATGTAATGCACCATGGCGATCTGATACACCGAGTTCCCTTGGGACGAGTCCAAGCCTATGACATTGACGCCTACCTGGGTGAGCAGGTCCAGGTGGTATTTGTCATCCTCATGGGTACCCACAGCTGCCCCGCCCAGCAGCTGCTCATGGGAATCCTTGGAGGCCACAGGGTAGTCTCGGTTCTTCAGCGCGGTGCAGGTGATAATGGCCACCAGCTCATCGCGATCATTGACGATAGGCAGCTTCCTTTCTTACTAAGCTGCAGGATCTCATTTGCCTCTTTCAACCTCACACTGCTGGAGCCACCACTAGCTTGATCCTTGGCATCATCACCTCACTGAGGAGGGTGGTGTGGTCCTTCTCAGCAAGAAAGTCGATGTCTCGGGAGGTGACGATGCCCACCAGCTTGCTGCCCATGGTACCCGTCTCAGTGATGGGGATGCCAGAGAAGCCATGACGCATCTTGGCCTCCAACACATCACCCACAGTGTGCAAGGGGCTCAGCACCACGGGGTGTGTGATAAAGCCCGGTTCAAACTTCTTGACCTTCTGCACCTCACTGGCCTGGAACTCTGGGGTGCAGTTGTGGTGAATGAAACCAGTACCTCCCATCAGAGCCATCACGATGGCCAGGTCGGCCTCTGTCACAGTGTCCATGGGGGAGGAGATCAGCGGCGTCTTCAGAGTGACCATTGGGTCAGGGCTGAGGTCAGGTCCACCTCATCAGCTATGAAGTCTATGAATCCTGGGAGAATCAAGAAGTCGTTGTAGGTGAGTCCCTGGTCACTGGCGAAGAGCTGCTGCACGGTGTGGGGAAAAGAAAGAGAGATCAGATTGTTACTGTGTCTGTGTAGAAAGAAGTAGACATAGGAGACTCCATTTTGTTCTGTACTAAGAAAAATTCTTCTGCCTCGAGATGCTGTTAATCTGTAACCTTACCCCCAACCCTGTGCTCCCTGAAACATGTGCTATGTCAACTCAGGGTTAAGTGGATTAAGGGCTGTGCAAGATGTGCTTTGTTAAACAGATGCTTGAAGGCAGCGTGCTCGTTAAGAGTCATCACCACTCCCTAATCTCAAGTACCCAGGGACACAAACACTGCGGAAGGCCGCAGGGACCTCTGCCTAGGAAAGCCAGGTATTGTCCAAGGTTTCTCCCCATGTGATAGTCTGAAATATGGCCTCATGGGAAGGGAAAGACCTGACCGTCCCCCAGCCCGACACCCATAAAGGGTCTGTGCTGAGGAGGATTAGTAAAAGAGGAAGGAACGCCTGTTTGCAGTTGAGAGAAGAGGAAGGCATCTGTCTCCTGCCAGTCCCTGGGCAATGGAATGTCTCGGTGTAAAACCTGATTGTATGTTCCATCTGCTGAGATAGGGGAAAACCGCCTTAGGGCTGGAGGTGGGACATGCGGGCAGCACTACTGCTCTTTAAGTCATTGAGATGTTTATGTGTATGCATATCTGAAGCACAGCACTTAATTCTTTACCTTGTTCTTGATGCAGAGACCTTTGTTCACGTGTTTATCTGCTGACCTTCTCTCCACTATTATTCTATGACCCTGCCACACCCCCCTCTCCGAGAAACACCTAAAAATGATCAATAAATACTAAGGGAACTAAGAGGCCGGCGGGATCCTCCGTATGCTGAACGCCGGTCCCCTGGGCCCCCTTTTTTCTTTCTCTATACTTTGCGTCTGTGTCTTTCTTTTCCAAGTCTCTCGTTCCACCTAACGAGAAAAACCCACAGGTGTGGAGGGGCAACCCACCCCTTCAGCGCAGTGAACCCGTCCTCGACCACGTAGCCGGTGCTGCTGCTGATAGGTAGTCCCTCATGCTGCCGCGAGACCCCGCGACCCGACATAAACGCTGCAGCTGCTGCGACGCGGAGGCGCGCCGCTGCCACGCTGCAGCCAGGCGCCGGGTGGGCTGGGTGGGCTGGGGGCGGGGGCTGCGGCAGCGGCGGGGCGGGCCAGGGCGCCCTATACTCCATTCTTCATGATGTTTGGTCGAAGAGTCATCTGAAATTTTGAATTCAGTAAGGTGGCTAGAAAGTTTAGGGTATTTTGAAAGATGGTGATTGACCTTGGACTGAACCACTATTGAAGATTTATTTGATAATAATTTGTAAGTTTTAACTCAGTACCTCCCTTCTGCTTTTATAGTTCAAGGAGCAGGGACAAGTTACAGGAATGTTCTCCAAGCAGCAATCCAAAAGAGTCTCAAGGATCCTTCAAATAACTTCAGGGTGAGTCTGGAGAAAACATATGGAATCCCAGCATGAAACCGTTTCAGAGTTCTAATAAAAATATGCATATTCTCACAGCATGTACTTTATTTAATATCTGAAAAAATTGTGATAGAAATGTGTATTTGTTTTAAAAACGTGTAACTTCTTATATTTCAAAGCTAATACATGTTCATTGAGATATTTGGAGACTATAGAGAAAGATAAAAGAAAATAAATCACCTATATTCCACTATCCAAAGACAACCACTGTTAGTATTTTGGTATATTTCCTTCTAGACTCTTTTTTATGTGGGTTTGCATCTGTATCTGTATGTATGTATATATATATATATATACATACATACATACATACAGTTGGACAATTGGACATTTTTTTCACTGTTCATTTATTCACTTGAAATTGTAACTTAAAAAAAGAAAATGTAACTTTAAAAATAAAAATAGATGCACCATGCCTATGGAAAAAAATTTAAATGTACTACAAGAGGTTTTAAAAGTATTTTTTTGCCCGGGTGCGGTGGCTCATGCGTGTAATCCCAGCACTTTGGGAGGCCGAGCCGGAAGGATCACCTGAGGTCAGGAGTTCGAGACTGGCCTGGCCAACATGGTGAAACTCCATCTCTACTAAAAAATACAAAAATTAGCCAGGTATGGTGGCAGGTGCCTATAATCCCAGCTACTTGGGAGGCTGAGGCAGGAGAATCATATGAACCCAGGAAGTGGAGGTTGCAGTAGCCAAATCGCGCCATTGTACTCCAGCCTGGGTGACAAGAGCAAAACTCTGTCTCAAAAAAAATGTTTTCTTCCTACCCCTATAATACTGACCTCCAATTATTTTTCCTAAAGGCAGCTGTTGTGAACTAGTTCATTCTGTAACTATCCAGAGATAGTCTACACATATATTTCATTTTTGCTTTTTTCTCTTCTACAGATGATAACACCCTATGCCCATTGTCCTGATCTGAAAATTCTTGGAAATTGTTCCATGTGATTAACATGGAACTGCCTCTACTTAATCATTCTGAATGATTAAATCGTTTCATTTTCTAAATGTGTTATAATGTGTTTAGCCCTTTCTTGTTGCTGTATGTTTAGATGCTTTCCAATCTTTTGTTACTACTAATAATGCTATAAAATAAATATCCTTGTACTTCTTTGTGCATTTGTTTTTTTACTGAGCTAATTTTAATGATTTCAGCAAAAGTTATTTTGTTATTGAGTGATGAAACAAAAGATTTTTGAGGGTGTTCATGAGCATAAGTGTATCATATAGTCACTTATGGTTGTTGTGTTCCTAGTACTTAGTACAAGGTATCGGAATTGTTCTTTAGTTAATCTTTTATCTTGAGAAGTTAAATCTTGGTGTAATCTTATCCTCATGTTCATATAAAGATATGTGGAGTTTGTAGTGAGGACTTAGAGCCGGGTACAATTTCATGGTTAAATTAGAAATGCTTTTGGCAGTGTTAACAGCTCTTTTAGAATTTGTCTAGCAGGCTTTTCAGTTTTTGCCAGAAAGCCCTAAAAAAAAAGAAGGAAAAAAATGCTTTTGGCTGAGTGTGGTGGCTCACGCCTGTAATCCCAGCACTTTGGGAGGCCGAGGCAAGCGGATCGCTTGAGCCCAGGAGTTCGAGACAAACCTGGTCAATATGTCAAAACCCCATTTCTACAAAAAATACAAAAATTAGCTGGGCATGATGGTGTGCCTTTAGTCTCAGCTACTTGGGAGGCTGAGGTGGGAGAAATTGCTTGAGCCTGGGAGGTTGAGGCTGCAGTGAGGTGTGAGTGTGCCACTGCACTCCAGCCCTGGTGACAGAGTGAGACCTTGTCTCTAAAAGAAAAAAAAATATTATATATATATATATAAATGCTTTCCTTAAAATATGTAATGAAAACCCACTCTTGTAATATAAATGGTTTCTTGGAGAATATGTCTGTAAGAGACACTACTGAGCAATGCAATTTCAGAGCTAAAATGGATTTACGGATTATATTATCCAACTCCCTTAATGAACAAAATAAGGAAACTTAGCCCTAAAGAACATTAACTGATTGTCTACTTCTAACTACTAGCAGAGCTGGGCCCAGCCCATACTCCTTTCACTGCACTGTGATGTATATAATAAACTATATACTTGTCATACCATATCTTAGAGCATACTTTTTGTTTTTTTGAGACAGAGTTTCGTTCTTGTTGCCCAGGCTGGAGTGCAATGGCGCGATCTTGGCTCACCGCAACCTCCGCCTCCCGGGTTCAAGCGATTCTCCCACCTCAGCCTCCCAAGTAGCTGGGATTACAGGAATGTGCCACCACGCCCGGGTAATTTTATATTTTTAGTAGAGATGGGGTTTCTCCATGTTGGTCAGGCTGGTCTTGAACTCCCGACCTCAGGTGATCTGCCCGCCTCAGCCTCGCAAAGTGCTGAGATTACAGACATGAGCCACTGCACTTGGCCTAGCATATATTTTTTAAAAGAATGAAATGTGCTTTGTTTTGTCCTTCTGAGTCTCTGTAATACCAAATAATGAGAAAAAGCAGATTTAGGATTCAGATCCAGGTTTTCTGAGCTTTCTCTGCTATTGTCTGTCTAATATAAATTATATTGTCATTCTTAGTTAAAAAACCTGCCATATTTTTACTATTGTGTTTCTATTTTGTAAATGAAGCATATTCATTGCTATGTAGCCTGTTGTGAGCCCATATGCTTTGCATATTAGTTTCTCCTTAAACTTTCTATATTTAATATGTGACCCTAAGGCCGGGTGCAGTGGCTCACACCTGTAATCTCAGCACGTTGGGAGGCCGAGGCAGGTGGATCACCTGAGGTCGAGAGTTTGAGACCAACATGGAGAAACCCTGTCTCTACTAAAAATACAAAATTTTCCAGGTGTGGTGGTGCATGCCTGTAATCCCAGCTACTTGCGAGGCTGAGGCAGGAGAATCACTTGAACCTGAGAGGCGGAGGTTGTCGTGAGCCGAGATTGTGCCATTGCACTCCAGTTTGGGCAACAAGAGTGGAACTCCGTCTCAAAAAAAGAAAAAAAAAAGTGACCCTGATTATTCATTCATTCATTTAGTAAGCAGGCACTATGGCATATGAATGCAGTGACTTTCTTAAAAGGTTTAGGAGCCGAATACCTAGAAGTTAATTCATATGAGGCTGCAGAAGTGCTTCAAAAATTACTGTATGATTAAATGCCACAGGATACCACAAGATATTATAGAATTAAAAAATTATGGCTGGGCATGGTGGCTCACACCTGTAATCCCAGCACTTTGGGAGGCCGAGGCAGGTGGATCATGAGGTCAGGAGTTCAAGACCAGCCTGGCCAAGATGGTGAAACCCTGTCTCTACTAAAACTACAAAAATTAACCAGGCGCAGTGGCAGGCGCCTATAATCCCAGCTACTCTGGAGGCCGAGGCAGGAGAATCACTTGAACCCAGGCGGCAGAGGTTGCAGGCGCCACTGCACCCCACCCTGGGTGACAGAGTGAGACTCTGTCTCAAAAAAAAAAAAGAATTTAAAAATTATTTGGCTACAATACAATGCTTTTAAAATCCATCTTTGATTTGATATGTTACCTCTCTCTAATAATATGTAAAAGCGAATACACATGCATGCGGCCAATTTCTATCTGATATGATCAGCCTCTGGCTAAGTTACTAATTATTAGTGAAAAAGGCAACTTACATGTTTTTAATTTAGACACACAGACTTAGCTACTGACACAGCTTAACAGATAGTGTATTTCACTCTTTTGGCTAGGTTAGCTTCAGAGAAGAACTGTCATTTGAAAGCTGAGTGTCTCAGATGGGTTGACAGCATGTGGTATGTGTATCTTACATAGGACCTGTCATCTGAGAAGAGAAAGGGTCGGTTTAATCTTTCATTCTCTGATTACTCTTACTCTAGCCCTCAGAAGTGGTTTATCAAGAATATTTGATTATCAAGAATCAGGACCATATGTTGCTTATGTGTAGCTAGGCAATGATAGAAAAGCAATAACTGGACATTTATTATGTACTTCCATGTGCTTGGCACTGTGCTGAGTGCTTTGTGTGCATTTAATCTTCATACAAAATCTGTAAGGTATCTATTATTATCCTCATTTAGCATATGAAGAAACACACATACAGAAGTTAAATAACTTGCTCGAGGTTACATAGCTAATAAGTGGCAGAATTAGGATTCCTAGCCAGGTCTGTCTGGCCTAGAAATCCGACTCTTAACCATGCTGTACTTTGCCCCTGTGTTGAAGGAACAGGTGGAATGTCAATCTCATGTTCCAACAGCTTATCCTAACCTGGAGCTATGCTAGCAACTATACTATACTGTAACATCAGATTTTATTGGGCTGTTTTGAAACATTCTAATATGCTAGCTTAGCATATTTTTCTTTTCTTTTTTTTTAATTTTTGTGACAGAGTTTCACTTTTCACTCTTGTCGCCCAGGCTGGAGTGCAATGGCACCATCTCAGCTCACTGCAACCTCTGCCTCTCAGGTTCAAGCAATTCTCCTGCCTCAGCCTCCTGAGAAGCTGGGATTACAGGGGCACGCCACCATGCCCAGCAAATTTTTGTATTTTTAGTAGAGATGGGGTTTTACCATGTTGGCCAGGCCGGTCTGGAACTCCTGGCCTCAGATGATCCACCCACCTTGGCATCCCAAGGTGTTGGGATTACAGGTGTCAGCCATCGCTCCCGGCCTATTTTCATCTTTTAAAAGCAGAATTTCCCTGTTCTTTGGTAATATGATACGGGATTTATGGAGTTAACAGCTCTTGCTATTCTTTAGATAATTTAACTGTTGGGACGATATTTTTATTTTTTTCCTGAGTTAAGAATCCTATTGAGACATTTAAAGAGGTGTAATGTATAGTGTACCTCTGAAATAACTAACAGGAAGTATGACCTTATTCTTTGTATTTGAAGCTCCATAATGGGAGAAGTAAAGAACAAAGACTTAAGGAACAGCTTGGCGCTCAACGTAAGACCACCTTTTTTTAATATTCATTATTTATAAATGCTTGATAATTCTAGTACAAATATTGCATTTTTAGAGTTGGTCATTTCCTTTATCTACATAATCTAAGTAAGCTCTCAAAATAAAAACTGGTTAAACTCTTACGATAGACTCATTGGCATTTCTAGTTGTCTATTGAATTAGCTTATCTAAGTTTGAACACCATCGTACTCCATCAGCTTCATCATCTTGGCCGTATGTTAAGAGATGTGATGTTTATAACTGAAATGGAATGGAGCTCTAATCAGGCCATGTTAAACATTGATCCAACCATGATAATGAACCATGTTAAACCAAATATCTAGCAGCAGGAAGAGGAATGGTAAATAAGTTCTTGTCTTACAGCCTATTTAATAAATCTGGATACTCTACAGATGATATCCCCCCTTTCCTAAGAAAGAAAACGTGCAATTTAAAGATGGGTCATTTCAACCCGCATGAGCTGTTTTCTCTCTTAAAACATTAGCACTTGATCCCATAGATCATTTTTTAAAAGATTACTCTTTTTTTTTTTTGGAGACGGGGTCTCACTCTGTCACCCAGGCCGGAGTGCAGTGGTACACTTTTGGCTCACTACAGCCTCCACCTCCTGAATTCAAGTAATTCTCATGCCTCAGCCTCCTGAGTAGCTGGGATTAAAGGCACGCACCACCACACCCAGCTAATTTTTTTCTTATCTTTTCTTTTCTTTTTTTTGAGACAGAGTCTTGCTCTGTCACCCAGGCTGGCGTGCAGTGGTGCAATCTCGGCTCACTGCAACCTCCGCCTCCTGGGTTCAGGTGATTCTTATGCCTCAGCCTCCTGAGTAGCTGGGATTACAGGCTTGTGCCACCACACCCAGTTTATTTTTGTATTTTTAGTAGAGATGGGGTTTCATTCTGTTGCCCAGGCTGGTCTCAAACTTCTGACCTCAGGTGATCCACCCACCTCGGTCTCCCAAAGTGCTGGGATTACAGGGATGAGCCATGGCGCCCAGCCTAATTTTTGTATTTTTAGTACAGATAACGTTTCATCATGTTGGTCAGGCTGGTCTCAAACTGCTGACCTCAAGTAATCCACCACCTTGGCCTCCCAAAGTGCCGGGATTACAGGCGTGAGCCACTGCACCCAGCAAAAGTTTACTTCTTTTGCTTGTCTTGAGTCCTCCTTGAAGTGAGAGCTGAGACTCAGTCTTACACTGATGAGGCACATGGCTGTGGTTCCGAACTCCAGGAAACGGATTGATGGGCTGTGATGGAGGGCTTCAGTCTTATCCAAGAGGCTTGGAATCTGTCCTGTGTGTGGTGGGACATCATGAATGTTTTGAGTAGGGCAGTGGCCTAATAGAAGCCCTCTTTGTGTGGCAGTCCCCTTACAGATATCTTACGACTCAGTCTTTGTGCTATCTGCACCTGGAAACTTATTTTGCCCGGATTAGTCAGCTGGTGTAGCTCATGTCTGTCATTCTCTACCTAATATTGTGCTCTCCAGCAAAAACTACTGAGAAGCGAATTAATTCCTGAAATGATAGCATGTTTCTTAAAACACTGGTGAGGTGATGAGAATTAGTATTCCGAAGCCTGTTTAAAGGGAAAATAGGAGACCTAGTAGATTTGCATAGGAATTAAAAACAATTGGTGTTCTTTCCATTTGCTCCCTGATGGCAATTTTATCCTTGGTCATAATTGTACAGATGAGGTAAGTGAGAATCCAAATATCCCTATGATCCTGTTAGGAGAGCTGCTTACTTGCTCTTGCTTGGACTTGGTTTATTTGCTAATAAAAGAAAAAGGTTTCTGGGCTGGGCATGGTAGCTCATGCCTGTAGTCCCAGCACTTTGGGAGGTCGAGGTGGGTGCATCACCTGAGGTCAGGAGTTCAAGACCAACCTGGGCAACATGGTGAAACCCCGTCTCTACTAAAAATACAAAAATTACCTGGTCATGGTGGTGCATGCCTGTAGTCCCAGATACTCGGGAGGCTGAGGCAGGAGAATTGCTTGAACCTGGGAGGTGGAGGTTGCAGTGAGCCGAGATCTTGCCACTGCATTCTAGCCTGGGCAACAGAGCAAGACCCTGCCCCCCACCCCAGAAAAGCTTTCTAATAACTTGGGCTTAATTTAATAGAAGTTTAAAATACTCGGCCAGGCATGGTGGCTAACGCCTGTAATCCCAGCACTTTGGGAGGCCGAGACAGGCGGATCACGAGGTCAGGAGTTGGAGACCAGCCTGACCAACACGGTGAAACCCTGTCTCTACTGAAAATATAAAAATTAGCCAGGTGTGGTGGCACACACCTGTAATCCCAGCTACTCAGGAGGCTGAGGCAGGAGAATCGCTTCAACCTGGGAGGCGGAGGTTGCAGTGAGCTGAGATCGTGCCATTGCACTCCAGCCTGGGTGACAGAGCGAGACTCCATCTAAATAAATAAATAAATAATAATAATCAAACCAAATATTTATATTAATTTGGACTTCCAAATAGATTTGAACTGTTCAGCCATCATTGAATTTGATGAGGATGGTGATAACTTCAATTTAGTAATTTCTTGCTAAATGCCTTAAACTGAGATAGATATATCACATAGATTATTTTGTGGCTTTTCTTTGTTTGTTTGTTTGTTCTGTTAATATATAATTGCTAAAATACAAAAAATATAAAATGAAATTTCCTCTTTCAAGTATCAGAGATAGCTGCTATTAATGTTTGATTTTTATGCCTCCAGATTCTTTTATATTTAAGCATATATTAATACATGTGTAAGTATATGTACACAAATATACATTTTTAAGTTCACAGAATCAATATTATACATATTTTTAATAATCCATTTTTCACTTAATATATCCTGTGTATCTTTTTTTAATTTTTTTCTTTTTTTTTGGAGACAGAGTCTCGCTCTGTTGCCCACTTTGGAGTGCAGTGGCACAATCTCTGCTCAAAACTGGTTGTTCTTCCACCTCCCTGACCTAATCAAGTCATTTTTTTCTAGCAAATTAGCTTTAGGCTCATCTCCATTTGCCAGGCTCACTGCCCCCATTGTCACTGTCTTGCCATTGACATTTTATTTTATGATCTCCCAGTATCACTGGACTATGAAAACAGTGCCATCTGTTTTATAACTAGCAAACACATATAAACTTTCCCTGCTCTGCACTCTCTAAGGCTGTTCCCTTTAGGTATTGTCAACAGTTTCAGCACATATAGGAAAGCTATCAGTATTGTTGGGTGGTGAGGTTATTAGATTCTCCTATCAAGTTAAAAACTCACCAGCCACCTGTTCCTCACCTAGAACGGGGTAGGGGAGAGCCTTCTTTCACTTGCTGTTTAAGCAGCTTTTCCAGATAGCCCCTGATAGCACTGGGACTTGTGTTTTCTTATGTCACTTTCTTCAGTGTGAGGTTGAAACCTTGGGGCCAAGTATAGCTGGGGAAAGAAGAGATAATTGAAGAAAATAGGAAGGGAGAACAGTTGTTATACAAAGAAACTCAGCCAGTGTAGGGGTGGACTTAGCTCTCCTTCAGCTTTGTAAATGGTTTCTCTCTCTCATCCCCCAGAAGAACCAGTGAAGAAATCCATTCAGGAATCAGAAGCTTTTTTGCCTCAGGTACAGAATAAATGATCTGATTTGGTATTATATGTACATAGCTGTGGATAACCCTGACTTCTTTAAAAATACCTGTCCATTAAGAATTCTTTGAGACAGTGGGACTCTGAGAGTGTTGTTCTCCTGAGAACTTCCATACAAGGGAACCCTGAATAACAAAGAGAAAGATGTTAAAGTGGATTGCATTAGTGAACTTTGGAATGCAGGGAAGTTCCAAAGTAGCACTCCTCATCTCAACTCAGTGACTGCTGAACATATTAGTCAGCAGTGATACTTCCCTGAACTTTGGCTTGTTCTGGCTTTTTCTTAGGTTGACACCTCTTTGTAAGCAGAAGCAATAGAAGGGCTCCCTTTGTACTTGGGAACATGCCACTTATATAACTTCAGGTTACTGTGGAGACAAATCACTCATGTTTTCTCTCTTTTTCAAATTATCTTTATTCCACAAAGCCAATAAAGAGAGTGGGATTTTCATTAAAATTAAATAAAAATGAAAATAATTTGTCTTAAGCACATTACCCTAATAGAGGAAAAATTTGATATTAATGGGAAACATTTGCCGTAATGGGAAACTTCAGGCTGTGTCTGTTGAGTGACTCACCTGCCAAAGGAAATCCAAAAGAAGAGATGGTATATGGGTGGGACCTTATAGAAACAGAGCAATATCCAGAGTCTTTAGCATTTCTTGTCTTCCTTTCCAGAGCATACCTGAAGAGAGATACAAGATGAAGAGCAAGCCCCTAGGAATCTGCCTGATAATCGATTGCATTGGCAATGAGACAGGTAGGTGTGGAAGCTGCAGATTAACTGGTGCCCCCAGATTGAGATCATGGCACAGGCAAGCTGTATTCATTGGAGTGATCAGCACCAACTGCCGTGACAAACCAGTTCAAGAATCTGTGCTTCATCCTGGGTGCGGTGGCTCATGCCTGGAATTCCAGCACTTTGTGAGGCTGAGATGGGAGGATCACTTGAGCCCAGTTAAAAATTAGCTGGTGTGGGCTCGGGCACGGTGGCTTACACCTGTAATCCCAGCACTTTGGGAGGCGGAGGCGGGCGGATCATGAGGTCAGGAGTTCAAGACCAGCCTGGCCAATATGGTGAAACCCCGTCTCTACTAAAAATACAAAAATTAGCTGGGCATGGTGGTGGGTTCCTGTAGTCCCAGCTACTTGGGAGGCTGAGGCAGAAGAATTGCTTGAACCTGGGAGGCAGAGCTTGCAGTGAGCCGAGATCGCACCACCGCACTGTAGCCTGGGTGACAGAGCAAGATTCTGTCTCAAAAAAAAAAAAAATTAGCTGGTGTGGTGGTGCACACCTGTAGTCCCAGCTACATGGTAGGCTGAAGCAGGAGGATCACTTGAGCCCAAGGAGGTCAAGGCTGCAGTGAGCCAAGATGGTGGCATTGCACTCCAGTGTGGGTGACAGAGCAAGACCCTGTCTCAAAAAAAGAAAAAAAAAATGAATATGTGTTACAACACAATAGAGACTTGTTTCTCATTCATGTCACAGGCTAGTGTGGATCGGGCTGGGGGAGCTTTGTTCATGTGGCTATTCAGTGGCTCCATTATCTTCTGAGGTCTTGGAGTTTTCTACAGAGTCCCTTGCATCTGGCTAGCAGATAAGGGAAGAGAGAATGTGTGAAGGATCTCACAAGAGATTTTAGGGACCAGGCCTAAAAGTGATAATGTGCATCATTTCCACCCCATTAGATTGGTCAGAACTCAGTCATGTGGCTCCATCTAACTGTAGTGGACATGGAGAAATTAGTCTCGCTGTGTGTCAGGAGGAAATGAAATGGATTTGGGGGACACATAACAGTGTCTCTGGCACAAAGACATCATTTACGGTAGTTGGTGAGCCTTAGTCTTGCCTTTTCTTTTGGATGCTGAAGCAGGGAGGAGTCCTGGAACCCAGAGGGGCATTAATATTAATGGAAGGCATTCTGGCTTCACATATTATCACATGCCCCATCATTTCACCTAGATAGACGACAAAAGCTTTCCTGGGAACATTAAAGACATAATAAATGTGTGTTCACTTACAGAGCTTTGGATATTTTCTGAGCTGTGTCAGTCAGTTCTGCTGTCCTTTGCTTTGGTCGTTGGCCTCAGTCTCTTCTATCTGCGCGTCACCATTGCTTGGATCTGAGATGATTCTTTTGCTCAGTTGTTGTTGGATGTCTGACTCAAACTGAATCACTGGTGCTGCATCAAAAGAGAATGAGAAGAGCCTAGATAAGTGGAATGACATTCTGTTTAATTATTTAGCTCTTCCTTAAGAGGATCGATCATTGTATTTCCAGTTTTAGAGCTTCTCAACATTCTCTTAAAATGAGTCAGAACTATCTTTCAGGCTCACTTAAAATGTTACCATGGGGAGTTTTATGGGAAGAAAGGCTAAGAGAAGGTCAAATTAGCAAATATAATACTAAATTTTCCAGGATTTCAGATACGATCCTGCTTGGTCGTGTCCTATTTTTGGTTAGATGTGAGAAAGATAAGTGTCTTCTTTTCAGCCATTAGTACCCATATAAGAATGAGAAAATATTTTCTTAATGAGTCACTTCCTGTTTTAAGAGATTATGTAATTGTCCTGTACTTCTGGTTTTGGTCAGTTTTGTTTCATTCATCAGTAGATGTTGTACGTATATCTGTTGTATGAGAGAATCATAAAAAAAAAAAAGCCATGACCTGCTGTGAATTGAAAAACTAAGTTTTTTGGCTAAAACTCAATGTCTGTGCTTGCTTCTGTTGCTGGGTTATGGGCCTCTTGGGGGCGGGGGCTGAATGTATATTTGAATTTTTCTGCATTATAGGAGCATGATCAGAGTTGAGAAATGGAATATGACAGTGTGGGTTTGAATCATGGCTATGCCATGTTCTAGCTTGTGACCTTGGGCAATGTCCCTGGCCTCTTTATTTTTTTTAATGTTTTTTTTTTTCTTTCTTGAGAGAGAATCTCACTCTTGTTGCCCATGCTGGAGGGCCATGGTGCGATCTTGGCTCACTGCAACCTCTTCCTCCTGGGTTCAAGCAATTCTCCTGCCTCAGCCTCCCGAGTACATCCCTGCCGGGAATACAGGCGCCCGCCACCATGCCTGGCTAATTTTTTGTATTTTTAGTAGAGACGGGGTTTCACCATGTTGGCCAGGCTGGTCTCGAACTTGCTGACCTCAAGTGATCCACCCACCTCGGCCTCCCAAAGTGCTGGGATTACAGGCATGAGCCACCACGCTCGGCTTCTAATTTTTTTTAATTTAAATTTTATTTTTATTTTTCCTGTAGTGCTGAGTTCTCGGCCTTCTTAAGTCCCAGTTTCTCTTCTGTAAAGTGGGTTAATAACAGGACCTACCTCATAGGGAGGTTGGGCAGAATGAGAGTTCATACTTGGAAAGGGCTTAGAATAATGCCTGGCACAGTGTGAGCATGTACTAGATGCCAACTAGCATTATTTCCTCATTTGCTTGTTCAATTCTAGCCATAAACCACCTAAGCAAGAGCTCACCATGGCTTTGCACTTGGTACATAGAGTCTGATCTCAGACAAGTGAGAGACCAGGGCACTGAGGCCTGCCCTAGGCCCAAGGGTGAGTGGAATGCATCCCCATAGACTGAGGCGCACTGGAATGGAGGCCATAACTTGAGAGGGTTATCCAACTTCTTGGATAAACACTCAAGTGGAAAGCTGAGCACAGCACTCCTACCAGTCACAGTCTGAATGGGCTTGGCAGAGGAGAATCTAAGTACAAAGTACAGGAGGGCAGAGACCTGATAAAAGAGAAAGATGGAAGAAGATGGTAGAATTGGAGGCAGAGCCTGGGGCATCATGCTTTTGGCCACAGGTATGAGCAGGTATTGGTCTTGACTGCACTGGTACATCTGTTTCCTGCCCCATGGTTGCGGATGTATCTGTATACGAGCTCCAAGAATCAGAATGGCAGCTCTAGACAGCAGGTCCTTCCTGGTCAGACATAGTCCTTTAAAGTTCAACATCTTGGTGGTACATTGCTGGACAAGAGTAGGCCTGGGCCATTAGAGGGTACCCTGGATGCTCGGTGCTGCCTTTCCCCTGAGAATCAGGGTGATTTGACTCAAGCCTTCTCTGCCTCTGGGAACAAAATCAGTAATTGGGCTTGAGGCCACTTATAAACCCCCCTGGGCTCAGGTGGCTAATTAGCAAGTAAGAAACAAGGCAGCACACTTTTACTCTTCTTGTGCTATGGTTTTCATCAGCTGAGAGGTCACAAATCCACTTACATGCAGACTCAGAGCAGCAGGAGAACATTAATTATTAAGAAGTGGAAAGGCACAGTCTCCTCTCCTCACACCATCTCCCTAGGCCTCCAGCTCTTCATTTCCCTCCTCCTCTCCTGGTAATTTGTCACTGAAGATTCTAGGCCCAGAATCCTGCCTTGGTTGAAAATGGTTGTTATTATTAGTGCAGCACCCTTCATCTCTTTTCCTTCTAATCCGCAGTTAGGGGGCTTCATCTAGAGTAATTATGTGGATTTCCTCTGTCTGGTTAACTTTGCCATCTGGTTAACATTGAACACTTGGGAGGAGTGCAGGAGTCAGATAATGAACAAGCGGGTAAGGTAATTGCCAGCCGAAATAAGGTCTCTGAAAGAAAGAAACAAGAACATGATAGGACTAACCTAGGCATAGCTGTGCTCAGAGTATATAATTTATTAAAAATCTACTACGTGCCAGGTACTTTGCTAATTGCTTTACACGGATTCTTGCTTAATCCTCATGAATAATACCATAATATAGGTACTATTCTCTCCATTAAATTTTTTTTGTTCTACTTAGAACTAATTTGCTAGGAATATTCTATTTTCTTTTCTTTCTTTTTTTTTTTTTTTTTTTTTTGACAGAGTCTTGCTCTGTCGCCAGGCTGGAGTGCAGTGGTGCAATCTTGGCTCACTGCAACCTCTCCCTCCCAAGTTCAAGCGATTCTTCTGCCTCAGCCTCCTGAGTAGCTGGGATTACAGGCATGCGCCACCACGCCCAGCTAATTTTTCTTTTTTCTTTTTATATTTTTAATTTATTTTTAAGACGGAGTTTCCCTTTTGTTGCCCAGGTTGGAGTGCAATGGCGCAATCTCAGCTCACCGCAATCTCCACCTCCCAGGTTCAAGCGATTCTCCTGCCTCAGCCTCCTGAGTAACTGGGATTACAGGCATGTGCCACCATGCCCAGCTAATTTTGTATTTTTAGTAGAGACAAGGTTTCACCATGTCGGCCAGGCTGGTCTCGATCTCCTGACCTTGTGATCTGCCCACCTCAGCCTCCCAAAGTGCTACGATTACAGGCGTCAGCCATCATGCCTGGCTTATTCTCTCCATTTTCAAGGTGAGGAAGCTGAGCAGTGAACTACACTCCTACCTTCTCTAGTACTGATTGAGCTGGGATTCAAAAGCTGGACTCCAAAACCTATGCTTTTAACTACTTTGCCTCAATATAATTTCCATGAAGGTGAGGGAGTTTATCTATCTCCTACTATGGGTCTCCAGTACCTGGAAGAATACCTGCTATGTAGGTGTTCAATAAATAATTGTTGGGTGAATGAATGAAGGAATAAGCTCTCCCAGTGTCAGTGTGTTTCTAAAAGCCATTCCTTTTTATCTTTAGAGTTTAGCAGACTCTCTTCTACCTATCTTCCCTTCTCTCCTCAAAAAACCAGACTTTTATCCAAAAAGCATGCAAGTCCCCCAAGTATTTAAAGCTTTATTTCTTTGTTTGTCCAGTAAATGTTCGTTGAGGGCCTACTATGTGCAAAGCACCATGCTTGGCCCTGTGTGAAGCAAATATTAAGGCAATGAGGTGGAGTCTGATCTCAGAGCTGTGTTGTGCATGAAATAAGGTTATTCTTTGGTAGTTCTTTCTTGAGAAGAATTCTTATGGAGTTCAGTAACCTCTTCTTGAGGCAGAAGTAAATGCTCAGGGATTTGGGAACTAATTATCTCAGTTTGGTAGAATTGAAAAATAAGTCTTTGGTGTTGTGTCATCTGTGTCAGTGACAGCAAAGCTGGACCTGTGCTAGGCCCTGGTGGGTCATCTTTAAGCACTGGACTTTTATCTTGTTAGGAATATAGAAGCAAGCGTCTCACATCTCTGACAGATGGGCTTTACGGCTTGGCCTAAAGCTCTGGTTGTTTTTAAGGCCCTTGAATAAAAATAAAAGACGATGTTTGCAGATTTTAAGAGGAAGTTTTTTTTTTTTTTGAGACAGAGTCTCGCTCTGTCACCCAGGCTACTGGAGTGCAATGGCGTTATCTTGGCTCACTGCAACCTCTGTCTCCCGGGTTCAAGCGATTCTCCGCCTCAGCCTCCTGAGTAGCTGGGATTACAGGCACCCGCCATCATGCCCGGCTAATTTTTGTATTTTTGTAGAGATGGGGTTTCACCATGTTGGCCAGGCTAGTCTTGAACTCCTGACCTCAGGTGATCCGCCCGCCTCGGCCTCCCAAAGTGCTGGGATCACGGGGATGAGCCATCGCACCTGGCCAAGAGGAAGTATTTTTTTTTTCTATCCTGCTCTTTCTGAAAAGCTTGAACATTTTTCTGTACTTTCCTTTTCTTTTTTGAGACAGGGTCTTGCTCTATCACCCAGAATGGAGCACAGGGGTACAATCATGGCTCACTGCAGCCTTCACCTCCCGGGCTCAAGCAATCCTCTCACCTCACCCTCCCAAGTAGCTGGAACTACACACAGGCGCCACCACATCCATCTAATTTTTAAAATATTCTGTAGAGACAGGGTCTCACTATGTTGCCCAGGCTGGTCTCAAACTTCTGGGCTGAAGCAATCCTCCCACTTCAGCCTCCTGAGTGGCTGGGACTACAGGCACATGCTATCATGTCTGGCTAACTTTGTTTTTTATAGAGACAGGGTCTTTTGCTGTATTTCCCAGGGCGGTCTTGAACTCCTGGCTTCAAGTGATCTTCCTGCCTTGGCCTCCCAAAGCACTGGGATTATGGCCATGAGCCACCACGTAATCTTTGTTTTATGCGTATTTATAAGCTTTGCTTCCCCAACAAGATTATAAGCTCTTTGATTGAAGTACATCATATATTTGATATGTATTCTCTTGTCCAAGTGTTTCTGTAGGCAATAAGGGGAACTTTGTAAAACAAGAGTTTTCCGGTCAAGTAAATTTGAGAAGCGCTGCCTAATCTCTTCCCCCTCAGAGATTTGCAATGCATATTGACCTATTAAAGGCTCTGAGAATTCTTCCTGCGAAGAAACCTATTTTAGCCTTGTCCACCTTGCATTTCCCAAACACGTTTGACCTCAGAACTCCCTTTTTCACTAAGAATGTTTTGCCCATCTTATGTTTTACCCATGTGCTCTATAGCAGTTAACACTGGGCTTATTAAAGGTACTCAATATGTGATTGTAAATTAACTGGTGAAGCATTCCCTCATTCTTGTTTATTTTATACATTTATTTAATGAAGCCCTTTTCATAGAAATTGTCAAGATAAATGTATCCTCATTTAGATCAAAACAAATTCTAAATTAATGAAGTCATGACATTTTACTGTATTTTGGTTTTTTTGGTTTATCTGTGAAGTCCTCAAACCTGTGAGTAGTGCTGACCCTAGCCTTGAATGAACAGCCCTGTACTAACTGCAAGGCCAGAAGAACCCCTGCCCTTCCCCTCCCCACCCCCCCACATCATTTCCAGAAGTTCTAAAGAACAGTTGAAATTTACGGAGATCAGACTGGGTTGAGTGTGGGATTTCCAGGGTGGGTTCTAGAAGGAGAAGTGGGTCTTCTGTAGTTTGTTGAAATTTTATTTTCCAAACCCAGCCCCCAAGTTTTTCTTCCTCTATTTATGTGCAAGGACAAAACAGTTACTGTCCTACCTACATAGGATATGGACTCTGTCTGCTCTGAGCCCATTTTAGTTTAGAATATAGAGACCTCCCTCCAGGTCCTAAGAGAGAGATTCCATGAGAGATGTGCAACACCATAAGGTTGGTGATTTGTACTTTGAAATGGCTGCCTTTATTTCCTTTAAAGTCAATATCTTATATTTGAATAAACACAGTTTGCAAAGCATCTTTACAGAAATCTCATTGGATCCTCACGGTCACCTTTTTTCTGAGACAGAGTCTCACTCTTTCACCCAGGCTGGAGTGCAGTGGAGCGATCTTGGCTCCTCCACTTCCTGGGCTCGAGTGATCCTCCTTCCTTAGCCTCCCAAGTAGCTGGGACCACAGATGCGTGCCACCATGCCCAGCCAATTTTTGTATTTTTGGTAGAGATGGGGTTTCGCCATGTTGCCCAGGCTGGTCTCAAACTCTGCAGCTCAAGCAATCCACCCGCCTTGGCCTCCCAAAGTGCTGGGATTACAGGTATGAGCCACTGTACCCTGCCCTCACAGTCACCTTTTGAAGAACCTCCTGCTCAAGAGATCCTCCTGCCTCAGCCTCCTGAGTAGCTGTGATGACTACAGGCTTGTACTACCATGCCTGGCTAGTTTTTTTATTTTTTGTAGAGACGGGGTTCCCTGTGATGCCCAGGGTGGTCTCAAACTCCTGAGCTCAAGCCATCCTCCCACCTCAGCCTCCCAAAGTGCTGGGATTGTAGGTGTGAGCCACTGCACCTGGCCAAGCATTAGTTTTAATCTTGTTTTATAGATGAATAAACTGGGGCTGACTCAAACTGACTCAAAGTCACACTGTCATTACCTTTTTGATCCTGTACGTTAGACTGGGCTGTATGCATGTTCTTGCTGGCGCAATAAAGTTGCAAGTGCCAGCTAACAGCCCTTCCCACTCCACCTCACCACCTCATAGAGGAAAATTGTGACGTTAATGGGAAATGTCAGCGGTAATGTCTTCAGGCTGGGCCTGTGGAGTGACTCCCTTGCCACAGGATATTTAAGCAATGCTGTGTCTTGTCTGAGGCTCAGACCTGCTATTCTTATTGGCACTTGGGACCTGCATGGTTTTTGGCTTCACCTCCAGCTTTAGCCATTTTTCTTCTGTTCTTTTAGGTAAGGATTTTCTGCCCCAGACCTCAGATTCCCATTTCCTTCCTAGCTTCTCTGCTGTTATAGCTCAGTCTCTTCCAAGACCATGCAAGATTCAGACCCTAGTAGGAGGAGATGGAGGAACTAGGACTTAAACCCACATCTTGTGATTCCAAGGCTGGTTCCTCTTTTGCCCTGCACCACACAGCTGTCTGCTCACAGTCATGTGACAGGGGCTTCCCCAGCCAGAACCTCCAGGGAGCACAAATAAAGGAAAGAGCTGGAAGGCACAGTACAGCATTTGTTCTGTCCAAGCCTTACATATCAGCATGGGCAGGGAGAATGTGGTGAAGTTTTCTTTCAAGGACTTTGTTTGATAAGGAAGGACATTTATCAGTGAAGAGAGGTTTTGAGGGAAGTGAACCAATCTTGAGATAAGTACACAAAAGAGCTTTGAGTCTGGTGTTTCCCTGTTTGCTTCTGCCCCCTGGAGGAGCAAATACTCCATGATTAGAGACGTGTGAGTCCTTTGGAATAGAATAGCAGTGATGGAACTGGAGTCCTAGTCCAGGTTCTCTCCTTGTTCAGCCTGGATTCAGCACTGGGTATCGAAACAAGCCTGCACCCTCAGAGGAGATGGCTAGGGGACAGTGCGTCCAGGCCTCTTCTACCACACAGAGTTTTCTTTTTTTTATAAAGGGTATACACATTTAAAATTTAATGATACTCCCAAATTGCTCTTCAAAAAGGCTGTGCAAAATTACAGTCCTGATAACAGCTACCCAGAGATCCTGTAACGGCATTTGCCCTCATCATTATTATTATTATTATTATTATTATTATTATTATTTGAATTTGAGACGGAGTTCTGCTCTGTTGCCCAGGCTGGAGTGCAGTGGCGCAATCTTGGCTCACTGCAACCTCTGCCTCCCGGGTTCAAGCAATTCTCCTGTCTCAGCCTCCCTAGTAGCTGGGATTACAGGTGAGCACCACCACGCCTGGCTAATTTTTGTATTTTTAGTAGAGACGGGGTTTCACCATATTGGCCAGACTGGTCTCGAACTCCTGACCTCAGGTGATCTGCCCGTCTCGGCCTCCCAAAGTGCTAGGATTACAGATGTGAGCCACTGGGGCTGGTTGCCCTCACTATTTAATGGGTTATTTGCAACCTGTGAATCATGTCTCCTATTTCCTTGTTAATGATGCTTATTGATTATAGACTTAGGAATATCAGCACCTCCTTTGTAGCTCTTCATTCTTACATGATATAATAATTAATTTTTTTTTTTGAGACAGAGTCTCACTCTGTTGCCCAGGCTGGAGTGCAGTGTCACAATGTTGGCTCACTGCAACCTCCACCTCCTGGGTTCAAGCGATTCTCCTGCCTCAGCCTCCTGAGTAGCTGGGACTACAGGTGCGTGCCACTACACCTGACTAATTTTTGTATTTTTAGTAGAGACAGGGTTTCGCCATGTTGGCTAGGCTGGTCTTGAACTCCTGACCTCAGGTAATCTGCCCGCCTCAGCCTCCCAAAGTGCTGGGATTACAGGTGAGCCACTGCGCCCAGCCAATAATTCATTGTTTAATCCTTAGTTGTGGGCCAAGCAAAGGAGAAAAGTAAGAAGCCTTTTCCTTTTACCGATAGGAAAGGTCAAAGGACTTACCTGGTGAATTATTTACCTAAAAATGTATACAAATCACTCCAAAATTTAGTGGCTAAAAACAACAGTACTAATTTAATTATATCTTCACAGTTACTAATTTAATTATATCCTCACCTGTGGGTGAGGAATTTAGGAGCAGCTTAGCTGGGCTGTTCTGGCCCAGAGTCTAGTGAAGTTGTGGTCAGTTGTCAGCTGGGTCATCTGAATGCTTGATTGGGATTGGAGGCTCCACTTCTATGGTGGTCACTCACATGACTGAGAAGTTGGTGCTAGCTGTTGGCAGGAAGCCTGTTCTTCATGTGGGCCTCTCTGAGGGACTGCTTGAGTACTTTCATGATGTGGTGGTGGGCTTCTCCCAGAGTGAGCCACTCAGAAGAGAGAAAGATTGTGAGGTCTGGACTTCAATAAGAAGATTGTTGAAGAAAAAAAGGTTTTGTCCCCCCTTGGTTTGATTGGACTAGAGTGGGCTCAGTCTGTGCCTGTGGCTGGCATCAGGCAGGAACAGTGGTATAGCAGGGTATAGACCATATTTAGGGACCTAAAATCACATCTTTCATGATTCATGTGGTTCTTGTTCCAACTGCCCAGGACTCAGGCACATCAAAATATGACACAAAAGCAGAAGCTTTTCATAATGGAGATTAGACCATGTCTAGGATTCCTACCCAGTCCTCTTGAGCTCTCCTCACTCCAGTGTTGTTTTCCGTGTTTGTTTTTTGTTTTCCCCAGAGCTTCTTCGAGACACCTTCACTTCCCTGGGCTATGAAGTCCAGAAATTCTTGCATCTCAGTATGCATGGTATATCCCAGATTCTTGGCCAATTTGCCTGTATGCCCGAGCACCGAGACTACGACAGCTTTGTGTGTGTCCTGGTGAGCCGAGGAGGCTCCCAGAGTGTGTATGGTGTGGATCAGACTCACTCAGGGCTCCCCCTGCATCACATCAGGAGGATGTTCATGGGAGATTCATGCCCTTATCTAGCAGGGAAGCCAAAGATGTTTTTTATTCAGAACTATGTGGTGTCAGAGGGCCAGCTGGAGGACAGCAGCCTCTTGGAGGTGGATGGGCCAGCGATGAAGAATGTGGAATTCAAGGCTCAGAAGCGAGGGCTGTGCACAGTTCACCGAGAAGCTGACTTCTTCTGGAGCCTGTGTACTGCGGACATGTCCCTGCTGGAGCAGTCTCACAGCTCACCATCCCTGTACCTGCAGTGCCTCTCCCAGAAACTGAGACAAGAAAGGTGAGCCCCCAGGAGGTGGTCAGTTCCGGACCACCTGCTTATTTTCGTGCCACCAGGATGGGAATTACCACTGTGCCACATTTGCTGCCCATCTCTTCCGGGAGGAAAAGAGATTTTCCCTCCTGCATTGGGCTTGCCCTAGGACTACAGTATAGACCCGGCATGATTTATAAATACTTTGTAGTTAGTTAGTTTGTAGTTTGAATACTTTTCTTTAAAATTAAGAAATTTTCAGCCTGGGCAACAAAGTGAGAACTTGCTCTATAAACATTTTTAAAATTAGTTGGGTGTGGTGGTGTGCGCTTATAGTCCCAACTGCTTGGGAGGCTAAGGTAGGAGGATTGCTTGAGCCCAGGAGTTTGAGGCTGCAGTGAGTCGTGATTGCACTACTGCACTGCAGCCTGAGCAACAGAGGGAGACCTTGTCTCCAATAAACAAATAAATAAATACAAATAACAAATTTATTTATTTTTATTTATTTTTTTTTTTGAGATGGAGTCTTGCTCTGTTGCCCAGGCTGGAGTGCATTGGCGCAATCTTGGCTCACTGCAACCTCCACCTCCCAGGTTCAAGCAGTTGTCCTGCCTCACCCTCCCAAGTAGCTGGGATTACAGGCATGTGCCACCACGCCCTGGCTAATTTTTGTATTTTTAGTAGAGACTGGGTTTCACCATGTTGACCAGGCCAGTCTTGAACTCCTGACCTCAGGTGATCTGCCTGCCTCAGCCTCCCAAAGTGCTAGGATTACAAGCGTGAGCCACTGCGCCTGGCCACAAATTTTTATTTTTAATTTTTCTTTTTTTTTTTTTTTTTTTTTTTTTGAGACAGAGTTTCACTCTTGTTGCCCAGGCTGGAGTACAGTGGCATGATCTTGGCTCGCTGCAACCTCCGCCTGCTGGGTTCCAGTGATTCTCCTGCCTCAGCTTCCCGAGTAGCTGGGATTACAGGCGTCCGCCATCACACCTGGCTAATTTTTGTATTTTTAGTGGAGACAGGGTTTCCACCATGTTGGCCAGGCTGGTCTGCAACTCCTGGCCTCAAGTGATCCACGTACCTCGGCCTGCCAAAGTGCTGGGATTACAGGCATGAGCCACCATGCTCAGCCACCTTCCAGATCTTTTTTTATTTGATACCCACACAGTCATGTAGAAGTATATCTTTTTTGTTTGTTTGTTTTTTGAGATGACATCTCACTCTGTTGTCCAGGCTGGAGTGCAGTGGCACACCTCGGCTTACTGCAACATCCACCTCCCGGGTTCAGGCAATTCTCCTGCCTCAGTCTCCTGAGTAGCTGGGACTACAGGCGCACACCACTACGGCTTTGCTAATTTTTGTATTTTTAGTAGAGATGGGGTTTCACCATGTTGGCCAGGCTGGTCCCGAACTCCTGACCTCAAGTGATCCTCCTGCCTTGGCCTCCCAAAAGTGAGCCACTGCGCCCAGCCTGGAAGTATGTTTGTAAGCCCAGATGGAATCATCATCTATTGTTTCTTTTTTTTAATTAAAAAAATTTTAATACAGTTCAAATCCCCATGTCTGGCTCATTTCAGCTCCTTTACTGCCAAAGCAGGGGACAAGGACTGCTTCAGTTTCTCTGCCTTCTCTTTCTCTGAAGGTATCTGCTGCATTGAACTTGAAAGTTCACATTATCCTTATTTTTCTTGATCTTGACAGATTTGGCATCCTTTCACCTGGCTGTGAGCAGAAAGTCCTTGATTTCCTCAATTTTGCAAGGCATGGCGATGAGGCACACAGGGAGAGGACAAGGACAGGCACCCCTCTATCCCATGTATCACCCAAAAGACACTCACAGCCTGCCATCACTTTATAACCTGCTTTTAGTTTGTTTAACAGTAGATCACAAACATTTTTGCATGTCAGTAGTCACATTTCTACAGCATCAGTTTAATGTATGCACAATAGCCCATAATATGGCCATAGCTTAATTTACTTGATCAATCTTCAGTTGTTGCACAGTGTTTGCTTTCATACGAAGTAAGTATTAAACATCCTTGTAACTTAGTATTTGTTCTTATCCTTAATTGTTTTCTAGGGGGACAATTCCCGGAAGTGGAATTACAGAGTCAAAGGACATGCATTTTTCAAGCCTCGGATGCATCTTACTAGATGTCCTATAGGATGGTCATATCAGCTTTATAGGAGAGTAGCTGTGTCCCTGAATTCTCCCTGACACTGCATGCTCTTATATTTCCTCAAGTTTTGACAATTTGATAGGTGAAAAGTGGTATCTGACTGTTCAGATCTGGAAGGCTTTGTTATATAAACATTTTTTTAATGTTTATTGGCAAGAATACTTTTCTAAGAGAAACATCAGTGAGCTGGTTTCCATTTAAGCTGAATGAAGCCACAATGTACCTCAAGTATAAGATTAACTGGCCTTTTTCAGTTGCACTCTAATTACAATTTAGAATGATGTTTCTGAGCCACCTGTCAAATGCATTCTGGGCTGTACCTCTGCGTACCCCAGGAATAAATCTCATGGCCTTCTTTACCTGGCCTCCTTAGTGGTGGCCCAGCAGGAAGCGGGGGTTAGAGCAGGAGCCACTCAGCCTTCCAAGATAGATACTCCATGGGCCGGTGGTATTACTGGCCTTTTGAGCCCATCCCCATTTGCATAGATGATCCACGTGGGTTATCATCTGGCTGGTATGTTCCCAGAGTGAAACTCAGCAGCCCCTTGAGGGAGGGGATGGTGGCCATCAGGCCAGAGTATTGCAAGTTAGTTTGGATCATTTGCTAAGCAGCTTGTGGTGCCTTCAGAAAGGAACAGTTTCAAAGAACTTTCACATCTGTTGGCTCATTTCGCCCTAATGACAGTCTTCTCTTTGATATTTGCATGGCATTAAATTTTGCCTTTCTTGTTTTCTCCAGAAAACGCCCACTCCTGGATCTTCACATTGAACTCAATGGCTACATGTATGATTGGAACAGCAGAGTTTCTGCCAAGGAGAAATATTATGTCTGGCTGCAGCACACTCTGAGAAAGAAACTTATCCTCTCCTACACATAAGAAACCAAAAGGCTGGGCGTAGTGGCTCACACCTGTAATCCCAGCACTTTGGGAGGCCAAGGAGGGCAGATCACTTCAGGTCAGGAGTTCGAGACCAGCCTGGCCAACATGGTAAACGCTGTCCCTAGTAAAAATACAAAAATTAGCTGGGTGTGGGTGTGGGTACCTGTATTCCCAGTTACTTGGGAGGCTGAGGTGGGAGGATCTTTTGAACCCAGGAGTTCAGGGTCATAGCATGCTGTGATTGTGCCTACGAATAGCCACTGCATACCAACCTGGGCAATATAGCAAGATCCCATCTCTTTAAAAAAAAAAAAAAAGGACAGGAACTATCTTACTCAATGTATTAGTCATGTTTCTCTAGAGGGACAGAACTAATAGGATACATGTATATAAAAAGGGGAGTTTATTAAGGAGTATTGACTCACATGATCACAGGGTTAGGTCCCACAATAGGTCATCTGCAAGCAAGGAAGCCAATTCAAGTCCCAAAGCTGAAGAACTTGGAGTCCAATGTTTGAGGGCAGGAAGCATTCAGCATGAGAGAAAGATGGAGGCCAGAAGACTACACCAGTCTAGTCTTTCCATGTTTTGCCTGCTTTTATTCTGGCAGTGCTGGCAGCTGATTAGATGGTGCCCACCCAGATTGAGGATGGTCTGCCTTTCCCAGTCCACTGACTCAAATGTTAAATCTCCTTTGGCAGCACCCTCACAGATGTACCCGGGAACACTTTGCATCCTTCTATTCAATCAAGTTGATACTCAGTATTAACCATCACAGTCCATTTGGGCAACTATACCAAATTACCATAGACCAGGTGACTTAAACAGCAGTTATTTCTCACAGTTCCGGAGGCTGGGAAATCCAACATCTAAGTGGTAGCATATCTGGTGTCTGGTAAGGCATGCTTCCAGATCTTACCAGATGTCAGTCTTTTGATGTTCTCACATGGCAGAAAAAGAGGATGCAAACTCTCAAGTATATCTTTAAGGGCACAAATTCCATTCATGAGGGCTCTACCCTCATCACCTAATTACCTCCCAAAGGCCCCACCTTCTGATACTGTCACTTTGGGGATACTGTCTCCCCTTTGAATTCTGGGGGGAATACAAACATTCAGTTTGTAACAATAGCCTTATGATTTAGAGGTTACTTGTTCATTCACCTAGACCTCAAATTGCATTTTACAGCTAGTCAAGTATATCTTTCTCTGATTTGATAGTGTGACCTAAAAGGGGACCATTGTTTGAAATATCATTAGAGTTGCTTATTATTATTATTATTATTATTATTATTATTATTATTATTATTATTGAGACAGAGTTTCATTCTGCTGCCCAGGCTGGAGTGCAGTGGCATCATCTTGGCTCATTGCAACCTCTGCCTTCTGGGTTCAAGCGATTCTCCTGCCTCAGCCTCCCGAGTAGCTGGGATTACAGGCTCCTGCCACCACACCCGGCTAATTTTTGTATTTTTAGTGGAGACAGGGTTTCCACCATGTTGGCCAGCGTGGTCTTGAACTCCTGACCTCAGGTGATTCACCAGCCTCGGCCTCCCAAAGTGCTGGGATTACAGGTGTGAGCCACTGCACCTGGCCTATTATTATTTTTAAATTTTTTTTTTTTAATTGATCATTCTTGGGTGTTTCTCACAGAGGGTGATTTGGCAGGGTCACAGGACAATAGTGGAGGGAAGGTCAGCAGATAAACAAGTGAACAAAGGTCTCTGGTTTTCCTAGGCAGAGGACCCTGCGGCCTTCCGCAGTGTTTGTGTCCCTGGGTACTTGAGATTAGGGAGTGGTGATGACTCTTAAGGAGCATGCTGCCTTCAAGCATCTGTTTAACAAAGCACATCTTGCACTGCCCTTAATCCATTTAACCCTGAGTGGACACAGCACATGTTTCAGAGAGCACAGGGTTGGGGGTAAGGTCATAGATCAACAGCATCCTAAGGCAGAAGAATTTTTCTTAGTACAGAACAAAATGAAGTCTCCCATGTCTACTTCTTTCTACACAGACACAGCAACAATCTGATTTCTCTATCTTTTCCCCACCTTTCCCCCTTTTCTATTCCACAAAACCGCCATCGTCATCATGGCCTGTTCTCAATGAGCTGTTGGGTACACCTCCCAGACGGGGTGGCGGCTGGGCAGAGGGGCTCCTCACTTCCCAGATGGGGCGGCCAGGCGGACGCGCCCCCCACCTCCCTCCCGGACGGGATAGCTGGCCGGGCGGGGGCTGACCCCCCACCTCCCTCCCCGACGGGGCGGCTGGCCGGGCGGGGGCTGACCCCCACGCCTCCCTCCCGGACGGGGCGGCTGCCAGGCGGAGGGGCTCCTCACTTCTCAGACGGGGTGGCTGCTGGGCGGAGACGCTCCTCACTTCCCAGACAGGGTGGCTGTCGGGCGGAGGGGCTCCTCACTTCTCAGACGGGGCAGCTGCGGGCGGAGGGGCTCCTCACTTCTCAGACGGGGTGGCCGGGCAGAGAAGCTCCTCACATCCCAGACGGGGGGGCGGGGCAGAGGCGCTCCCCACATCTCAGACGATGGGCGGCCGGGCAGAGACGCTCCTCACTTCATCCCAGACGGGGTGGCGGCCGGGCAGAAGCTGTAATCTCGGCACCCTGGGGGGCCAAGGCAGGCGGCTGGGAGGCGGAGGCCGTAGCCAGCTGAGATCACACCACTGCACTCCAGCCTGGGCAACATTGAGCACTGAGTGGACGAGACTCTGCCCGCAATCCCGGCACCTCGGGAGGCCGAGGCTGGCAGATCACTCGCAGTCAGGAGCTGGAGACCAGCCCGGCCAACACAGTGAAACCCTGTCTCCACCAAAAAAATACGAAAACCAGTCAGGCGTGGCGGCGCCCGCAATGGCAGGCACGCGGCAGGCCGAGGCGGGAGAATCAGGCAGGGAGGCTGCAGTGAGCCGAGATGGCAGCAGTACAGTCCAGCTTCGGCTCGGCATCAGAGGGAGACCGTGGGGAGAGGGAGAAGAGAGGGAGGGGGAGAGGGCTATTTTTAAAATTTTTTAAAATTGCTGAACAGGGGTACCTCTGGGCAGTGTGTCAGAATACCACTTTTTAAATATTTTATGATTTATTTATTTTTCTATTTCTTGAGGTTTTAACTGATGTGTATCTGTATGTCTATTTGTGTATATTTTGTCATGATCATGTAACAGAGTCTGAAAAGTGTCGAAGAGACAGTTTTCAGGAACAACAAGCAATTATTCCTACTTTCCAAGTTATTTTGATGCCATGGTGGCTCATACCTATAATCTGAGTACTTTGGGAGGCTGAGGTGGACTGATCACTTGAGCCCAGGAGTTTGAGACCAGCCTGGGCAACATAGCAAGACTCCATCTCTACAAAAAAAGACAAAATTTAGCTGAGCGTGGTGGCGTGTTCCTGTAGTCCCAGCTACTTGGGAGGCTGAAGTGAGTGGATCCCCTGAGCCCAGAGAGGTCAAGGTTGTGATGAGCTGTGATCACACCACTGCACTTCAGCATGGGAGACAGAGTGAGACCCTGTTTCAGAAAAAATAAATAAATAAAACCACCAGCACCACAAACAACAACAAAAAGTTATTTTGTACTTGTTTTGAGCACAGGACTCCTGAGGGTATCTTTGCATTTAATATTACATAGGGGTGCCAGTGGGAAGTAATGTGTATGCTTGGCCTCATGAGCTAAAACCCTGTGTTAATTATGACAGAAGGAAAGTGTGTGAGAGAGATCTTAACTACCTAGCAGCTCTAGCTGCCATCTTGAACCATGAAGATACGGGCCACACGTAGGGGTAGCTGGGTAGTGAGCAGCAAGAAGCCTTGTTGGATGAGGGCACGAAGGAGCAGAATCACTGGAATCACTGTGTCAGCCCTAATTACCTACCTCTGGACTTTTATGTGAGGGGAAAAAAAATTGACAGTTTATATTTATCTCAACCTAGTTAACCCAAGTGATGCATTGTTATGAGATTAAAATGTTTGGAGGCCGGGTGCGGTGGCTCACGCCTATAATCCCAGCCCTTTGGGAGGCCAAGGCGGGCGGATCACGAGGTCAGGAGATCAAGACCATCCTGGCTAACATGTAAAACCCCGTCTCTACTAAAAATACAAAAAATTAGCCAGGCGTTGTGGCGGTCGCCTGTAGTCCCTGCTATTTGGGAGGCCGAGGCAAGAGAACGGCATGAACCTGGGAGGTGGAGCTTGCAGCGAGCTGAGATCTTGCCACTGCACTCCAGCCTGGGCGACAGTGCGAGACTCTGTCTCAAAAATAAATAAATAAATAAATAATAAATAAAATGTTTGGAATGTTGGCTTCATCCCTGGGATGCAAGGCTGGTTCAACATACGCAAATCAAGAAACATAATTCATCACATAAACAGAACTAAAGACAAAAACCACATGATTATCTCAATAGATACAGAAAAGGCCTTCAATAAAATTCAACGTTGCTTCATGTTAAAAACTCTCAATAAACTAGGTATTGATGGAAAATATCTCAAAATAATAACCATTTATGACAAACCCACAGCCATTATCATACTGAATGGGCAAAAGCTGGAAGCATTCCCCTTGAAAACTGGCACAAGACAGGGATGCCGTCTCACCACTCCTATTTAACATAGTATTGGAAGTTCTGGCCAAGAAAATCAGGCAAGAGAAACAAATAAGGGGTATTCAAATAGGAAAAGAGGAAGTAAAACTGTGTTTGCAGATGACATGATACTATATCTAGAAAACCCCATTATCTCCACCCAAAAGTTCCTTAAGCTGATAAGCAACTTCAGCAAAGTCTCAGGATACAAAATCAATGTGCAGAAATCACAAGCATTCTATACACCAACAATACACAAGCAGAGAGCCAAATCATGAATGAACTCCCATTCACAGTTGCTAGAAAGAGAATAAAATACCTAGGAATACAGCTAATAAGATGTGAAGGATCTCTTCAAGGAGAACTACAAACCACTGCTCAAGGAAATAAGAGAGGACACAAATGAAAAAACATTCCATTCTCGTGGATAGGAAGAATCAATATCATGAAAATGGCCATACTACCCAAAGTAATTTATAGGTTCATTGCTATTCCCATTAAACTACTATTGACATTCTTCACAGAATTAGAAAAAAACTACTTTAAAATTCAAATGGAACCAAAAAAGAGCCCGTATAACCAAGACAACAATAAGCAAAAAGAACAAAGCTGGAAGCATCACACTACCCAACTTCAAAGTATACTGCAAGGCTACAGTAGCCAAAATGGCATGGTACTGGTACAAAAACAGACACATAGACCAATGGAACAGAATAGAGACCAGAGAAAGAAGACCACACATCTACAGCCATCTGATCATCGACAAACCTGACAAAAACAAGCAATGGGGAAAAGATTCCCTATTTAATAAATGGTGCTGGGAAAACTGGCTAGCCATATGCAGAAAATTGAAACTGACCCCTTCCTTACACCTTATACAAAAATTAACTCAAGATTAAAGACTTAATGTAAAACCTAAAACTATAAAAACCCTAGAAGAAAATCTATTTAATACCATTCAAGACATAGGCACAAGCAAAGGTTTCATGACAAAAACATCAAAAGCAATTGCAACAAAAGCAAAAATTACAAATGGGATCTAATTAAACTAAAGAGCTCCTGCACAGCAAAAGAAACTATCATTAGAGTGAACAGGCAACCTACAGAATGGGAGAACATTTTTGCAATCTATCCATCTGACAAAGGTCTAATATCCAGAACCTACAAGGAACTTAAAACAAATTTACAAGGAAAAAAACAACCCCATCAAAAAGTGGACAAAGGACATGAACAGACACTTCTCAAAAGAAGACATTTATGTGGCCAACAAACATATAAAAAAAAGCTCAACCTTACTGATCATTAGAGAAATGCAAAGGAGAACCACAATGAGATACCATCTCATGCCGGTCAGAATGGTGATTATTAAAAAGTCAAAAAACAACAGATGCTGGCGAGGCTGTGGAGAAGTAGGAACACTTTTACATTGTTGGTGGGAATGTAAATTAGTTCAACCGTTGTGGAAGTGTGTGTGGCTATTCCTCAAAGATCTAGAACTAGAAATACTATTTGTCCCAGCAATCCCATTACTGGGTATATACCCAAAGGAATATAAACCATTTTATTATAAAGATACATGCACATTTTTGTTCATTGCAGCACTCTTCACAATAGCAAAGACACAATAGCAAATGCCCATCAAAGATAGACTGGATAAAGAAAATGTGGTACATATACACCATGGAATACTGTGCAGTGCAGCCATTACAGCTTTTGGTGATACAGTGAATCAGATTTTTCATTAATTCTTTTAATTGGTTATTACTGAACGTGAAAAAGTAATGTTTGTATTGAAATCTTGAGTCTGGCCATGTTTCTATTTTAAATTCATAAAGAATTCTAACAAGAGGAATTCCAAGAATGTCATAAATGGATGTTTCTCCATGGATGAAGGAACTGTTTTATTCACTTGCTGATAATTCAGCCTAATCCAGTTTGACATCATATAGATAAGTAGTTGAATTATGGATTTAAAATACATATCATTTTCTAACTCCAAAGGTAATACTTATTTAAATGGTTTTGAAAATATAGAAAGGCACAATTTCTTTTTAAATCTGTTATTCTCCACCACCACTCAATCTGTCTATCATCTATCTCTCCATTCATTCTTCCATTTGTTTATATCTGTTAATCTTTGTATGTGTTCATGTATAGCTTTTACATGATTGGAATCATAATGCATATTCCATTTTGAAGTCTGCTTTTTTTTACACAAAAATATGTTGTGAATATTTTCCTATATTATGAAATATCATTAGCTGAGCTTTTAGAATTGACTGCATGTTTTGGTACCATTTAGATATAGTTTAAGATACTTAGAAGTTATGTGGCTTTGCCACTATGGATGAATCTTATTTACTCAATATTAATTACTTACAAATAACCTCACCTAAACACTACTCAGCCATAAAAAGGAATGAATTAATGACATTCACAGCAACCTGGAGACTATTACTCTAAAGGAAGTAACTGAGGAATGGAAAACCAAACATTGTATGTTCTCACTCATAAGTGGGAGATAAGCTATGAGGATGCAAAGGCATAAGAAGGATACAATGGACTTTGGGGACTTAGGGGAAAGGGTGGGAGGGGGGTGAAGGATAAAAGAATACAAATTGGGTTCAGTGTATACTGCTCAGGTGATGGGTGCACCAGAATCTCACAAGTAACCACTTAATTACTTACGCATGTAACCAGATACCACCTGTTCCCCAAACACCTATGGAAATAATTTTGTTTTTTTTTTTAAAAAAGGAATGAGATCATGTCCTTTGCAGGGACATGGATGAAGCTGGAAGCCATTATCCTCAGCAAACTAACAGAGGAGCAGGAAACCAAACACCACATGTTCTCACTTGTAAGCGGAAGCTGAACAATGAGAACACACGGACACAGGGATGAGATCAACACACACTGGGGCCTGATGCAGGGGCCGTAGCGGGGAGAGCATCAGGATAACTAGCTAATGCATGTGGGGCTTAATACCTAGGTGATAGGTTGATAGGTGCAGCAAACCACCATGGGACACGTTTACCTATGTAACAAACCCGCACATCCTGCACTTGTATCCAGAACTTAAAATATTTTAAAAATCTTTAGAGAATACAAAAAAAAAAAAAAAGATTCTTCAATGCATACACAATAAAATTGCAGTTCAGTCAAACATTGGAAGTCTTTCTCTGACTGTCTAGTTGGTATCTTCATTTTCAGCTTCTTCAAGATCCCACTCCAAACACTGTTAGCTCAGCCAAATTGAACAGCTCATATCTCCTACCTCTGGATCTTTGGTTCTGGTGATTGTATATTTCTGGACCATCTGGAACCCCAGCATATCACCCTACCCCACATCTCCACATCCCCAAAATATAACCATACTTCAAGGGCAGTTCAAATACCATCTCCTTCTATCCTCCATGAAGTCAGTTATCTCTTCCATTGGAATTATCGCCCCCTCTCCTGAACAGTACTATTTCGTGTGAATCTCCTCCAAGCCTTCTTTTCATTTTATATCTCATGCTGTAATTCTTGGAAAGTATGCTGTAGCTCAAGTGCAGAATTCTCATCAGTTTTATCTTTATATCTCTCCTAAACACTTTACCTGATGAAGAGCCTGGCATACACATAAATATATATTGAATGAATCAGTGATGGATTGAAAAGAGAAATGATGGATCTCCTAAATTTTAACTTTTATAAAATATTTTGATACATTCATGACCTTACTTTAGCAAGCAATGAACGTGATGTAAACTATTGTTGATATAGTTTTTATATTGGAAGTGTAAGTAGTTTGTGGCATGGGATTGTGACATATCCTAGGTTTCCTCATCTTCTTTTTATTGAAATGTAATTCACAAGCCATAAAATTTGCCCCTTTAAAGTAAATGATGCAGTGGATTTTAGTATATTTACAGAGTTGTGCAATCATCACCACTATCTAATTCCAGAACATTTCCATCTACCTAGAAACTCCATACCAGTGAGCTGCCACTCTAATCCTCCTCTTCCCCCAGCCTCTAGAAACAATAATCCATTTTCTGTCTCTATGATTTGCCTGTTCTAGATATTTTATAAAAATAAACATGTGGCCTTTCGTGTCTGACTTCCTTCACTTAGCATGTTTCAAGGTTCATCTATGCTATAGAGTGTACCAGTGCTTCATTACATTTTATGGCTGAATAATACCCTATTGTGTGGATATACCGCATTTAGTTTATTCATCAGTTGATCGAAATTTAGACTGTTTCCACTTTTTTGCTATTATGGATGATGCTGCTATGAATATTCGTATATGAATTTTTATATGGATATATGTTTTCAGTTCTTCTGGGCATATACCTTAGAAGTGAGAGTGCTCATCATATAGTAACTCTATGTTTAGCCTTTTGAGGAACTGCCAAACTGCTTTTCAAAGTAGTAGCATCATTTTATATTCCCACCAGCAGTGTATGAGGTTTTTTTTATTTTTTTGTTTTTGAGACGGAGTCTCACTCTGTCGCCCAGGGTGGAGTGCAGTGGCGTTATCTTGATTCACTGTAACCTCTGCCTTCTGGGTTCAAGCCATTCTCCTGCCTCAGCCTCCCTAGTAGTTGGGAGTAGCTGGGTTTACAGGAGCTCGCCACCATGCCCAACTAATTTTTGTATTGTTTTTTGAGACGGAGTCTCGCTCTGTGGCCCAGGCTGGAGTGCAGTGGTGCAATCTCAGCTCACTGCAAGCTCCGCCTCCTGGGTTCATGCCATTCTCCTGCCTCAGCCTCCCAAGTATCTGGGACTACAGCCGCCCTCCACCACGCCCGGCTAATTTTTTGTATTTTTAGTAGAGACAGGGTTTCACCGTGTTAGCCAGGATGGTCTCTATCTCCTGACCTCGTGATCCGCCTGCCTTGGCCTCCCAAAGTGCTGGGATTACAGGCGTGAGCCACCGCGCCCAGCCAATTTTTGTATTTTTAGTAAAGACAGGGTTTCACCATGTTGGCCAGGCTGGTCTCGAACTCCTGGCCTCAGGTGATCTGACTGCCTTGGCTTCCCAAAGTGCTGGCATTACAGACATTAGCTACTGTGCCTGGCCTCAAGTCCTTTCTCATTTTAAAACTGCGTTATTTTATTTTATTTTTCTGAGATGGAATCTCACTCTGTCGCCCAGGTTGGAGTGCAGTGGTGCAATCTCGGCTCACTGCAACCTCCACCTCCTGAGTTCAAGCGACTCTCCTGCCTCGGCCTCCCTAGTAACTGGGATTACAGGCACCCACCATCACGCCTGGCTAATTTTTGTATTTTTAGTAGAGACAGGGTTTCGCCATGTTGGCCAGGCTGGTCTTGAACTCCTGAACTCAGGTGATCTGCCTGCCTCGGCCTCCCAAAATGCTAGGATTACAGGCGTGAGCCACCACACCCGGTGGGTTGTCTTTTTATTGTTGAGTTGTAAGCATTCTTTTTAATATTCTGGATACTAGTTTCTTATCAGGTACAATCTTTGTGAATATATTCTCCCATTCCATGGATTGTCTTCTCACTTTCTGGATACTATACAGTACAAGTTTTAAATTTTGATGAAGTTCACTTGATTTCTGTTTTTTATGTTATTGCTTATGCTTTTGGTGTCATACCTAAAAAACCATTGTCTAAATCAATTGCCTATGAGGTGTTACCCCTATGTTTTCTTCTAAAGTTTTATGATTTTAGCTCTTTGACCCATTTTGAGTTATTTTTGTGTATGCAGTGCGAGATAAGCATCCAGCCTCATTCTTTTGCACATAAATGTTCACTTGTCTTAGCATTACTTATTGAAAATACTATTTTTTCCCTATAGAATTATTTTATACTTATCACAAATCAACTAACTATAAGGGTTTATTTCTGGACTCAATTCTGTTGCTCTATCTTATGGTAGTACCACACTGTCTTGATTATTGTAACTTCGTAGTAAGTTTTGGAATCCAGAAATGTAGTCCTCTAACTTTGTTGTTGTTGTTGTTCTTCTTTTTTCTTTTGTAGAGATGAGGCCTTGCTATGTTGCCCAGGCTGGTCTCAAACTCCTGGCCTCAAACAATCCTCCCACCTCCACCTCCCAAAGTGCTGAGGGGTGAGCCACTGCAACTGGCCTGTTCTTTTTCAAAATTGTTAGGGCTGTATTGGGTTTACCTTTCCCTAAATTTTCATATAACTGTTAGGATTCACTTGCAAATTTATGTAAAAAGGGCCTCTGGAATTTTGATAGTGATTACACTGAATGAGAGGAGTTTGGCAGGACTGGTTTCCCAAGACCACAAGACCCTGTAAGACCCTGCTGATAAGACAGGATGTGGTAGAAAGGCCAACCCAAACCAGCCAAAACCATGATGGTGACAGAAGAGACCTCTGGTTACCTTTGCTGCCCATTCTATGGTAATTATAATACATTAGCACGCTAAAAGAAACTTCTACAGCACCATGATAGTTTACAACTGCCATAGCAACTTTCAGAAGTTACCCTGTATGGTCTAAAAGGTCCAGACCTCCCCACTTCTTTCCTGGAAAACTCATGAATAAGCCACCTCTTGTTTAGCGTATAGTCAAGAAGCAACCATAAATATAGCCAGTCAGCAGCCCATCAGGGCTACTCTTCCTATGGGGTAGCCATTCTTTTATTCCTTTACTTTCTTAATGAACTTGCTTTCACTTTATTCTGTCAGCATGCTCTTGAATTCTTTCCTGAACCCACTTGACCTCTTGGGCTGAGCCTTAACCTTGGGGTACTTTTGCCTATAACAAACATACAAAGATAAGTTTGGCTGGGCGCAGTGGCTCATGCCTGTAATCCCAGGACTTTGGGAGGCTGAGGATGGTGGATCGCTTGAGCCAAGGAATTTGAGGCCACCTTGGGCAACACGGCAAAACCCTGTCTCTACTAAAAATACAAAAATTAGCTGGGTATGGTAGCATGCGCCTGTAGTACCAGCTACTCGGAAGGCTGAGGTGGGAGGATCACTTGAGCCCGGGAGGTGGAGGTTTCAGTGAGCTGAGATTGTGCCACTGTACTCCAGCCTGGGGAACAGAGTGAGACCCTGTCTCAAAATAAAAATAAATTTGAGGTGTATTGCCATCTTAACGGAAGTTGTTACTGGTGGACGGTATCCAAGTTACTGGTGGTAAATCTGCAGCAACCTCAATTCTTTCCTCCTCAGAAGAAAGAATTTGACTGAGGGGCATAAGGCAGAAGGAGGGACCGAGGCAAGTTTCAGAGCAACAGTGAAAGTTTATTACGCTTTAGGCTGGGCACAGTGGCTCATGCCTGTAATCCCAGCATTTTGGGAGGCTGAGGCAGGTGGATTACTTGAGGTCAGTAGTTCGAGACCAGCCTGGCCATCATGATGATGAAACCTCGTCTCTACTAAAAATAGAAAAATCAGCTGGGCATGGTGGTCCATGCCTCTAATCCCAGCTACTCGGGAGGCTGAGGCAGGCGAATCAGTTGAACCTGGGAGGCGGAGGTTGCAGTGAGCCAAGAAAGTTTATTAAGCTTTAGAACAGTAAGGAAAGGAAAGAAAAGAAGGAAAGTATAACTTGGAAGAGGGCCAAGCAGGTGACCTGAGAAACCAGGTGCAGGGCTTGCCCTCTTGACTTGGGGTTTTATATGCTGGCATACTTCCGGGATCTTGTGTTACTTTTCCCCACTCCTGAGATCTTTTTGAGAAGCTGATGATCAGTCTCAGGTGTTTTCTATTGCGGGGGGGGGGGGCGGGCGGGGGAGCTGCCTGTCCCTGGCACCACCTGTGACCAATTATTACTTTACAGAAACATTTAACAACCGCCTGACCATCACCTGATGGTTGCCCAACACTCTTGGTGTGTGTCGGGGGAGCCCTCTCCTGCCTTGCTCAGACCTGAATGTACCCATTGTAACAAACCCCTTCTTTGTATACTTTGATATGGTGACATTTCTTGTCACTTGCCTCATTGTGAATTTTTATAGATGTGGCTAAGTCATATGCTTCCTTCTGAAAAATTATGTCAAATACTAGCAGTTTCTCACTGTTTTTTGCCCTAGAAACAACAAACTAACCTTGAAGTGAAAGGCCTTTCTGCGTTTATCTTACCTTTTTTGAGCAGCATTAAAACTGTTTTACTCAGACCAAGTGCCGTGGCTCATGCCTGTAATCCCAGCACTTTGGGAGGTTGACGTGGGAGGATTGCTTGAGCCCAGGAGCTCGAGATCAGGCTGGGCAATGAAGTGAGAGCCAGTTTCTACAAAAACATTTTTAAAAATTTGCTGGGCATGGTGGGACATGCCTTTAGTTCCGGCTACTCTGGAGGTTGAGGTGGGAGGATCACTTGAGCCCTGGAGGTTGAGGCTGCAGTGAACTATGATCTTGCCACTGCACTCCAGCCTGTGTGACAGAGCAAGACCCTGTCTCAAGAAAATCCATATAAACATATATAGTGGTTTCTTATATACAACATTTTAAATTTATTGATATATAAAATATGTATTTTAAATTTATATACTATACAATCTGTTATATAAAATTATTTTTATAATATATTTATATAATATATTTTAAATTTAAATATATTTATAAATATATATAAATATATATTGTACACATTACTCAATTTTTCTTTTTCTTTTTTTTTTTTTTTTTGAGACAGAGTTTCACTCTTGTTGCCCAGGCTGGAGTGCAATGGCATGATCTCGGCCCACTGCAACCTCCGCCTCCCAGGTTCAAGAGATTCTCCTACCTCAGCCTCCTGGATTACAGGCGCCCACCACCATGCCCGGCTAATTTTTTTGTATTTTCAGTAGAGACAGGGTTTCATCATTTGGCCAGGCTGGTCTCAAACTCCTAACCTCAGGTGATCCGCCTGCATCAGCCTCCCAAAGTGCTGGGATTACAGGCATGAGCCACCACACCCAGCCTACATTACTCAATTTAACCACGTCCACCTAGTTCCCTAGACAAACTATTGCTAATTTAACTTTTAGGAACTACTGCCATCTTGCGGAACTTTGAGGTTTTGCCACCCCAGAATTTCCTAGCTGCTCTGTTCTTCTATTATGTGGCATAGCAAACACAAAATGGGTCACTTTTTTTCTTTGGAGATGGGATCTTTCTATGTTGCCCAGGCTGGTCTCCAACTCCTAGGCTCAAGTGATCTTCCTACCTCAGCCTCCTCAATAGCTGGTACTATAGGAGACAGCACCACACTGCCCGGGCCTGGTTGCATTTTACTTGTCTAGCTATCGTCTCTTTCCTGTTGACTATCTGGAAATCTCTGATGGGGTCTTTAACAGAAAAAGTCTACTCCTTCAGACCTTAGTTTCATGCCATATACCACATATGACAGGTCTGGGAAGGTCTGGAATGTGTGGATAAAGGCGATGGCAGTGGCTGCTGCCATCATGCTGGCTGCAGCAGGGAGGCATGGCTCTGGGTGCACACTCCACGGAGCTGGTGGGTGCCCCCCACCTTCTGAGTTGGAGCGGGAGCTCCTCGGGTGCTGCTGCAGCTGCCCAAACCCAGCCACCCAGACTGCGGCTGTGGATCTGAGCCCCCCTGTGCTCTTGGAGGAGGGCTGGGAGCAGGCAGGATCTGCCTTCCTGGGTGCAGAGACCAGCTTGGTCACGGACACCCTAACCCAGTGGTGCTAGAGGAATTAGACACACATACAGAAATATAGAGTGTGGAGTGGGAAATCAGGGGGCTGACAGCCTTTAGAGCTGACAGCTCCGAACAGAGAGTTACCCACATATTTATTGACATCAAGCCAGTGATAAGCATTGTTTCTATAGATTATAGATTAATTAAAAGTATCCCTTATGGGAAACAAAGGGATGGGCCGAAACAAAGGGATGGGTTCTGGCTAGTTATCTGCAGCAGGAACATATCCTTAAGGCACATATCACTCATGCTATTGTTTGTGGTTTAGGAATGCCTTTTTGCAGTTTTCCGCCCTGGGTGGGCCAGGTGTTCCTTGCCCTCATTCCGGTAAAACAACAGCCTTCAGCGTGGCCATCATGGCCATCAAGAACATGTCACAGTGCTGCAGAGATTTTGTTTATGGCCAGTTTTCGGGTCAGTTTATGGCCAGATTTGGGGGACTGTTCCCAACACCAGGGTGTGGCTGCAGCCACCCTCCTAGGTGCAGGACCTGGGCATCTCTGCAGCCTGCACCCTGGGGGCCCCAGGAAGGACCCCCTCCCACCCCATCCCGCAGGCTTGGGGGTGTCTGCTCCCGCTGCCTGGCCTCTCTTCACTCCTGGCACCTTCTCCAATCTTGAAGTGGGGTTGGGGCCAAGTCCTGGGGCCTTGAATGGCAATGGGAGGCAGAAGGGGGCAGGTCCCCAGTAAGGTCCTCCTTCAGGCCAGGGAGGGCTGAAGGCTGGGGGTGGGGCTGCCAGTCCTGTGGATTGTAGTAGGGACTCATGGTGCCTCTTCTGGGTGCCCGTGGACAAATTGGCAGCCACTTCCTCCTCTCTGAGGTCCATAAAAGCCCTGGGCTCAGCCAGAGCAGGGCAGAGGATGGCCAGAGGACAAAGAGGGCAGAGAGGTGGTGGGATGACCAGCTGCAGAGAGGAGTACTCTCTGCTGATAGCTGGAGACAATGGGATGGCTGGCTGCAGAGAAGAGCTACCTTCTCCACTGAGAGCTGCAGAGACAACCTGCCAGCAGAGAGAAGCCACCCTTTCCAGGGCCTCCTCTCCACTGAGAACTGAGCACTGGACAGATGACCTGCCTACAGAGAGGAGCTACCCACTGTGGGCCTCCTCTGAGCTGTTCTAGCACTAAATAAAGCTCTTCTTCATCTTGTTCACCCTTCACTTGTCTGTGTACCTCATTCTTCCTGGACGCAGGCCAGAACTCGGGCAAAGGTGCTGCAGTCAGAGAGGTTTCCAGCCAGAAAATTGATACCCCAAAGATCCCGTAACAAAGGTATGGAGCAAAGTGGGGGTAAGGAGGTCTTGGAGGTTGGGGGTGTCAAATCTAGAAGACTTGCTACTTCAAGACCTTCTGAGGACCCTCATAGGTTGGGGTGGAGGTTTCAGTGCTCTGAGCTCTTCTCTAGCCAGTATATCCCTTCCTCCTCCCCCATGGCTTATGCCAATCCTTTAGGAGTCATTACTCTTTTTTTTTGGATGGAGTTTCGCTCTTGTTATGCAGGCTGCAGTGCAATGGCATGATCTCGGCTCACTGCAACCTCTGCCTCTCGGGTTCAAGTGATTCTCCTGCCTCAGCCTCCTGAGTATCTGGGATTACAGGCATGTGCCACCATGCCCGGCTAATTTTGTATTTTTAGTAGAGATGGGGTTTCTCCATGTTGGTCAGGCTGGTCTCAAACTCCCGACCTCAGGTGATTCACCCACCTCGGCCTCACAAAGTGCTGAGATGACAGGTGTGAGCCACCGTGCCCAGCCAGGAGTCATTACCCTTTAGTCTACCCAGACAGAGGGTGGGGAACTTGGACCACAGATTGTATGTCAAGGAAAGCCAACCACTGCTACCACTACCCCCTACTAATGTGGAACTAAAGCAGTAGTTGACATCCACCTCTACAAAAGGCCATGAAGGTTTTGATTGGCCCTTCACGTGCACTCAGTAGACTGCAACCAATCAGGAAAGAGATTGTAAGACGTGTTTATTCTACCACCATCAACATGCCCTCAGTAACTGTGTGTAGGAGGAAGTAGAAAATGCTGAGTACAAATATCTGCACTGCACGCCATCTCCCCTCTGTAACCTGATTCAAATGTTTCCCTGGAGCAGTAGGATAAAAGTTACAGTTTTACTTCCTGGGTCTTTATTCTACCTTTACCTTCCAGACCTAGATCAAATACTTCCTCCTCCAAGGAATGTCTGACTGATTGTCCCTTCTTAAAGCCCCTGTGGCACCAAAGTGAAGCCTCACTGTGGCATCACCACCCCCTGCCCGCAGTTACAGATGCTACACGATGTCATACTGAGATTCGGGCAATGGTAGCCCGGGGATCAAGAGCAAGGGGTTCGGAGTCAGAGAGACCCACGTTTGAGCCCTGAATTCTTGCTCATAGCTTTGGGATGGTGGCAAGATTCCTTGCCTCTCTGAATCTGGGTTTCCTCATCTATTGAATGTGGATAATAATGCCAGCTAAGGCTGGGAGTTGTTATGAGTTCATCAGAGAAGTTTAGAAATGGTAGTACCGGTCGCCATAGTTACTATGGAAAGCAGGTCACTTTGCTTTCCAATTGTGCCCAATTCAGGGCTTTGAATTGCCTGCTAAATATTTAATATTATTGAATCAAAGTTGAAAGAGTTAATATACTTTATGAACAGAGTGAGAGAAAGTGATAGTTTCAATAAGTTGCCTCCCTAAATGGCCCAATAAATTTAATATTTATAATAAAACAACTAAATAGAAGACCAAGACTTACGGCTTGTCTTTCTTCCTTTTTAAGTTATTTTCCAGAAAATAATATTTATATTTTAAGTTAAAGTAACTGCAAATTGGAAACCACAGGGGGAGCCCCAGGCTGGGACAAATAATGACTAGCCTGGTCCCAACAGAACAGGCAAAGAAGGTGGTCCCTACACTCTTTATGGTCAGTTGGGGCCCCCTCCTCACTCTGCTGCAGCATTCTAGGGTCAGGGCCCCACCTTCCCTGGAACTGGGGTAGTGAGTAACCCAGCCTGCTGTGCTCCGGCCCCCCTTTCCCAAGAAGGTTTTTTTTTTTTTTTTTTTTGAGAGAGTCTTTCTCTGTCGCCCAGGCTGGAGTGCAATGGCACGATTTTGGCTCACTGCAACCTCTGCCTCCCGGGTTCAAGCGATTCTCCAGCCTCAGCCTCCTAGTAGCTGGGATTACAGGCATGTGCCACCAAGCCTGGCGAATTTTATGTTTTTAGTTGAGATGTGGTTTCACCATGATGGCCAGGCTGGTCTTGAACTCCTGACCTCAAGCAATCTGCCCACCTCAGCCTCCCAAAGTGCTGGGATTACAGGTGTGAGCCACTGTGCCTGGCCAGGACTTGTCTTTTTCTTTTCTTTTTTTTTTTGAGAAGGAGTCTTGCTCTGTAGCCCAGGCTGGAGTGTGATGGCGTGATATCCGCTCACCGCAACCTCCACCTCCTGCCTTCAAGCGATTATCCTGCCTCAACCTCCCGAGCAGCTAGGATTACAGGTGTGTGCCACCACGCCCAGCTAATTTTTTGTATTTGTAGTAGAGACAGCGTTTCACCATCTTGGCCAAGCTGGTCTCGTGATCCGCCTGCCTCAGCCTCCCAAAGTGCTGGGATTACAGGCGGGAGCCACTGCACCTGGCCCCAGGACTTGTCTTTCTTAAGCACAGAAGTTCTCTGAATGATGCCTAGGACATGGAAAGGACATTTTAATACATTTGCTAATCAAAGCATCATAAATCTTGCTTTTTTTCCCCATAGATAAAACATCTTTCTAAGACTCTGTACCTCTTTCCAGAGTGCTGCACATTTGAGTTAGCTTAATTATAGTGTAGTGACTTTGATCCAAACTTGCTGGTTTAAATCTTGGCTCTTCCAGCCGCTCACTGTGTGACCTTGGGCAAATTAATTAACCTTTCTGTGCCTTAGTTTTCACATGTTAAAGCAGCAGTCATAGTAATAGTATTTATCTTACAGTGTTGTTGGGATGGTGAAATGAGTAAATATTTGTAAATGCCCTGGCACATGGTAGTTGCAATATTAGTGTGCAGTATTGTTTTTATGATTAGAAATAATGTCTTCAAAGTCTCACTTTCCTGCTGGTTTGAATGTGCTGTGAGAACACATACTGTCAGTTTTGCCTACCACAAATTTGTTGAGTCTCTTGCAGGTACCTCCAAATGGGCTTGTAATTCACCATCCCCACTTTTCTTTTTTTTTTCCTTTCTTTTTCTTTTTATTTCTTAATTTCTCCCACAAAGACTGAAAGTGAATCCCCACTTTTCTTTTATCTTTTAAAAATTTTATTTGTGGGCCGGGCACGGTGGCTCCATGCCTGTAATCCCAGCACTTTGGGAGGCCAAGGAGGGTGGATCACAAGCTCAGGAGTTCGAGACCAGCCTGGCCAACATGGTGAAACCTCGTCTCTACTAAAAATACAAAAAATTAGCCGGGCGTGGTGGCGCATGCTTGTAATCCCAGCTACTCGGGAGGTTGAGGCAGGAGAATCACTTGAACACAGGAGGCAGAGGTTGCGGTAAGTGGAGATCGCTCCATTGTTTATTTGCATGTGGACATAAGAAAGGGTTAACATGGCCGACAACTATTTCATGAGCTTTTTGGCTTTATTTGAAAAGTGAAGTGTGTTTGGGGAAGGAGTTGGTTAGGAAAACAGATGCTTCCCTTTTTGACTTACCAAGGAAATGGAGATCCAAAGGAAAGCCTGAAGCACTTTGTGGCTTCCACGGGTTCGTTTCTAGGAAGCTTTTGCTTTACCTGGGGAAACCCCAAGCTCTACAGTGAGAAAGTTGTAAATTAGCCTTTAGGAGACGCTGTTTGTCAAAGTTATCTTAACCCTGGAAAAGGGGAGGGAAAAAGGCAGATAAGCAGTGATGACATCAGCAGGAAACTAGTATCAGGCTACCCAGTCCTGAAGATTCAGTTTTCACTTAAACAACCAGCAAGTCTTGAAGTCTCTTCCCAAGCAAATGGGAGCTTCTTTGGACCTTGGAGCACACAGAGGATTCTACTTTCTTTAAAACTTTGTTTTCAGGCAATTTCCCTGAGAACCGTTTACTTCCAGAAGATTGGTGGAGCTTGATCTGAAGGTATGTAATTAACAACCCTTCTTACTCCAGAGTCTCATGCTTGAATCTTTTCCTTTGCTTCATGGCTTCGTGTTGTAGAAACTTGCAAAAACTTGTCAGCAATGGCACTATTTTTTCTTAGATTTCTTTGTCATGCCTGGGAAAACAAAAGTTAAAAAATCCGGAAGCCTCCAACATAGCCTTTTACCGGGGCAGAAATATGTTAGCTCACAGAGACAAAGTTTGGTAGACTCACTAAAACTAGAGATCAGAATTGTCAAGAAACCACAAGGCAAATGCTAGATGCGGTAGAATAGAAAGGTGTCTCCAATAAACCACTCATTTGACCTCAGGGCTAGTAGCAGGGAAGATCCCCTGGATTATCACATTAAAAATGACATTTTTTTGTTTCTTTTAACACCAAAAGTAATGTGTATGCTCACATATGCATAAAATTTGAGAAATTCAATTGGAAGCCCAGAAGGAAATTTGTATTATCTATAGTTATGTCACCTCGATATAACCACTGTTTGTTATGGAGGTTTTGATTTTTGCTGTGTCTTCCTTCCTTTATTTATTTATTTATTTATTTATTTATTTATCTATTTATTTATTTGAGACGGAGTCTCCCTCTTTCACCCTCCAGCACTCAAGCTGGAGTGCAGTGGCACAATCTTGGCTTACTGCAACTTCCGCCTCCCAGGTTCAAGCAATCCTCCCATCTCAGCTTCCTATGAAGCTGGGACCACAGGCATACACCACCAAGCCCAGCTAATTTTTGTATTTTTTGTAGAGACGGGGTTTCACCGTGTTGCCCAGGCTTGTCCCGAATTCCTGGCCTCACAGTGATCCACCTGCCTCAGTCTCCTGAAGTGCTTCTCTGATTATAATGAAATTTAGTATGTAGAATACCATAGTTTATAGACTAGTCAGATGGAAACATTGACTCATGTAATTTTTATCTTCCTTCGCTGATTTGAGCAACTCTTGTCTAAAATCACCCTTTCCTTCTGAGGTCTAGGAGGTTTTTTTGTTGTTGTTTTGTTTTGTTTTTGAGGCAGGGTCTTGCTCTGTCACCCAGGGTGGAGTGCAGTGGCACAATCATGGCTCACTGGAACCTCCATCCCCGGGGCTCAAATGATCCTTCTGCTTCAGCCCTCTGAGTAGTTGGGACCACAGGCGTGCACCACCATGCCTGGCTAATTTTTGTATTTTTTGTAGAGATGGGGTTTTACCACGTTGCCCAGTCTGGTCTTGAACTCCTGGCCTCAAGTGATCCACCCGCCTTGGCCTCCCAAAGTGCTGGGATTATAGGCGTAAGCCATGACACCCCACCTGTTCCTTCCTTTATAAAGTATTTTCTTGTTTCTAAAAATAGCCAAGTTCTGCATATTGACTACATACCTCAAGTGCTTATAGAATAAATAGTATTACAATGAAAATTTTATCACTGCATTGCTCCTCTGATTATGATGAAATTTAGTATAGAGAATAGCATAGTTTATAAACTGATCAGATGGAAACATTGACTCATGTAATTTGTTTTTTTTTAGTGAAAACAAGTTTATTAGAGAAGTAAAGAAACAAAAGAATGGCTACTCCATAGACAGAGCAGCCGACTCATGTAATTTTTAACTTCCTACACTGATTTGAGCAACTCTTGTCTAAAACCACCCTTTCCTCCTGAGGTCTAGGATATTTTATTTATTTATTTTTCTTTTTGAAACAGGGTCTCACTCTGTCACCCAGGGTGAAGTGCAGTGGCATGATCATGGCTCACTGCAACCTGTGCTCCCCAGGCTCAAATGATCCTTCCATCCTCGGCCTCCTGAGTAGTTGGGACCACAGGCATGTGCCACCATGCCCTGATAATTTTTTGTATTTTTAGTAGAGACCAGGTCTCGCCATGTTGCTCAGGCTTGAGGTCTAGGATTATGCCTTCCCTTTCTGTAAGATAAAGGCCTGCCCTCTTACAGGTAGCAGTCTGAAGTTAAGATGTAACACACATACCTCACGGTACCTTGCTGTCTTTGGGTTGATAGATCATAAGGATAACCCTGCCTCCCCCAGATTGCTTTGTGTCTAAAACTTAAAGCATAGAGCCAAGTGCTATTTCTGCCACGTGCTGGAAATGAATGTAAGGGCTCCAATCAGGCTACCAGGCTTGAGAAAAATTGTGCTGTGTCCCTCCATCTTAACTTTCTCTCTCTGGGAACATTTTGATTTGGGAGAAATCAAGGTGAATTGAATTCCAATATAAGCACCCTCCAAGTTTCCTAAAAAGTAACTTGCAAGTGTTGGGGAAAAGTTTTCTGGGCTGTTGCTTTTTGAAGTAGCCTCGCCGTAATTTTTATTTTTCAGCACTTCTAGGAAAGTCTAATGCCCAGAACGGAGAAGGTTGTGGTGAGGGGAGGGCCTGGGAAGTCAGGGGGCCATATGTCCTCACTCTCTAACTCCCTGCCCCACCTCTCTGTCCCTTTCAGGCTGGCCATGAAATCTCAAGGTCAACATTGGTATTCCAGTTCAGATAAAAACTGTAAAGTGAGCTTTCGTGAGAAGCTTCTGATTATTGATTCAAACCTGGGGGTCCAAGATGTGGAGAACCTCAAGTTTCTCTGCATAGGATTGGTCCCCAACAAGAAGCTGGAGAAGTCCAGCTCAGCCTCAGATGTTTTTGAACATCTCTTGGCAGAGGATCTGCTGAGTGAGGAAGACCCTTTCTTCCTGGCAGAACTCCTCTATATCATACGGCAGAAGAAGCTGCTGCAGCACCTCAACTGTACCAAAGAGGAAGTGGAGCGACTGCTGCCCACCCGACAAAGGGTTTCTCTGTTTAGGTGAGGACGGGTCTGTGGTGGAGATGGGAGGATCTCCCATCTAGTGTTCATTCTGGCCATTGGGCTTTGAAAGGAAGCTGCAGTTAAGATCTTTTGGTTATCTACCTCCTTGGATGATAAACCAGGAGATTCTAAACCTCCTTCTCAGCCTCTGATGCTAATGAGATAAGAGTTGGGAGGTCAGCAAAGCTTCAAGACCAAGCCCTGGGCCCAGAGGTGGCTTCCCTTTGTTTTGCTTCTCACTAGCAGTGAAGCCCACCTCAGTGTGGCAGAGCCCGTGTTTTCCCTGCTTACCAGCGGCTACACGTGCAGATCTTCTCCCTCCTGGGATCCACTAGTCTGTCTACCTGTTTCCCGGGGTCTTGAGAAGAGAGTAATGCATACTTGGAGTGAAATAAGCAAGATGAAAAAAGAGATGTGTTTCTGGGGTAGGGAGGGATGTCATTTATGCCATGTCTAGTTATAGAAATTTCTATATTTTTGGGTGGGAATCCAGAAAGGTAAAAACAGGCATTTTGCCCAAAGAGGTAAAATTTAGGCATTGGTCTTATCATGGATGACAGCGTTTTATTTTTATTTTGAGACAGAGTCTCGCTCTGTCACTCAGGCTGGAGTGAAGTGGCACCATCTCAGCTCACTGCAACCTCCGCTTCCTGGGTTCGAGCGATTCTCCTGCCTCAGCCTCCTGAGTAGCTGGGACTACAGGCACCCACCACCACACCTGGCTAATTTTTGTATTTTTAGTAGAGACAGGGTTTCCAACATGTTGGCCAGGCTGGTCTGGAACTCCTAGCCTCAAGTGATCCACGCACCTCGGCCTCCCAAAGTGCTGGGATTATAGGTGTGAGCCACTGTGCCAGGCTGATGACAGTGTTTAAAATTGTTCACTGACATAGTGTCCACATCAGAGAACCTCACGAAGAGGAGCCTTTGGAGGGTGTTTTATGGTCTCTGCGATTAGAACACATTAAGCCTTAGCGGTGGAACTGGCTTCCAGAACCTGAGTTGCCCTTGAGTCAGTGGAAGGAATGATGAATTCCAGAAATCCATATTTCCATTCTGCTGGCTAAACATCTGAGGGACAGTCTCTGACACATAGGGGTGTTAGTATGTGGATGAAATCCTCACTGTTTCTGGTTGTGGATTATATCTCGAAGCTGGGGTAGTTTTCTTCCCTTTTCAATATACAACCGACTGTACCTTGGCTGGCCTGGGGTCCTATCTACCAAGGGCCTGTAAAGTAAGCCTGAATTTCTTGATGGAATCAGGAGATGGGAAGGCATGTCAGAATTGTGTTTTATGCCTTTTTTTTTTTAAATATGCCTTCTTAGTGTGGTGAAAAACAGCATTAGACTTGGAGTCAGAAGGCCTGCTTCTACCACTTACTGTGTTATCTTTATTTAAACAAGTCACTTAGAAACTGAAAGTTTTCATTTTTTGAACCTATAAATGGGATTAATAATTGTCTACACATAGAGTTGATCATTCAAATGACAGAAAACATTTATGAAAGCACTTGATTGATTATGGTGTCCTCCACAAGTGTAAGGCTTTATTTGTCATTTTGGGTGTGTGTCTTAGAAACCTGCTCTACGAACTGTCAGAAGGCATTGACTCAGAGAACTTAAAGGACATGATCTTCCTTCTGAAAGACTCGCTTCCCAAAACTGAAATGGTGAGTGGGTCATACAGAATGGGTCTGTGTGAGCACTGTCTTAATCAATGATTAGAAAGATGCTGGAAAGGGTTTTTAGGGAGATTTATTTTTTATGGGAGACAGTATCATACAATGGTTACGAACATTGGCTTTGGTGCTGGATGAGCCTAGATTCTGGTCCTGATTCTAATTCTAAACCCATGCTGTGAGGCCAATGATTGAACTTTTCTGAGTCTCTATTTTCTTAGACGTAAAATTGTGGGCAATCGTATGACTTCCTTCTAGGATTGTTGGGAGAATTAGCTGGAATAATGTTCATGAAGCATTAGCATGAGGCCAATATTTGGTATAGCATTCAGTAAATGCTCACTTCTGTTGGAATCTGTTGTGTTTTGTTTTTGTTTTTGTTTTTTTTTGAGACGAAGTCTTGCCTTGTTGCCCAGGCTGGAGTGCAGTGGCATGATCTCAGCTCACTGCAACCTCCACCTCCTGGGTTCAAGCCATTCTCCTACCTCAGCCTCCCTAGTAGCTGGGATTACAGGCATGCACCACCATGCCCAGCTAATTTTTGTATTTTTAGTACAGACAGGGTTTCACCCTGTTGGGCAGGCTGGTCTAGAACTCCTGACTTCAAGTGATCTGCCTGCCTTGGCCTCCCAAAGTGTTGGGATTACAGGTGTGAGTCACCGCACCTGGCCTTGTCCAGTTTTTTCTTTCAAGTGCCTTTTAATCTGTAGGTTAGATTTCCTCCCTGCCCCCAAATCTCTTTCTTTTTCTTAAAATGTATCTGTTGAAGAATCTCTGGGCGGTTGGCCTGTGGAGTTTCTCACAGGCTGAGTTTTGCTGATTGCACACTCGTGGTGCAGTTTGGCATGTTCCTCTGTCCTCTGCATTTCCTGCAGACTGGCAGCTGAATCCAGAGGCTTCATCAGACTCAGGTCAGATCCGTTTGGCAAGACTATAGGTAGTCTTGTTTTTTCATCAGGAGGTACCTGATTTTCTCTCTCTTTTTCTTTGATATTAGCAACTGTTGATGTTCAACCATTTTATATATTGAATTTTGAGGGGTTGCAAAAATGGAGATATTAGAATTTTTTTTTTTTTTTGAGATGGAGTCTCACTCTTGTCACCCAGGCTGAAGTGCAATGGCACAATTTCAGCTCACTACAACCTCTGCCTCCTGGGTTCAAGCGATTCTCCTGCCTCAGCCTCCTGAGTAGCTGGGATTACAGCAGCCTGCCACTACGCCTGGCTAACTTTTTGTATTTTTAGTAGAGATAGGGTTTCACCATATTGGCTAGGCTGGTCTGGAACTCCTGACTTTAGGTGATCCACCCGTCTCGGCCTCCCAAAGTGCTGAGATTACAAGTGTGAGCCACCATACCCGGCCACATATTAGAATTGTATCATTTCGTTTTCCCTTCATCCATTATTTGGTTACCCAGTGATACAGCTTATATGTGAATCCTTGATTCTTTTCTTTCAGTTATTTTTTTTTTTTTTTTGAGACGGTGTCTCACTTGGTCATCCAGGCTGGAGTTCAGTGGTGTGATCTTGGCTCACTGCAACCTCTGCCTCCCAGGTTCAGGTGATTCTCCTGCCTCAGCCTCCTGAATATCTGGGATTACAAGCAGGCACCACCATGCCTGTCTAATTTTTGTATTTTTAGTAGAGACAGGGTTTCATTTGGCCAGGTTGGTCTCAAATTCTTGACCTCAAGTGATCTACCTGCCTCAGCCTCCCAAAGTTCTGGGGATTACAGGCATGAACCACTGTGCTTTGCCTAGTTATCCAGTTTTTAAGTTAATTGGTATCTTATCATTCTCTGAAGGTGACCCATTACAAAATATATATAAATTTAAACTCATGGATTTAAACATATGTGAGGTATTTCAATCTACTGCAATTATTATCCTTACTGAAGTTCAAACTGAGGCTGGGCATGGTGGCTCATGCCTGTAATCCCAGCACTTTGGGAGTCTGAGGTGGACAGGTCACTTGAGCCTCAGGAGTTTGAGACTAGACTGGGCAACATGACAAAACCCGGTCTCTACAAAAAATACAAAAATTAGCTGGGTGTGGTGGCGTGCACCTGTAGTCCCAGCTCCTCAGGAGGCTGACATGGGAGGATCGCTCGAGCCCAGAGAAGTCAAGGCTGCAGTGAGCAATGGCTGTGCCATTGCACTCCAGCCTGGGTAACAGAGTGAGACCCTGTCTCAAAAAAATAGTTCAATTGTCCCATTTTTTCCCAGGGGATACATCTTCAGTTTGGTTCCTAAGTCATTTTGACATGACCTTAGTAGTCTTTGATGGCTTCTTTACTATCTGGCAAAAATATCCCAGGTTCATCTTGTATATTTTCTACCCAGTCCTGGAATCTCTCATTTCTCCCAAAAATCCTGACTTCTTTTAATGAGAGATGTCATTTCAAGACCACAAACTCGATGCTGGCATGCTCATTGCTTTTGAGTAAATATATATGCACACACTACGTATATACACATATGTATACACACACACACACACATGCACACACACACATGACCTAAAGGTTCAGTAATTCTTGGAGAATTTTAAAAATCAGGCGATTTTGTTTTAGGGAATTCTTTTTTATAAAACATTGTAAGGATCTTCTGCTTTTGCCGTAAAATTTCAGTGCCCACATTTGCAGTGGTACAAAGCAATTACCTGCTCAAATGGTAGCATTATACCTTAAATACAGAATTTCTCAAAGTCAGAGGAGATTCCTGTAGTTTGACAAGCGCTCCAGGTGGTTTTCATAACATTCTCTCCCAAGTTGGGGCATCCGCTCACAAATTTTCCAGTGTCTAGGTTTATACATAAAATGAGACCACTTTTTATTGTTATACCCCGTCCTATGTTAGGGACTCTCTGAACAATATGAGGTGGCGGGTGAGGGACGAGAGAAAGGTCATTTGTTAAAGCAATCTCTGATATTCGAAACACTGAGTGTTAGTTTTCAAACAAGAAAAGCTGGAAAATGTTTTTTTTTCTCTTTTGCTTGCACAGGTTCTAGAACTCTACTTGAAGGCATCTGTGGCTACAGAATTATTATTATTATTATTATTATTATTTTTAGACAGAGTTTCACTCTTGTTGCCCAGTCTGGAGTGCAATGGTGCCATCTCGGCTCACTGCAACCTCTGCCTCCTGGGTTCAAGTGATCCTCCTGCCTCAGCCTCCTGAGTAGCTGGGATTACAGGCGCCCACCACCACACCCAGCTAATTTTTGTATTTTTAGTAGAGGTGGGGTTTCACCATGTTGGCCAGGCTGGTCTTGAACTCCTGACCTCAGGTGATCCACCTGCCTCAGCCTCCCAAAGTGTTGGGATTACAGGTATGAGCCACTGTGCCTGCCCAGAATTATTTTTATGGTCAGAAGCATTCCAAACATTTCCCCCCTACTAAAATAGCTTTTAAATGATCAAATGCACATGTTCATGTGGCCAAATGATCTTGTTTTTCTCAGTATAACAGTAAAAGGAAACGTAACTGTGCTTAGCTGTGGCATGGAATTGTGATATTACCAGGTCAAATTCAGGAAAACCATATTTCCTCTTTGGATTCCAAATGATCTCAGCTTTTTTTTGTTGGGGGCGGGGTGGGGAGATCTCATTTTTTGTGTCAGAATTGTGGCTGAGTTACACACCTCAGATAATCCAGGTTGATCTGTATTGGATTTTGCAATCAGACCAGCCTTTGGAAGTGTGTAAAGGACAGTCTCTAAGCAACACAGATGTTTCCACACCAGGGCTCAGTGAGGCTGCATTATCTGCAACTGCAATTGCAAAAGACCTTATCACAGAAATAAATTACTTACCCACCATTGGAAAAGGGCCTGAACACCCCTCAGCCAAAACGGAAAGGTTCTAAATTCTTACAGTCTCTCTGGGGAAACACAAATAACCTTGCCTTTGAGGGGCATTCTGGGCTTTGTCTTTGATAGCTTTCATAGAAATGTAAGCAGTATAGCTGGCCTACACATATCCTGAGAGATCTCACAACTGTCAGGAAATCCGTTCTCAGCACAGCAATCAGCATACAACATTGAGTCTAAAGGAAACCACACCTGAACTTACTCTTTAACAAAAAAGCAAAAAAAGAACTTTCAGATGTTTGCTGCTAGTATTTGCCAGAGTGGTGTTAAACTAATGTCCAGGTCCCATTTAAGTATGTGCGTGTGTATGTGTGTGATGTACTAAACATCTAATAAACTTTTAGAAAGTATAATGAATTTCCGTAATTGCTTCTGGAATCACATCTTAGCCCTTTATTCCTCCTGGTAGGATGCTGTCAAGACATGAGTTTCTGGCCTGGCAGGGTGGCTCATGCCTGTAATCCCAGCACTTTGGGAGGCCAAGGCAAGCAGATCACCTGAGGTCAGGAGTTTGAGACCAGCCTGGCCAACATGGTGAAACCCATCTCTGTTAAAAATACAAAAATTAGCTGGATGTGGTGGCATGAGCCTGTAATCCCAGCTACTCAGGAGGCTGAGGCAGGAGAATGGCTTGAATGGAGGTGGAGGTTGCTTTGAGCTGAGATTGCACTACTGCACTCTAGCCTGGGAGACAGAGTGAGAGACTCCATCTCAAAATAATAATAATAATAATAATAATAATAATAGCTGAATTGTGATTTTTTGTTTCAGAAAATTCTTTTTCTTTTAAAATATCAAATATAAAATTCTTTCGAAACATTTTCCCCTCATTTCTTTGGTGTCCCTCTTTTGCTGGCTTCCTAAGCAGTATCATTTAAAGCTGTGACTTAGAGTTCAGTGGTTAATAACATAGACTTTGGCATCAGATTGTACCAGCTCTGCCATTAATTAGCTTTGTGACCTTCGGCAAGTTACTGGAATTTCTTTGTGCCTCAATTATTTCATCTTTAAAATGTGGATTATAATAATATCTACTTATTCAGTTGTTGTGCTGTTAATATACAGCAAGCACTGTCCCTGTTGCATAGAGTTATATATATATTTGGTATCTGGTATTAATATAGATTGTATACAGATTTGCTTGGTAATGCCTCTTCCCCTACATTCCTGAGCAACTTGAGGGCAGATGCTGTTATATCTTATTTATCAGTGCAAAACCTAGTGCCTACTGGCCATGCAGATAACATTTGAGTGAGTGGATAATCAATAGGCAAGTAAATGTAACTCTATTGATTCTCTTGTAGACCTCCCTAAGTTTCCTGGCATTTCTAGAGAAACAAGGTAAAATAGATGAAGATAATCTGACATGCCTGGAGGACCTCTGCAAAACAGTTGTACCTAAACTTTTGAGAAACATAGAGAAATACAAAAGAGAGAAAGGTAAGTAGCTTGTGATTGCTAACTTGGACCAGACCATGGAAATTCTTAAACCAATTGGCCATGCATGATGTTTTGATTATTTGTTTTGTTTTGTTTTGTTTTGAGGCAGAGTCTCACTCACTCTGTCACCCAGGCTGGAGTGCAGTGGTGTGATCTTGGCTCACTGAAACCTCCGCCTCCCGGGTTCAAGTGATTCTTCTGCCTCAACCTCCCGAGTAGCTGGGATTACAGGAGCCTGCCACCACGCCTGGCTAATTTTTGTATTTTTAGTAGCGACAGGGTTTCACTATGTTGGCCAGGCTGGTCTCGAACTCCTGACCTCAAGTGATCCACCCACCTCGGCCTTTCAAAATGCTGGGATTATAGGTGTAAGCCACCATGCCTGGCCCGTGCATGATGTTTACTCATCATTCTGATAATATTCTGCTAGGAAAGCCAGAAATCTTCCCCTTCGTTCATTCAACACATATTGGTTGAGTTCATATTTTGTACCAGGCACTGTTTTAGAAGTTGAGGATATAGCAAAGTACAGAGCAAAGCTCCTGCCCTCTTGCAACTTATATTCCAGTGCAGGGAAGTAGTTTTAGACAAACGTCTTTTTCTGATTCTAATATGGGAGTGAGAGTATAGGGAATTATTTTAAATGAAATAACATGAAAAAGAAGGCAGGATAGCATGGGGTAAGAGTGGACTCTATAGAGTCGGATTGCCAGGACTCCACTTACTAGTGGTGCAGTGGTACTTTTTTGGCTTTTCTATGTGTCACTTTCCCTATCTGTAAAGTGGGCATAATAATTGTACCTACCTCCTAGGTTTTTGTGAGGATTGAATGAGATAATTTCTGTAAAATGCATGTCTGGCATGGAGTAAGCCTTCTATACATGTGGCTATTATGGCTCTCTCAGAGAGAAAAGTCATAAAGACTTCACATTCTCAGAAACTACTATCAAAAAAGAACTTTATTTTCTTGTGTGTGTGTGTGTGTGTGTGTGTGTGTGTGTGTTTTAAGTCTGTCTGATAAAGGTAGTTCTGCTGTGATATTTTATACAGATAGAAGCACAGGGCAAAAGTCAAACCTGGCTGCCTTACCACGTGTCAGTACGCTAAATATCTGTGTTTTTCTGAGTTCATTTCTCCACTGTTAAGCAAGCGCTATACATAAAAACTCATGAGTGTATTCATGAAACTTTTATGCCACACCCTTAATTTAGTTCAGTGAGTGACTCTAGTGTGCAAATTTCTTGGTTGAAAATGAAACTAGCTAAGAGGAAATGTCTGTCTAAGAATTTGGTTAACACAGAATGAGTTGAGGAGCAAAATATACTGTTGTCAAACTGATAAAATCTCAAACAATAAAATGATGAATAAATGCATAATTTAAGTTATGAAGAATAAAAACAGTTCTTTCTATCATCAAATTATCAAATGAGAAATAAAAAGCAGAAGGTTGATATGGAAAGAATATTTGAAATCCTCACATGAGCTCTGAGTTTTTTTCTAAACACATTGTCATTTTTCTGTAATGCCATATCCCATATAAAGTAAACATAGGGCAAGTGGTCATATTATTCTGGATATTTAAATTCTAAAGAAGACACACTAGTTTCTATGTAGTTGATTACATTTGCCTCAGTGAGTCTTGAAGACTGAGCTTTGTTTTTTTTATTTTTATTTTTTGAGATGGAGTCTCGCTCTGTTGCCCAGGCTGCAGTGCAGTAGTGTGATCTTGGCTCACTGCAAGATCTGCCTCCCAGGTTCACACCATTCTTCCGCCTCAGCCTCCCAAGTAGCTGGGACTACAAGCGCCTGCCACCACGCTCAGCTAATTTTTGTATTTTTAGTAGAGATGGGATTTCACCATGTTAGCCAGGATGGTCTCGATCACCTGACCTCATGATCAGCCTGCCTCGGCCTCCCAAAGTGCTGGGATTACAGGTGTGAGCCACCGCGCCCGGCTTGAGCTTTGTTATTTTTATTTTTATTTTTATTTGAGCTGGAGTCTTGCTCTGTCGCCCAGGCTGGAGTGCAGTGGCATGATCTTGGCTCACTGAAACCTCCACCTCCCAAGTTCAAGCGATTCTTCTGCCTCAGCCTCCTGAGTAGCTGGGATTACAGATGCCCGCCACCATGCCCAGCTAATTTTTGTATTTTTAGTAGAGATGGGGTTTCACCACTTTGGCCAGGCTGGTCTCAAACTCTTGACCTCAAGTGATCTGTGTGGGGATTACAGGCGTGAGCCACTGCGCCTGGTCCAGGACTGAGCTTTATATCAGCAGAGTTCTAGTTTTGATTTTTCTTTTCTACAACCTACCTGTGTGTGATCTCTTTTGGGTGTCAATCATTATTGATATTTTAATATTGACTTTCTTTAGTTCTAAGAGTTTGAGCCTAATTCTGCTGTTAAGATGAAAGACTAAAGGACTAAAGAGTAGGTGTGCAGACTTTAGACTTTTCTGTAAGTGTGTGTGATCCAAAGTCCAAGCTAGGATACTGGCTTTATTTAAGGACCACCTGGCTAACTTTCTAAGTTGTCTTGAGCCTTGGTGTTTGCTTCAGTATTTTTTTTTTCTTTTTTTTGAGACGGACTCCTACTCTGTCCCCAGGCTGCAGTGCAGTGGGGCAATCTTGGCTCACTGCAACCTCCGCCTCCTGGGTTCAAGCAATTCTCCTGCTGCTAGTCAGAAGGTGATTTTTATTTTTCTGTCTGTGATTTTATTTTCAGCTATCCAGATAGTGACACCTCCTGTAGACAAGGAAGCCGAGTCGTATCAAGGAGAGGAAGAACTAGTTTCCCAAACAGATGTTAAGACATTCTTGGAAGCCTTACCGGTAGGTTCAGTGGTGTGCTGGTCAATGCTTAACAACCGGCTCCACCCTCCAACCTCCCCTCCCTGCCACCCCAAAAAAGAAAAAGAGAGAGAGGCCCCGGTTTGTACCATTTATTGTAAATGGTCTCACCATGGTGATTGCAAGTAAACAACATGATATCAACCAGAGTGCACATTTTCTGAAAATTTAACAGTTGGCTGACACTAGCTGACTAGTGAGAGCTAGTTAGTTTGAGTTCTCGCTAGTTAGTTTGAGCTGACTCCCCACACCCCTGAGTTGCTCTGAAATGGTTCCTCTGTTCTTATCTGTGGGATGCAATTAGAGCCAGCTTTAGGGACATATAATCTATGGAGCACAGGGCGTCTGATAGTAATTCCACAGTTCAAGTACAGAGCTTTTGTTTAATGCTCTGCTGTTACTGCTTTGAAATTCTTAATGTATTGAACAAGAGGTTTGCCAAGCATGTAGCTGGCCAACCCAGAGGGCAAGGGTTTCTGGTTTCTGTGGTGCTCAGCTCTGAAAGGATGGGTGGAAGGGGAAACGTTGGGAGAATTTGCAGTCTGTTCCTCACCATGTGATCATGATCCTTGGGAGATATGTGACAGTCTTCCCTGGGATTTGTGGTTCTTCCAGCAGACTTGGGTAATTTCTTTGCCAACATCTGTCAGCATCAATGAAGTTAGCTTGGTCTGGGAAATGTTTTGTTTTTGTTTTCAACTGTGATAAAATACACATAACAAAATTTACCATCTTAATCAATTTTAAGTATACAGTTCAGTAATGTTAAATACCTTCACATTGTTGTGCAGACATTACCACCATCCATCTCCAGAACTTTTTCATCTTCTTTTAGTAAAACTTTGTACCCATTAAACAATAACTTCTCATTTTCTCCTTCCCTCCAACCCCTGGAAACCACCATTCTACTTTCTCTCTCTATAAATTTGACTTTTCAGGGTACCTCATATAAGTAGAACCATACAATATTTGTTCGTTTGTGACTAGCTTATTTCACTTAGTGTAAAGTCTTCAGGGTTCATCCAAGTTGTAGCATATCTCAGAATTTCCTTCCTTTTTAAAGGCTGAATAATATTCCACTGTGTGTATATACAGTAAGTCCTCACTTAAAAGGTTGATAGATTTTTGGAAACTGAATTTAAGTGACAGCATACTGTATAATGTATTTATTTTTATTTAAAATTTTTTTTTATAGAGATAAGGTTTTGCTATGTTGCCCAGGCTGGTCTCAAATTCTTGGGCTCAAGCAATCCTCCCGCCTTATCCTCCCAAAGTGCTGAGATTACAGCCATGTACCACCACGCCCAGCCACATACCATATAATGAAACCAATTTTACCATAGGCTCATTGATATAAACAAGAGTTGGCCAGGCATGGTGGCCCACACCTCCAATCCCAGCACTTTGAGAGGCCAAGGCAGGCGGCTTACTTGAGGCCAGGAGTTCGAGACCAGCCTGGCCAACATAGCGAAACCCCATCTCTACTAAAAATACCAAAATTAGCTGGGCGTGGTGGTGCATGCCTATAATCCCAGCTACTCGGGAGGCTGAGGCACAAGAATAGCTTGAACCTGGGAGGTGGAGGTTGCAGTGAGCTGAGATTGCATCACTGCACTCCAGCTTGGGCAACAGAGTGAGACCCTGTCTCAAAAAACGATAACAAAAAGCCCTAAGAGTTAAGTTTCTATAGCATACAGTTCGTTGTTTCACTTAAAGGCGGAGTTACCAAGAACCTACTGATGACTCTGAGTGAGGACTCACTGTATTACATTTTGTTGTCCACTCATCCATTGATGGACTCTTGGGCTGCTGCCACCTTTTGACTATTTTTAATAACGCTGCTGTGAATGTTGGTGTAAAAATATCTCTTTGAAATGCTGCTTTCAATTCTTTTGGGTTTGTATCCATAAGTGGAAATGGTGGATTATATAGTCATTCTATTTTCAATTTTTTGAGGAACCTTCATTCTATTTTCCACAGTGACTATACCATTTTACATTTCCACCAGCTGTGCACACATCCTCAGCAACACTTCCTCACCAAGACGTATTATTCTCTTTCATTTTTGATAGTAGGCATCCTAATGGAAGTGAGGTCCTATTTCCCTGTGGTTTTGATTTGCTTTCCTTAATGACTAGGGCTGTCGAGCATCTTCTCATGTGCTTTTGGCGATTTGTATATCTTCTTTAGAGAAATGTCTGTCCAAGTCCTTTGTTCATTTTCTAATTCGGTTGTTTGTAGAAGTTTTATTTTTAATTCTTTTTTTTTTTTTTTTGAGACGGAGTCTCACTCTGTCGCCCAGGCTGGAGTGCAGTGGCAGGGTCATGGCTCACTGCAACCTCTAACTCCCAGGTTCAAGCGATTCTCCTGCCTCAGCCTCCCAAGTAGCTGGGATTACAGGCGCGCATCAACACACCTGGCTAATTTTTGTATTTTTTAATAGAGACAGGGTTTCACTATGTTGGCCAGGCTGATCTCGAACTCCTGACCTCAAGTGATCTGCCTACCTTGGCCTCCCAAAGTGCTGGGATTATAGGTGTGAGCCACCGTACCCGGCCTTTATTTTTTAATTCTTTTTTTTTTTTTTTTTTTGAGACTGAGTCTTGCTCTGTCTCCCAGGCTGGAGTGCAGTGGCTCAATCTCAGCTCACTGCAAGCTCCGCCTCCCGTGTTCACACCATTCTCCTGCCTCATCCTTCCAAGTAGCTGGGACCACAGGCGCCCGCCACCACGCCTGGCTAATTTTTTGTATTTTTAGTAGAGACGGGGTTTCACCGTGTTAGCCAGGATGGTCTCAATCTCCTGACCTCGTGATCCACCCGCCTCAGCCTCCCAAAGTGCTGGGATTACAGGCGTGAGCCACCGCGCCCGGCCTATATTTTATTCTTAAAAATTCTTTTATGGCTTCTTTACTATTGTCATGGTCTGATATTTTTACAGTTACAATTTTTAGATTTAAAAATAATTTCAATTTTATAGAAAAGTTGCAAGAATGTGAATAATATAAAGAATACCTATGTACTGTTTTCCTAGATTTACCTACCTGTTGTTGATGTTTTACCCCATTTGCTTTATTATTTTTGTGCATTTACTCACACTTGCTCTCTTTCTCCCTTTCTCTCCACACACACATAATTTTTTTCTGAACTTTTTGAGAGTAAGTTGCATACATCATGGCCTTTTACTCCTAAATATTTTCGTGTGTATTTCCTAATAATAAGGATATTCTTTTACAGAACTATAACACAATTATCAATGCCAGTAAAGTTATGTTAATATAATACTTTTATCAAATCAATGGTCCATATTCCAATTTTGTCTGTTGAACCCAATAATGTCCTTGACAGTTTTTAAACCATCTAGTACAAAATTCCACATAGGATCCTATATAAATGCAACACAAGGCTGGGTATGTTGGCTCACACCTGTAATCCCAGCACTTTGGGAGGCCGAGGTGGGAGGACCACTTGAGGCCAGGAGTTCAAGGTGAGCCTGGGCAACATAGTGAGACCCTCTCTAAAAGAAAATAATAAAAATTAAAAATACAATATAATACAATACAATATTGTATTTAGTTGTCATGATCCTTTAGTCTCCTTTAATCTTTTTTTTTTTTTTTTTTTTTTTGAAACTGAGTCTCACCCTGTCACCCAGGCTGAAGTACAGTGGCATGATCTCGGCTCACTATAACCTCCACCTCCCAGGTTAAAGCAATTCTTGTGCCTCAGCCTCCCAAGTATCTGAGATTACAGGCATGCACCACCACATTCGGCTAATTTTTGTATTTTTAGTAGAGATGGCATTTCACCATGTTGGCCAGGCTGGTCTCGTACTCCTGACCTAAGTTATCTGCCTGCCCCAGCCTCCCAAAGTGCTGGGATTACAGGCGTGAGCCACCATGCTTGGCATAGTCTCCTTTAATCTTGAACATTTCCACAACTTTTATGACATTTAATTTCCTCTTTTATGCCATTGAGACTTTTGAAGAATGCAGTCACTCCTCCCACCTTTCATTAAATAGAATTTTCCTTATCTTTGGTACATGTGGTATTTCCTCATAATTAGATTCAAGCTGTACGTTCTGGCCAGAATATCACAGAAGTGATGTGTCTTTCTCAGGGCATCCCATCTGGAAATACGTCATGTCCATCTGCCCCCCTATTCGTGATGCTAATTTTGATTATTTGGTCAAGATATTTTCTGATATTATCACTCTGCAGTTAATTTTATATAGTTACTATTTTTTCCCCACGCAATTAATAAGCAAGTGCTGGAGAGACATTTTAAGATTCTGTAAATATCCTGCTGCACATGAAAAGTTTCCCCCTAGATTGAGCGTCTGCTGATGATTCTTGTGTGATCCAGCATTTACTATGTTGGTTGTAAAACAATGCTTTTCTGACTCCAGTATTCTCTCCACATTCGTAAGTTGGCTCTCAGCATTCTACTGTAAAGAAGGACCCTCCTTTCTCCCCAGGAAGGTGTTTTTGTTTTTTTAAATGAAGGAGACCGTGGAAACTCGCCAGATGACCTGTAGCTCCTGGAGCTTGGCAAAGGCTGGGCAAACGCCCACCTGAAGACTATGCAGGCAATCAGGACATGACACAGAGCCGGGAGAGGCCTGCTCTTCGGCTCTGCCCTGAACCTCATTCGGCAGGTGGAGGTATTTAGGCATTTGAGGGAATCTCAGCTTTGGGAGGCCACTTTGTAAGTGATCTTAAGAGATTAAGTACATCCTTAATTAAAAGAAATGGTAACACCTCCGCCTGCTTGCTGTGAGTTTATTCATTTGAATTCCCCATCTCCCCCAATGGGAAATAACACAGAATTGCAATTATTTATAAAATCTTAAATTGGCTTCTTTTCTCTAGGAAAATAGCCCTTGATTCAATTAATTCCAATCCTAGAAAAGCGCCTAGATATCTGATTGAGGTATTGAGGGAGAGAGGCTGCTCCCCTTGATTCTTTTACTATAATCCAATTAAAGCAACATTTATGGGCCAACTCCCTGGCCATGGGCACAGCTTTGTTTAGAGAGTTGCAAATCCATTCCCACCTCCCCGCTCCCCCAGAAGCTCTTTATTATTTTATTTTATTTATTTATTTTTTTGAGATGGAGTCTCGCTCTGTCACCCAGGCTGGAGTGCAATCTCAGCTCAATGCAACCTCAGCCTCCCGGGTTCAAATGATTCTCATGCCTCAGCTTCCCTAGTAGCTGGGATTACAGGCACCCGCCACCATGCCTGGCTAATTTTTTTTGTATTTTTAGTAGATACAGGATTTCACCATGTTGACTTAAGGTGATCCACCCTCCTGAGTCTCCCAAAGTGCTGGGATTACAGGCATGAGCTATTGTGCATGGCCATCCCAGAAGCTCTTTAAAATGTGGTTTTCCAGCACTGACATTTTAGGATTCCCTAATTCTAAGTTAAATTGTCTGCTAAATGTAACTCTTCCCACCCACTTTTTCAACTTGTTTTGTGCTCAGATACTGACATGCATGTAGAAACACACACACACACACACACACGATTCTGCTCGTTGTCTTTGAGAAATTCAGTGGTTTCTAAAGGGGCATGGCTCAGCTGTGGCCTCTGAAGCGCTGTGGTTCCGCTGACGTGGGATGATAACTTGGCCACGGCACATGCAGTAGGGGGATAGTCGTGGCAGTACTAGAAGTGCAAAGGGGACTGGGGCACAGCATCTCACGTGTTTTCACAGACTTTTAAGGTTGGAAGGTGTCTTAAAAGTTATCTGGGCAGCCCTTTCCCTCTCCATCAAATGATGAATAAAATAAAACTTGGTGAAACATCTCATGTTTCTTAAGCACCTGAGGATTTTTTTTTTAAATTTAAAAGAACACTGCCAATAATTGGGCTCAATGAGAAGGAACTCTCATCGAATTTTAAGCAACATCTCCTAATATGTTTAAAAATTAAATTTATTTTTTTCTCAGCCCCCTGCAACTTCAGCCTCCCAGGTTCAAGTGATTTTCCTGCCTCAGCCTCCTGAGTAGCTGGGATTACAGGCACGTGCCACCGCACCCAGCAAATTTTTTGTATTTTTAGTAGAGATGGGGTTTCGCCATGTTGGCCAGGCTGGTCTCGAACTCCTGACCTCAGGTGATCCACCTGCTTCAGCTCCCAAAGTGCTGGGATTACAGGCGTGAGCCACCGTACCCGGCCAAATCGATTTTTTTGAGTGTGGCATAAGGTTTTCTTAAGGAGAGGCATGTCTCTCTATGGAGGAGACCTAACACCTGCTTCTTTATAAGGCCTTATTGGACCCCTCTTGAAAACTATCAAAAGAAGTTGAAAGATGATTCAGTGTGGCCAGGCTGTGGGACATTCACTCATTCATTCATTCATTCCTCTCTGACATAGAGACTTGAGAGGTGTCAACAGAGGATGCAACATTCTCGGGAGAAGAAAGGCAGATTAGACCTTAAAGCTTTTTTCTAGTCCCTGTTCTGGCTGACTTTATCAGCCAAGGGAAGAACAAATCAAGGAAAGCCAGGGCCTGGAGGGGCTGGGCAGAGCCTGCTGCTGTGTCTGCATTGCCCCTAATCCCAGAAGACTCACTCAACTGCTGGACAAAACCAGAAGGCAGTCTGGCCAGGCCCTTGTCTGCCTCTTAGAAGAAATCTAGGATTCTACAGGAAGGGAACAGTGGCTTATGAAAAGAAAGGCAGGAAGCCTTTTGGAAAGTGAAGCTAAGCCTCCTTTGCATTTGTTCCTGCAGAGCTGGGGGAACAGCTCTTCCCCAACACCTTGGTCAGGTCCCCTTGGGGGCTTTCTGCTGAAGGCTGACGGCTGAGAGTCATAGGGGGAAGGGGGTGATGGTGAATGGGGAGGAGGGTACAGAAAAGACAGGGTCTTAGACTTTGTTTTAATTTTGTATTTAATTATATAAAACATTAATGTATGCCCAAGGTAGTGCATCCTTGCCTCTCCTCCCCACCTCGATTGCCATTTTTATTTGTTTTTTGATTTATCTTATTACTTTTGAAAAAAATCCAACGTATATCTTCCCTTTATTACAAAAGAGGTAGTGCACTCAAATACCATTTCATTTTGCTTTCTCCATATGACAGCATCCCCTGGAGAAGGGTATAGAGGCTGTCCTTGGCATCTTACTCCACTATGTGGACATACCACAGCTTTTTCAATCACTTCCTATTGGTGGACATTAGGCTATTTCCAGTCCTTAGTGTAAATAATGCTGCAATGAGTAAGTACCCTTGAGCATATGTCACACTGTATTTTTGCCAGTGCGTCTTTGTGAACCTTCTCCTTTGGATGGAGAGAGTTGGTTCTCTTCCCATTTCCTGCCAATGAACTTTCTTTTTTTTTTTTTTTTGAGACAGAGTCTTGCTCTGTCACCCAGGCTGGAGTGCAGTTGCGCAATCTCGGCCCACTGCAACCTCTGCCTCCCAGGTTCAAGTGATTCTCCTGCCTCAGCCTCCTGAGTAGCTGGGATTACTGGCATGCGCTACCACACCCGGCTAATTTTTTTATTTTTAGTAGAGGTGGGGTTTCACCATGTTAGTCAGGCTGGTCTCGAACTCCTGACCTCAGGTGATCCACCTGCCTTGGCCTCCCAAAGTGCTGGGATTACAGGCATGAGCCACCGCAACCGGCCCAATGACCTTTTCTGTGGCTGTGGATTAGATATCTGTCCTTCCCTGCATCAAGTCTAGTTTTTGTTCCTCATCCTAACTGTGTGAAATTCCTATGTTTCATGCCCTCCTTTCTTTTTTCTCAGCAGGAGTCCTGGCAAAATAAGCATGCAGGTAGTAATGGTAGGTATTTCTAATGTACTTTTTACAACTTAGATCGGTATGGTAGGGATAGACATATTTGATATATACCAAGGAATTCAAGGTGACTTGGAAGAGAAGCTTTATAAATAATGAATAATTCATTTTTTATTCCAATTCAAGGCAAGACATTGAATGCATGGATTGTACTAGGCTTTTCTATGGCAGTATGGAGAGGGCTGGGTGGTTTCTGCTCTGAATGCCTAGTATAGCAGATTCTAGGGACTGCAGGCGGCTGTTCTTCCTCCACCCTTCAGAATTAGGCCACCCTCTGTGCAGCAGAAACAGCCCCCGCAGGGCTGAAGCCTTCAGGCCAGTAGTGACAGCAGAATGTGCAGTCTGGGTGCGTGTCCTCTATGGAGTGGTTCCAGATGTTGCTTCAGAGGGAGAGAAGAAGCAAGAGGAGGGACTTGAGGATGGTGTGTTTAGTTCCCTGAATCCCTGCCCAGAAACCATAACCTTAGGAAAATATTCCAGAATCTGCCATCAGGTTAAACTGCTTATGAACAAACAGGCTTTGGCGAAGTCTTTCTGTGGTATGTAAAGTTTGTCACAGACCATTCCTCATTTTTTTTTCTGGAAAATTATCCTTCAGAGTCCAAGACACACAGCTTTGCTAGCAATTTGTCTTTTTGCCTAACACGGAGGTTGTGTGCTATGATGTTGGTGACATTGACCAGGTCACCATTATTAAGCACTTGTCACATACTAGGCACTGTTCAGAGAGATTTCAGGGATTATATCATTTATTCCTCCATTCACTGGAGGTAGGTAATACTGTTATTCTCACTAATGATGAGGAAACTGAGACCCATGAAATCTAGTGCTTTGCACTGCAGCTAAAAGGCACCGCAGCTAAAAAGAAGTGAAGCTGGGATTTGAACCCAGCTGTCTGATTCCAGAGCTTACTCTCCTAAGGCCAGGCTATCCCAGTGTCTATTTATGTGAGCTCAGGTGACTGCTTCACCCCTCTGAAGAATAAAGCAGTTTCTTTCAGCTTTACAATTCTGCGGTTCCAACATTTAGACGTGACTTCCCGTGGAGCATTACCTTCTCTCATGGTGAGGAGGAATTTATAGGTGCTCTGAGCCACTGAAGCGTGGATCCCTTTTGCTGTATTTTCTGGTCTGGGGAATATGGACTTGCTCAGCCTGAGGACTGACCCTTAGCAGTAGTTAATAACTAACTCATGCCCCAGAGACAAGGACAGAGTTTGGTGGGTTCTACTACAAACTTCCTGTGAGTGGAAAAAGAAAACTGTTTGATGTTACATTTTCCTGTTAGTGCCATGTGACAAATAATGCATTGCTGACTTTCTCTCTGTGATAGAGTCTTTTCCAGAGGAATCAGGGAGTTGGCAGGAACACTTCAAAGCAGTGTGATCCTCAGTCGATGCCCAACTGGAACTTTCTTTTTCCCCTCTTTTTTCTTTTCTTTTCTTTTCTTTTTTTTTTTTTTGAGACAGGGCCTCACTCTGTTGCCTAGGCTGGAGTGCAGTGGTGTAATCACAGCTCACTGCAGCCTTGACCCCTCGGACTCAGGTGATCCTCCCACCTCAACGTCCCAGGAAGCTGGGACTACAGGCAATGTGTCACCATGCCCAGCTAATTTTTTGTATTTTTTTTTTCTAGAGATGGGGTCTCACTAAGTTGTCCAGGCTGGTCTTGAACTCCTGGGCTCAAGCGATCAGCCCGTCTTGGCCTCCCAAAGTGCTGGGATTACAGGCATGAGCCACCACGCCCAGCCTCCCTCTTTTTCCTTCTCTAGGGAAGAGGTCCACCTAGCCTCTTTATATCCAGTGACATAAATGCTGACTCAATCCAACCATACTTGAGCTGGAAGCCTTGAGCTGATCCATGGGATCTTAATTAATTCCCCACCCAATCCCTGCCAGCAGCATAGTTTCCAACCCAGACAAAGCAAAAAAGAATGCGAAGACACATCAGTCTCTCCCATCAGGAAGGGCATGGTGGCTGAATTTGTCTCAGGAGGGCCTTGAGAGAAGCATAATTCTCCAGAATTAGATGCGAAAATTATCAGTGAAGAAATCTAAGTGCTTGGGGAAGATATTTGGAGTCTGAGTACCTCTCTTTCTAGGTAACAGAGCCACAAATGGTGCACCAAGCCTGGTCTCCAGGGGGATGCAAGGAGCATCTGCTAACACTCTAAACTCTGAAACCAGCACAAAGGTCTGGATGGTTTCTTTTATTCCTTTTTTAATAAAAAAATTTTTTTTCCAAATTTAATCAAAAGGACGGTTTCTTTAGGGGCTCTCTCCCTAGGGTCCAGCCTTCGATGATTTTAAGGGCTCCGAGCTGTTTGTTTCAGACTTGTTTCTCCCTCTCTCTGTAATTATCTCTGTTCTTCCCACCTTTTTCTGTATCAATCAGAAGTGACTGATCCCTTTGACTGTGGAGGAAATGCTGTTACACTTTGAGTCATGCATACCCTTTGGGTTATTTCTGGAGAGGGGTAGTTTCTTTTCTTATCCATTGAAGCCACTTGTTTTCTGCTTGGATAAAGATGTACCACGATTTCAAGGATGATTTTAGCTGCCCAGAGGCTCTGCTAAAGCCAGCTCAGCTAATTTGCAATCACATGCTGTTTACAATAGCCTTAAAAAATAATTGCACATGTTTTTAAATTCCTACTGTGAATATATATATATATTGAATTTTAAAAATTGAATATACAGCCATCTTTATATACATATGAATATATATCAGCCATCTTTATATATATATGAATATATATGTGTATATATATACTTTATTTATAAGTATACTTTATATATATATACTTATATATTAAGTGTATATATATATATACACACACTCATATATATATTCACATATATATAAAGATGGCGGTCTCACTGTGTTGCCCAGGCTTGTCCTGAACTCTCAGGCTCAAGGAATTCTCCTGCCTCAGCCACCCAAGTACCACCATGCCAGCTTGTATATTATTTTTATATTCAGAAATAAAATTACAAAAGATTTCCCTTTTTTGAAGGCATTAGATCACTCCAGAAATGAACCATCTGAAAAAAATCTTTGATATTTATGTTGTCTCATGAAATCCTTGTGTATGCTTTCTTCATTCATGTTGCTAATATGAAAGTGAAGATGCTTTTGCATAAACCCTGGGTTTGACAATATTAAAATATATATTCCATTTTCTTAACTGTCATGATTGAGCTTCTCCAGCCAAACCAGGTGAAGTCTGAATTTTAATCAGGATCTGGCATTTCACCTTGGAATTAATTAGCTAATTCCACACTAGGGCCAGGATCTTGAGAACTCTCTGCCTCTGATACTGGGAGTGGCATCCTGAAAGAAAGGAACTGTCTAATCTTTAGTGCAAATGAGATTTATCCTTTGTCCTGGGCTCTAGGACTTAAAAAAGAATCTTTGAAATTTTATTCAGATCACAATTGTGCAGTAAAAGTGAGTTGCAGAGTAGTCAGAATCCCCAGTTTTTCAATATGTGACTTCAGAAATAATGTGGCATAAATACCCCAAGGGGTTTAGACTAGAGTATAAAAACATGGTTTTGGACAGGCATGGTGGCTCATGCCTGTAATCCTAGCACTTTGGGAGGCTGAGGTGGGCGAATCACTTGAGGTCAGGAGTTCAAGACCAGCCTGGCCAACATGGTGAAACTCTACCTCAACCAAAAATACAAAAATTATCGGCTGGGCGCGGTGGCTCATGCCTGTAATCCCAGCACTTTGGGAGGACGAGGTGGGCGGATCACAAGGTCAAGAGATCAAGACCATCCTGGCCAACATAGTGAAACCCCGTCTCTACTAAAAATACAAAAATTACCTGGGCATGGTGGCGGGCGCCTGTAGTCCCAGCTACTCGGGAGGCTGAGGCAGAAGACTCGCTTGAACCCAGGAGGTGGAGGTTGCAGTGAGCTGAGATCACGCCATTGCACTCCAGCCTGGGTGACAGAGCGAGATGCTGTCTCAAAAAAAAAAAAAAATTATCTGGGGGTGTTGGTGGGCACCTGAGGCAGGTGGATCCCTTGAATCCGGGAGGCAGAGGTTGCAGTGAGCCGAGATCGCGTCACTCACTCCAGCCTGGGCAACAAGAGTGAGACTCCATCTCAAAACAACAACAACAGCAACAACAAAATAACAACAACAACAAAAACATGGTTTAAACAACTGGCATGGGGAGATACATCCTGCTCTTCCTCACAGTGGATCCATTGGAGTGGTTGGTTAGAAACATTTAAGGCCCTAAGATAAGGATTCCTACTAAGTGGCTCTATCTATTCTTCAAGAGGGCAGCTGTGTACAGGATGAATCGGAACCACAGAGGCCTCTGTGTCATTGTCAACAACCACAGCTTTACCTCCCTGAAGGACAGACAAGGAACCCATAAAGATGCTGGTAAGAAAGTCTGGAACAGTTTATCAAATGCAAATTGGGGATCTTAAAATTATTTTTTATTTTCACATTTTCTTTCTGTGACTTTTATCTTCCATATACGTGTAAGGATGATATCATGTTTCTGAGCCTCTTATATATCCCTGGGGAGTCATCAGTCTGCTAAAGAGTGGCAAGAATCTTTGACTATTCACAATTCTGAATAGAGGAGAGCATGTACTGGGGGAGAGCCTGCTGGATTGGCACGAGACAACTTGGGCGTGAGCTCCAGCTCCACCACTAACTAGGTGTGTGATCATGGGAGAGTCAAGAGACCTTGGCTTCTTCAACTGTGAAACAGGATGAAACACTGGCCACTGCCGATTCTCAGGACTGTTGTGACAACACTGGGTATTACGTGATAGGAGATTCATTGTAAGATTTTATGGTTATGAAAATAAAAATAATCCAAAGCTTTAGGCTATTTGCTGTGCAAATTTTGTAACTATTAGCATTGTTTCAGTTTTTTTTTTCTTTGAGACAGAGTCTTGCTCTGTTGCCCAGGCTGGAGTGCAGTGGTGCAGTCCCAGCTCACTGCAACCTCTGCCTCCCAGGCTCAAGCCATTCTCGTGCCTCAGCCTCCCGAGTAGCAGGGATTACAGGCGTGAGCCACCACACCTGGCTATTTTTTGTATTTTCAGTAGAGATGGGGTTTTGCCATCTGGCCAGACTGTTCTCAAACTCCTGACCTCAAGTGATCCGCCTGCTTCGGCCTTCCAAAGTGCTGAGATTATAGGTGTGAGCCACTGTGCCCGGCCTTGTTTCAGTTCTTCATTTTGTTTTGCATCATTTTATTATTTCCCCTTTCTCTCTCTCTCTCTCTTTTTTTTTTTTTTTTGTTTTTAAACAGAGATCCTGAGTCATGTGTTCCAGTGGCTTGGGTTCACAGTGCATATACACAATAATGTGACGAAAGTGGAAATGGAGATGGTCCTGCAGAAGCAGAAGTGCAATCCAGCCCATGCCGACGGGGACTGCTTCGTGTTCTGTATTCTGACCCATGGGAGATTTGGAGCTGTCTACTCTTCGGATGAGGCCCTCATTCCCATTCGGGAGATCATGTCTCACTTCACAGCCCTGCAGTGCCCTAGACTGGCTGAAAAACCTAAACTCTTTTTCATCCAGGCCTGCCAAGGTGAAGAGATACAGCCTTCCGTATCCATCGAAGCAGATGCTCTGAACCCTGAGCAGGCACCCACTTCCCTGCAGGACAGTATTCCTGCCGAGGCTGACTTCCTACTTGGTCTGGCCACTGTCCCAGGCTATGTATCCTTTCGGCATGTGGAGGAAGGCAGCTGGTATATTCAGTCTCTGTGTAATCATCTGAAGAAATTGGTCCCAAGGTGAGAGCTCTTTTTTTTCTTCCATTTGTAATTAATTAGTTTTATTTATTTTTTATTTTACTCTCATTCAACACCTTTGGTAAGGGTGAGAGTTCTACGTTGTTCTATCCATGTACCTGTTCAACCATCTGCCTACCCTCCTGTTTATCTATTTATCCATCTATCCACCCATTCATCTATCCATCCATCTATCCACCCATTCATCTATCCATCCATCCATCTGTCCATCCATCCATCCATCCAGCAACCTTGTATTGAGTACCAGCCTGGACCTGGAAAGGAAGATACAGAGTTAAAAAAAGACAGAGTCCTTGCCCTCAGGTTGCTTACAAGCTAGAGGGATAGACAAACAAATAGACGGGGAAGGGCATCCCCAGCTGGTAAGTGCACATTGTGAAGTATAGGTGTTATGGGAACATGCAGAATGAGTACCTTGCCCAGATTTGAAGGATCAGAGGAGGCTTCTAGAAATGACAAATAGATGTTAGGTAAAGAATCAGGTGAAAGATGTGCTGGGCAGAGGGAATAGCATGAACAAAAGCATGGGGGCCTTTTATTTGTTCGTTTATTTATCACTCACTCTTACGTCCTGAGCACCTATGTGCTATCTTTGGACTTCTATTTGCCACTGCTCTGACAGCTTCCCTTCTGTCTCTGCCACATGCTGTCCTCTTGGCACCTTTAGCCATACCTAGAGGCCATGGGCTCCTCCATGAAAACGTCTCCAAAGTTGCCATCTCTGGCCCACTCATCTCTGAATTCCTGGGGGCAGAGACCCTGTTTCATTCAACTTTATATCCTCAGCCCCTGACCTGATATATTGTGAGCTTGTTAAACATTTGCTGGGCCAATGAATGACTTGCTTGAGCCTGTCTCATTAACATCCCGCTAGATATCCTACCTCTGTTTAGCCCTTGGACCTCACATTCAGCATGCATGTTTCTGAGCTCATCTTCCCAGCTCTCTCCAGGAGCTCCTACTCCTGAATTTCCATTTGAAGGAATGGCCATAGTGCTCTTCTGGGAATTCAGGATTGGAACCTTGAGTCAACTTTGCTTTTCTCTCTTCTTTACCAGCCCCTCCATTCTCATCACAGACATCAGAGGCTAATGTCTATGGCTTCAGGAACAAGGCAATATTTATTGAGAGCGTACTATGTGCTTACTGTACTGGGTACCGAACTGGGGACAGGGGGTGCAACTGTGTACAAGAGAGACAAAATCTGCTCTCCAGGGAGCTAAAAGTCCAGTGAAGGAAGGACAGATAATAAAAATATAAGTGAATATTTAAATTATTATTATTTTAAAAATTCAACAATATTAAAAGGAGACAGTATACATGCATGATTAAGCAATGTGTGGTTTTTTTTGGTACTCCAGAAATTTCTGTTATTTTTAATTGATACTTCATAACTACATATTTCAGGGTTATAATTTGATGTTTCAATACATATATGTGTTGTATAATGATCAAATCAGGGTAGTTAGTGTATCCATCACCTCATGCATTTATCATTTCTTTGTGGTGAGAACCTCTAAAAGCCTCTCTTGTAGCTATTTTGTAATATACAACACCTTACTGATTGATCGATTGATTTAAATATGGGATCTCACCATGTTGCCGAGGCTGGCCTTGAACTCCTAGGCTCAAGCAATCTTCCTGCCTTAGCCTTGTAAGTAGCTAGGATTATATGCTCAAACCACAGTGCCCAGCTCAGAATGCCTTACTGTTAACCATAGTCACCCCACTGTGCAGCAGAACACCAGAGGTTATTTCTCCTATCTAATTGTAACTTTGTACCCATTGACTAACCTCTCATCTTCCCTTCCCTCCTTCTCTCTCTCATCTTTGTAATTGCTGTTCTAATCACTGCTTCTATGACATCAACTTTTTAAACAAAGATTCCACATGAGTGAGAACAAGCAGATTTTTTCTGTGTCTTGCTTATTTCACTCTGGGCTCATTCATGTTGTCAGACATGTCAGGATTTTCTTTTTTTATGGCTGAATGGTATTCTGTCACGTATAAATATCACATTTTCTTTATCCATATATCCATTTTTGGACCCTTAGGTTGATTCCATATCTTGGCTATTGTAAATAATGCTGCAGTAAACTGGGAGTGCAGATATCTCTCTGACATATTGATTGCATTTTCTTTGTTTATATACTTAGTATGGGGATTGCTGGATCATATAGTATTTTTATTTTTCATTTTATGAGGAACTGGCATACTATTTTCCATAATGGCTGTACTAATTTTCAATACCACCAACAGTGTGTAAGTGTTCCCTTTTCTCCAGATCTTTGCCAATATGTGTTTTCTTTTGTTTCCTCGATAATAGCCATTCTAACTTGAGTGAAGTAGCATCTCACTGTGGGTTTTTTATTTTTATTTTTATTTTTTTTTAGACAACATCTTGCTCTGTCAGGCTGGAGTGCAGTGGCGCAATCTCAGCTCACTGCAGCCTCTGCCTCCTAGGTTCAAGCAATTCTTCTGCCTCAGTCTCCCGAGTAGCTGGGATCACAGGCATGTGCCACCACGCCTGGCTAATTTTTGTATTTTTAGTAGAGACAGGGTTTTACCACGTTGGCCAGGCTGGTCTGGAACTCCTGATCTCAAGTGATCCACCCACCTCAGCCTCCCAAAGTGCTGGTATTACAGGCGTGAGCCACGGCGCCCAGCTGTCACTGTGGTTTTGATTTGCATTTCCGTGATGATTAGTGATGTTGAGGGGTGGAAGCGGGTAAGTAGGAAAACTCCCACCACAACTATAGTGCTAGAGTGAAGTAGGGCTGAGACTGGGGTTGGGCCTTCCAAGGCGGAAGGAAGTCAGGGGTGGAGGCCAAGTTGGGCTGATTTTCCTGCTGCTGCTAAGAGAAAACCAATTAATGGAAGAAGGTTGGGGGTAGGGTTAAGGATAAGTATTTGTTGAGGCTCTCATGTATTGGATGATGAGAGGAATCATGCTATAGCTAAAATAAAGCCAATGTCACCAATGCGATTGTATAGAATTGCTTGGAGGGCTGCTGTGTTAGCATCTGCTTGGCCATGTCATCAGCCAATTAGTAGAAAAGATATAATTCCTACACCCTCTCATCTGATAAAGAGTTGGAAAATGTTGTTGGCAGTAACTAGAATTAATATTGTGGTGAGGAAAATAAGTAGGTATTTGAAAAACTGATTAATGTTCAGATCTGCCTTCATATATCATATTGAGAATTCTATAATAGATCAAGTGATAAATAGTGCTACTAGAATAAACATTATGGAGAATTAGTCTAGTTTGAAGCTTAATGAGAGTTTTAGGGTTTGGATTGTTATTCAATATCAGTTTGAGATGATGGTTTCTTGGTCTGTACACATAAATGTTGTGGGAATGAGGCTAATGGTGAAAGTGCATGCGACAGCTATTTTTACATAGTATGGATATGAGTTCTTTTTGTGAGGGTTGATAAAGGTAATAATAATTGGTAAGGTTAAGGAGATTAAGGTTATTATAGTAATGGAAAAATACATGATTATTACTTTTATTTGGAGTTGCACCAATATTTTTGGTTCCTAAGACCAATGGATAACTCTCATCCTCTAAAAGTTGAGAAAACTATGTTGTTAGGCATGGAGGCATGAGTTAGCAGTTCTTGCAAACTTTATCGGTAAATAAGAAGTTGCGGACTTCTATTATTAGACCACAATCTAACATTTTGATTAAACTATATTTACAAGGTATAAGTCCTATAATAATTTTAGGATTTAGAGATAGTAAGAGAATTGGTGAAAGGTGTATGAGTATTAGTATGTTTTCTCGTGTAAAGGAAGGTTTAATGCTGTTAATATAGTATGTTAGTGTTCCTTGTTGTGTTGTGACAAGTATATAGAGGGAATAAAGGGCTGTGATTAATATATTAAGTCCTATAAGCATGATGGTAGTGTTTGATCAGGAGAATGAAGCCGTTGTTACAAGGAGTTCTCCTACTAGATTAATAGTGGGGGGTAGGGCAAGGTTGGTGAGATTTGCTGTAAGTCATCAAAAGGTTACTAGTGGAAGTAATGTTTGACGTCCTCGAGAGAGTAATATGATTCAGCTGTGGATTCACTTGTAGTTTGAATTTGCTAGGCAGAATAGTAGGGACGAAGTAAGTCCATGGGGAATTATGAGGATAATTGCACTGGTAAAACTTCAGGGGGTTTGAATGAGGATAGCCACAGTAACAAGTACCATGTGGCTTACGGAGGAATGTGCAATAAGTGACTTTAGATCAGTTTGTCGTAGACAGATGGAGCTTGTCATAATATGCCTCATAAGGATAATATCAGGAAAGGATAGGCTATATGTTCTGTCAGAGGGCTGAGGATGAGGGTAAGTCGCATTTTGTGTAGCCGCCCAATTTTAGGAGCACTGCTGCAAGTACTATTGAGCCAGCCTTAGGTGCTTATACATGGGCTTTGGGAAGTCATAGGTGAAGTCAGTATAGGGGTATTTTTACTATGAAGGCCATTATACATGCCAATCACATGAGATTGTTGGATCAGGAGATTGGTAGTTCTTGATATTAAATGTTATTATTATCATGCTCAGTGAGCCTAGGATATTTTGGGCATAAATAAGTGTAATAAGTAGGGGGAGGGATCCCACTAGTGTGTAAAATAAGAGATATGTACCTGCATTGAGGCGTTCTGGTTGGTTACCCCATCGGGTGATAATAATTAAGATAGGGATAAGTGTAGCTTCAAAGAGAATATAAAATATAATTAGTTCTGTGGCTGTAAATGCTATGATTAGAAAAATTTGTAGGGAAATTAATATGGAAATACAGGGTTTTTTCCATAGGGGTGATTCACTGGAGAGGTGGTACTGGCTTGCTATAGTTATAAGAGGTAGTAGTCAGGCTGTTAAGATTAGAAGGGGTGATGTTAGCGGATCAGAGGAGAAAGTTAATGAGAAGTTGAATAGATTGTCGTTGAATTAGTTAAAGAATAATAGGGCAATGAAGCTGGTGATTAGGCTGTGGGTAGCCATATTGATTCAAATTGTATAATTTTTAGAGAGTCATGTTATTGGTAGTAGTATAATTGTAGGAATAGTTATTTTTAGCATTGAAGTAAATTTAGGTTATGTATGTAGTCTAAGCCATATATGTTGGAAATTGAAAGTAGCAAAGCAAGGCCTACCCTGGCTTTGCAGGCAGCAAATACTGGTAGAGTAATGGGTATTACATTTGCTAGGGTGAAGTGTATATTTAAAGCTATAAGGGTATTTACTATGAATAATGATAATATTATTCCTTCTAGGCATAGGAGGGATGATATTAGGTGGGACTGATAGACTAATACCCCCAGAAGTGATATGATAAATGCTAATATGATACTTATGTAAATAGAGGGCATTTGGTAAGTATGTTCTATCATAATCTAATGAAATCATTTATTTTGCCTTAAACTACTTATTTTTTTCTTATACCTGTGGACCATTTGTATGTCTTCTTTTGAGAAATGTCTGTTAAAGTCTTTTGCCCATTTTTAAATGGGGTTATTTGTTTTTTTGCTGTTGAGTTATTTAAGTTCCTTATGTATTCTAAATATTAACTCCTTGTGAGATGTATAATTTGCAAATTTTTTTCCTATTTTGTAGGTTGTCTCTTCCCTCGGTTTTTTTTTTTTTTTTTTTTTTTTTGCCGTGCAAAAGGGTTTTAATTTGATGTAAACTCATTTGTCTATTTTTGCTTTTGTTGTCTGTGCTTTTGAAGTCTTGTTTTAAAAATCCTTGCCCAACCCAATGTCATGATATGTTTGCCCTGTTTTCTTGCAGCAGCTTCATAGTTTCAGGTTTTACATTTAAGTCTTACACATTTTGAGTTGGTTTTTGTTTATGGTGAGAGGTAAGTGGTTAGTCTCATTTTTCTGTGTATGGATATTCAATTTTCCCAGCACCGTTTTTTGAAGAGATTCTCTTTTACCTATTGTGTGTTCTGGGCACCTTTGTCAAAAATCAGTTGGCTGTAGGTGTGTGAATTTATTTCTGGGATCTATATTCTGTTCTATTGATCTATGTGTCTGTTTTTATACCACTACCATGCTGTTTTGGTAACTCTAGATTTGTAGTATATTTTGAAGTCAGGTGGTGGGATGCCTCCAGTTTTGTTCTTTTTGCTCAGCATTGCTTTCACTATTTGGGGTCTTTTGTGGTTCCATATACATTTTAGGGTTTTTTTCCCTATTTATGTGAAGAATGTAATTTTTTTGTTTGTTTTTGTTTTGTTTTGTTTTAGAGATGGGGTCTTGTTATGTTGTCCAGGCTAGACTTGAACTCCTGGGCTCAAGCAATCCTCCCACCTCAGACTCCTGAGTAGCTAGGACTACAGGCATTTGCCACTGCACTTGGCTTGTCACTGGTATTTTGATAGGGACTGCATTAAATCTGTAGGTCACCTTGGGTAGTATGGTCATTTTAACAAGATTATTCTTCTAACCCATGAACACGAGATATCTTTCCATTTATTTGTGTCCTCTTCACTTTCTTTCATCAATGTTTTATAGTTTTCAGTGTTTAATATTTAAGTTAATGATATTTTAATTGTTTAATATTTATTTAATAATTTTATTATTCAATTATTATTTAATATTAATTTAAATAATATTTAAATTAATAAGAAAAAATTAGCCAGGTGTGGTGGCATGCACCTGTAGTCCTAGCTATTAGGGAGTCTGAAGTGGGAGGATTGCTTAAGCCCAGAAGTTTGAGGCTGTAGTGAACTACAATCGCATTACCGCATTCTAGCCTGGGCAACAGAGCGAGATCCTGTCTCTAACAAAAAGAGGCAATTTCAGGAAGTGATCCCTGCCATGAACAAATCAAAACAGGATAATGGTAGTTTCTTGGTGGAGGTAATATTTCAGGTGAGACTAAATGATAAGAAGGAAACAGACACAGGAAGATTTGGGAATAGAGAGCAGGTGCAAAGCAAGATGCAGGGATTGAGAGCAGGTAAGGGCCTGCATCCCTTCCCTGAAAAATAGTGATAGTTAAGGATGAGGGGATGAGAGTAGTCATACTAATACTAAAAATGATGGTCAGCAGAACAGTGTAGCCAGTGTTCTAAGTGCTTGACCCAATATACATCCTTTAATGCTCTCGGCAACCCCTAAGATGGGGACTGTTATGGTTCCTATTTTAGAGCTGGGAAAACCGAGGCATGGAGCAGTGAGTAACCAGCCTAAGAGCACACAATGAATGAATGATGGAGCCACAATTTAAAATTGAATGTGTTTTCAGAACCTGTGCTTGCTTCCAGTGATATGTATTGCCTACCCTGAGAACGTTCTGCTAAATGCTATATGTCCTGCAAGCCCAGGCTCAAATGCTACCATCTGCATGAAGCCTTCTCTCTCCCTCCCAACCAGAAATGCATTCTCCTCTGAACTTGCAGTGGAACCTTGACCTTTCATTTGGTGTTGACCACATTCTGCCTTGTGTTATGAATATTGTGTATATGCCATCCTCGGTAAATGTTTCATATCTGCATTCTAAGTGGTTAACTTCAGGAATTGTGTCATGTCTATCTTTGTATCTCTCCCAAGACTACAGATAGAGAGGGCATTGTTGGTATCTGTGGCATCTGCTGCATATTTGTTGATCTAAGACCTGGTACATGGTACCTGGTGTCTTTTCTAAGACCTGGTGTGTGGTTTCTACCTCCTGACTGAAAAAAGTTTCTTCTCTGGGCCAGGCACAGTGGCTCATGCCTGTAATCCCAGCACTTTGGGAGGCCGAGGTGGGTGGATCACCTGAGGTCAGGGGTTCGAGACCAGCCTGGGCAAGCAATATGGTGAAACCCCATCTTTACTAATTAGCCAATTGTGGTGGCAGGCACCTGTAATCCCAGCTACTCGGGAGGCTGAGGCATGAGAATCACTTGAATCCAGGAGGTGGAGGCTGCAGTGAGCTGAGATCACACCACTGCACTCCAGCCTGGGCGACAGAGTGAGACTCCGTAAAAAAAAATTTTGTTTTCTTCTTTGTTGCAGACATGAAGACATCTTATCCATCCTCACTGCTGTCAACGATGATGTGAGTCGAAGAGTGGACAAACAGGGAACAAAGAAACAGATGCCCCAGCCTGCTTTCACACTAAGGAAAAAACTAGTATTCCCTGTGCCCCTGGATGCACTTTCATTATAGCAGAGAGTTTTTGTTGGTTCTTAGACCTCAAACGAATCATTGGCTATAACCTCCAGCCTCCTGCCCAGCACAGGAATCGGTGGTCTCCACCTGTCATTCTAGAAACAGGAAACACCGTGTTTTCTGACACAGTCAATTCTGATTTTCTTTTTCTTTTGCAAGTCTAAATGTTAGAAAACTTTCTTTTTTTTGGAGATAGTCTCATTCTGTCACCCAGACTGGAGTGCAGGGGGGCAATCACGGCTCACTGTAGTCTCGACCTCCCAGGCTCAAGCTGTCCTCCCGCCTCAGCTTCCCAAGTAGCTGGGACCACAGGTGTGTACCACCGTGCCCGGATTTTTTTTATTCTTTATTTTTTGTAGAGATGGAGGGATCTCACTTTGTTGCACAGGCTGGTTTCAAACTCCTAGGCCCAAGTGATCCTCCCACCTCTGTCCCCAAAATACTGGGATTATAGGCACGAGCCACCACACCTGGCCAGAAAACTTTCATTATTGAAGACTTGGATTGTAGCCTTGGTTTTGGATGTCTATTCTGAAGACAGAGTAATTGGCTTTGGTTTGTGCAGGTACTTTTTCTTTGAGACAGAGTCACTCCGTCACCTGGGCTGGAGTGCAGTGGTGGGATCACTGTTCACTGCAGCCTTGACCTCCCAGGTTCAAGCGATCCTCCCACCTCAGCCTCCCAAGTAGCTGAGACTACAGGTGTGTGTCCATGCACAGCTAACTTTTTATTTTTTTTGTGGAGATGGGGTTTCACTATGTTGCCTAAGCTGGTCTCAAACTCCTGGGCTCAAGCGATCCTCCCACCTCAGCTTCTCAAAGTTCTGGGACTACAGGCATGAAATACTGTGCCTGGCCTGGGGACCAGGTGCATTTTAAGGTTCCTTGGTGTTCAAAAACCACGTTCTTAGCCTAGATTGAGCTTAGATTGCCTCTCTAGACAACTACCCCTTAGTTATAATTCTGTGTCCCCTCTGCATGCCCTTAAACATTGGACAGTGAGGTCACAGTCCACCCACCCTCTCTCTGATCTCCCCCTTCCTAAGACTTCTCTTTTGCACATCTAGTGAGGTGAAAATTTGGTCTATGCCAGGCCCATTTCCTGCTTTTGTGTAAGGAAGGTGCTCACATAGGAAGTTTTTATTTGGTTAGAGACAGGTTTCCCTGTAGGAAGATGATGGCTCATTTACACTCAGCTGCTCTGCAAGCAGAAACTTTACAACCTGATGTCATATTCCATTTTGGACTGGGTGCGGTGACTCATGCCTGTAATCCCAGTACTCTGGGAAGCCAAGGCAGGCAGATCACTTGAGGTCAGGAGTTCGAGACCAGCCTGGCCAATACGGCAAAACCTCATCATTACTAAAAACACAAAAATTAGCCAGGTGTGGCGGCGAGCACCTGTAATCCCAGCTACTCGGGAGGCTGAGACAGGAGAATCTCTTGAATCCAGGAGGCAGAGGCTGTGGTGAGCCAAGATGACACAACTGCACTCCAGCTTGGGCAACAGGGCGAGACCTTGTTTAAAAAAAAAATTCAATATTGGGGTTGGAACATTTCAGTTGCCATTGACAGAACACCCAATTCAAATTGACTGAAGCAAAGAAGGGAATTTATTGCCTCTTTCACATTGAAACCCAGGAGTGGATAACACTGGCTTCAGGCAAAGCTTGAATCAGGACTCAATCTACAGGCCAGCACCTTTCTCTTGGCCGGATGTCCTCAGGGCTGGCAGATGCAGTAGACTGCAGTGGACAGTCCCCACCTTGTTACTGCTACTACACTTTGCTCCTCTGGCCCAAGGCATGAGGAGAGAGGCTGTGTCAGAAACTGAAGCTGTTCTCAGGATCACTGGGCTCTTCTTGGCAGAGGGGATGTCTGGCTTGCCTGAAGGGAGTGGCTCTGTAAGGACGCCTTGATGCTTTCTTCATTAAGATTTTGAGCATTTTTACGTACTTGAGCTTTTTTTTTTTTTTTTTTCAATTTCTAGAGGAACTTTTTCTCTGTTAATTCCTGGAACTGTATTTTGAATCCTTAAAGGTGAGCCCTCATAGGGAGATCCAAAGTCCTGTGGTTAACGCCTTCATTTATAGATGAGGCAGCTGAGGCCTGGGGATGTGAACAACCTGCTCACAGTCCTCATTTACTGGATTTGACTTCAGCCAGGTGAACTGGAATGCCTTGGGGCGTGGAAGGGCATTAGGAGTGTTTCATTTGATATGTGAATGCTCATAAAAAAATGTCAAGGAATGAAGAACAACAACTCTCAGTGGTGCCTGCATTTATAATTATTTATGTGAAAGTCAAATTCATGTACAGTAAATTTGTTATAAGAATATTCACAAGAACACTGTTCTGATATCTCTGATTGTCATGTGGATTTGAATGTAGCTTGACAGAGGGAATGTCTAATCTATATTGACAGGGCAGGAACACCGTCATCTTAGACAAACACCGCCACTTTAAGTTCCAGTTCCCTTTCTAGCCTCATGCATTTCAAGGAAATCACTTCTTTTCTAACAGCGAGCAGCCAGAAAGAGAAGAGAGTAAAATACAGATAAGACAGCTCTGGCATAGAGGGAGGTGGGGGGGTGGGGGAAGTCTCTTGGGTAACTGCCAAACTTTGCCTTCATACAATGGGTTCCAGGAAAACAATGAGCCTTAATAAGCACATTCCTTTCCCTTCAGGTGCACTAAGTGGGGAAGCTAAAAGCAGACTGGAGGGGGGTGGGGTGTACCTACAGCTGCAGAAATATTGTATGGGAACGGACACACAACTCTCCCTCCCAGATAAGCACAGCAAAGAGACATAGAAGCAATCCAAGCCTCTGATAAACTCTCCCACCCTAAATCCTTAAAAACTCTTAGTCTGTAAGTGAGTGGGCTCTGACCTAACTCGGCCAGAAGCCCCTTTCAAATTTGTTTTCTCTAAAATAAACCTGTCCTTGGCTGTCAAGCCACCTTTCATGTTTCTTTCCTCTTTCTTTAATTCTTACACATGTGTCAGGATGATCTCCCAAAACCGTGTTCATAACAGTCAGGGCCAAAAGCTAGTGGTCACAGTCCTTGTCCAGTTGGCAGAACTGACATGTGAAGGCAAGTGAAGGATGGTGAGATACTGAGGAAAGAGCAAAGGATCTGGAGATCAAAGCCCTGCATTTCCATTTTGTCCTGATTCCTTTGCTCAGAGACACTAACTAAATCAAGCTAGCTTTTTTCAGCCTTGTCTGTAAAGTAGAGAAAACATTAGCTGTTGGGAAGACGAAAAAGAATGTGTCCTATGTGTGCATCTATTTAAATCTAACTGTGCTGAGGTGCATATAAATGCCTTTAGGTGGTAGGGTCTTCCGGTTGTAACTGCAACAGAAATAGCAGGACTTAAGTTCCTTTGTGCGTAATTCCAGCTGACTTTATTAGCGGCAACTCAGCACTAGCATTACCCCTGACATACTCTGAGTAAGATCTAATTCTTCCCTCACTGGTTCGTGATGTCTACCGCAGCAGAAGGCCAGCTCTTGACTCTGAGTTCAGTTGGACAAAATGCTGTTGATAAAACCTCCTGTCAGGCCTCTGAGCCCAAGCTAAGCCATCATATCCCTTGTGACCTGCACATATATATCCAGATGGCCTGAAGTAACTGAAGAATCACAAAAGAAGTGAAAATGGCCTGTTCCTGCCTTAACTGATGACATTACCTTGTGAAATTCCTTCTCCTGGCTCATCCTGGCTCAAAAGCTCCCCCAGTGAGCACCTTGTGACCCCCATCCCTGCCAGCCAGAGAACAACCCCCTTTGACTGTAATTTTCCACTACTTACCCAAATCCTATAAAACGGCCCCACCCCTATCTCCCTTCACTGACTTTCTTTTCGGACTCAGCCCACCTGCACCCAGGTGATTAAAAAGCTTTATTGCTCACACAAAGCCTGTTTGGTTGTCTCTTCACAAGGACGCGAGTGAAACCTCCTTCATCAGGAGCATTTGGGGTTTGATGTTTAAGTTTTGGGCCTCTGGTGTATTTCATATTTCTGTTTTGCTAGAACTTAGTGCTTGTGCAAGGTTAAATTCTAGAATCAGGAAACGTTGTTTTTAGGGGCCTTCAGCAAGCACTTCGGAGGTCCCTGGACGTTTACAGCTGTGAGTCGTGGATCTACCCAGACATCAGAACATAGTCATCCTTGGCTCATTCCTCCTCCGTAGGAGGGGTACACAGTTGGTAGAGTGTGCCCTCCAAGATTTCGTGAAACATTATGCTTGTCTGTATTTGTGTGTGCATGTCTGCGTGAATTTTGAGTTCAGGAATAACAGGTGATTTGATCACAGCTATTTGACAGTGGTGATAGTCATTGTATGCCAAGATGTTTATGAGGGGAATAGGTAGATTGAGTGAGGTTCATGTATATTTTGCCTAGTTGTACTCACCTACAAGAGCTGTAATTAAATGTTTCTCTCTTTCCCCTTCCTCTCTTTTATTCATTCTTTTTTTTTTTTTTTTGACAAAGTCTCGCTCTCTCACCCAGGCTAGAGTGTAGTGGTGTGATCTTGGCTTACTGCAACCTTCGTCTCCTGGGTTCAAGCGATTCTCCTGCCTCCGCCTCCTGAGTAGCTGGGATTACAGGTGTGCACCACCATGCCTGGCTAATTTTCATATTTCTAGTAGAAACAGGGTTTTGCCATTTTGGCCAGGCTGGTCTCGAACTCCTGACCTCAAGTGATCTGCCCACTTTGGCCTCCCAATGGAATGAACCATTGTGTCTGGCCTCATTCATTCTTTCTTTCATAAAAGTTTGGATACTGCCAAACAAAATTAAAGACATGAAGACATTTGATAAATTGTTATTACAAATGTGACAGTTATTTAACTACTGGTGTTTATTTTTATTAGAGTCATAGCACCTACTGGCCTCTGCTTCAGGGATTCACAATGGTGTTGGGCAGGTTGGATATCATGGGGCTTACCCTTAGCAAGGCATTCTATTCCACCTATGCCCAGGCGGTGTAAAACATATAAGCATCTGGTACGCTGTGGTACCGACCCAGTGACTGGTATAACACAATGGTTAAGGTTGCCAAATAGCAACCCTTAATCAATAATGATCAAATCTCCACGGAGGTAAACTAAACTAGAAGTTTACCTCATACAGGTAATTTTTGTGCCATACATGATTCACAGAACCTTCCAGATCTGATGCTTTCTGAGTGATCTGGTCAATTTGTTCTCAACCTGGAATTCTTGGGCCCTTAGGTGTTTGTAAATTTGTTCTCAGAGACTCTGAGCTCTCCACCTTCATTTTTAAGTGCTTTAATTCTTTTTGGTGATAATCTTTAAAACTTCACAGAGGTGTGTCCTGGCTCTTTGGGGCGACTGCTTCATATTTGAGTACTGCCACACAATGACAGCTCATGTTCTGGGGCCTGCCTACAGAAAGGGATGAACTTTATCTTGGACCTTTTAATGTAGTGTGGATGGGCGTCTGTAGCTGGAGGTCTTCAGGTGCCAGTGGTTAATCTGTTTGAAGCTTGCTTCACTCCAACCTCTCATTCTGTAACAGACTCCTCCTCCACCGTCCCTCACCTCTGCTGAACCCTTCTAGCAGAGGGAACTCACCACAAGTGGGGGATGGATTTGGGAGCTTGAAAGGACCCCAATGACCCTGCAGTCCAGCCCTCAAAGTGCTAAGTGACTTACTGAAGCCTCGAAGCCATTTCTGGAGGATTTGCAATTCTTTGTATCTCTGGATTTGCTGCCCTGTCCCTCCAAGCCACCTGGTTTCACTTTTGGACAGCTTTAAGTGTTCTCTTCTCTGTTCTCTGTTTCTGCCTTCTTAGAAACTATTTAAAACCACTCATTTTCATTCTAAACTCCGGAGCCATACCAAACAACTGTAACTGTCCTCTGGTGAGATTTGCGTTGTATGTGACAAATCTTTTAACTTTTTTCTGTTAGGGTTTCAGTTTTGTTGGAAGTCTGCAGTTTGCTCTTAAGGATGTGATAAGAATGTAACAACACATTTGTATCTTTGAATTTTGAATAGGAACCAAATTTTTAAATTTAGTTTAGTTTTGTTTTGTTTGAGACAGAGTCTCACTGTGTCACCCAGGCTGGAGTACAGTGATATCATCTTGGCTAACTGCAGCCTCTGCCTCCTGTGCTCAACTGATCCTCCCACCTGAACCTCCTGAGTGGCAGCTGGGGCTACAGGCAGGTGTTTTTTAAAAATGGAACTCTTTTCTTTTTTTTTTTTTTTGAGACGGAGTCTTGCTATGTTGCCCAGGCTGGAGTGCAGTGGCTCGATCTTGGCTCACTGCAAGCTCTGCCTCCCAGGTTCATGCCATTCTCCTGCCTCAGCCTCCCGAGTAGCTGGGACTATGGGCGCCCGCTACCACGCCCAGCTAATTTTTTATATTTTTAGTAGAGACAGGGTTTCACCATGTTAGCCAGGATGGTCTCAATCTCCTGACCTCGTGATCCGCCCGCCTTGGCCTTCCAAAGTGCTGGGATTACAAGCGTGAGCCACCGTGCCTGGCCAAAAAAAAATGGAACTCTTAATACATTAGAAAAAAAATGAAATCCCTTTTAAAAAGCACTAGAGGAAATTCTGTGTTTAAAGATTTACTTATTTGGCAATGCAAACAACTGTTTATTTCCTAACATAACTTTTGCAAATCTGAATTTTTATGAAAAGATTTTTAAATTAAAAATTTTAAATTGTACTAATTTTTACTTTTTAAGTAATTTTGAGTAGGTAATATTTTTATAAAGATATTTGTATGGTTTGAAGATAAGAAAATTAAAGGTGTTCAAGAAGAGTTTTGCCCCCAGTTCTGTCCACTGTATACCCAGTCCTCCCCACTTCTGCATACATATTTCAGACAGGTATTTCTTGGAAGAAAGAACATATGCTGTGAAACTTACATGTCTCAGTAGGTCTCATTTTAAGTGATTCTGTAAAATGCCTGGGAAATACTGGTGAAATTCTAGAATGGAAATAACTTTGTGAGATTTTGAGCTGAGTACTGGTAAATAGTAGAAATGGACTTACTAATAAATAAGGGAATTTTATTTGATAACTTTTTTCTGATTACATAGTAATGTATGTTCATTATGGAATATTTGGGAAATACAAAAACACACCAAGAAAAAAGTATATTTATTTATAATTCTATTTTGCTATGTATTTTCCCATTATTCACTCTGTGTTTGTCACAGATTTTTCCCCACCCTTTTTCAATGAGTGTATCCTCCATGTCCCCCCAATCATGCATCCAGTAAACTTTGTCATTACTACCATCTGTACTTTCACTCACGTTTCAATTCCAAGCATGTCCCTCTCTGACAACCACCTCCCATCATTCCATCTTGCTTCTTCTAGGACCTTCCCTTCAAGGATCTTCAGTGCCACCAGGGCTTCCAGTTAGGTTGACTGACCCTATCTATTGTCTTCCCGATGTCAGCACCGCCCCTCACTCCCTCTTCATTCAGCTTAGAGTCCATGTGTCTTTGTTAAAGTCTCCTGTACCCACCAACACCCTTGCCTTTCTGTCAGTTCCACTGAGGTGGTAGAATCCCAACTCTGGTTAATCCTATAAATCCTTGTCCTCCAAATTTGTACTGGAATTCCAGGATGTGGCTGGGGTAAAAACCTTCCATGTTGCAGACAGGTCTCGTTTCAAACCAATGACCACAAACCTCCAATGGGCTTTCAGGGGTTTCGGCAATGCTGTGACATTTCCCTGGTTATATCACCCTTTTGCACTCTCGGTCTGTTTTACTAATCATCGAATTCTCTATGATCTCAACCTAAAAGGTTAGAGATATTTCCTGAGAAGCCCCACCTTTTCTCTTGATAACCCACTATGGAGCTGTCATTTGTGAATTTAAGAAGAAACACTTGCCTCTTGACTATTTTAAAACATCAAAAACAACATTTAAAAATTGAAGGATGAGGCCGGGGTGTGGTGGCTCGCGCCTGTAATCCCAGAACTTTGGGAGGCCGAGGCAGGCGGATCACCTGAGGTCAGGAGTTCAAGACCAGCCTGGCCAACTTGGTGAAACCTGTCTGTACTAAAAAAAATTAGCTGGGCATGGTGGCGCACACCTGTGATCCTAGCTACATGGGAGGCTGGGGCATGAGAATTGCTTGACTCTGGCAGGTGGAGGTTGCAGTGAGCCAAGATCATGCCACTGCACTCCAGCCTGGGTGATAGAGTGAGACTCTGTCTCAAAACAAAAACAAAAACAAAACCTGAGGGATGAGCCACAAACTGGGAAATGATATCTGCCACGTTGTATAACTGATAAAGGAGATATATGTACATATACTATATATATAATCTTCTATAAATCCATAAAATATTAAACAATCCAACCTAGATGGGCAAAAATATAAACTAGTTCAAAGATGAGCAAAAAATATGAACCAGTAATTAAAAGGAAATACCAATGAGCAATAAATATATGAAAACATAACCATTCTCTTTGGTCATCAGAGAATTTGAAAAATACAGCCACAGTGAGATAGCATTTTATGTCCATCATATTATCAACATTTAAAACTCTGTCAGTACCAAGTGTGGGTGAAGATACAGAGCAAAGGGAACTCTATTACATCGATCTAGGAAATGTAAATTGACACAATCATTTTAGAGAGCAATTTGCAATATTTATAAATGTTGGAAATTTGCACACAGTAAAATCTAGCAATTCCATTTTTGGATCTATGTCCCAAAATAAACTTAAAAACATTGTTTTGTAGAGACAGGGTCTTGTTATGTTGTGCAGGAAGGTCTTGAACTCCTGGCCTCAAGCAATCTTCCTGCCTCAGCCTCCCAAAGTATTGAAATTATAGGCGTGAGCCACCACGCCTGGCCCCAAAAGAAATCTTGCACAGGTACCAGGAGATAAGGAGGAAGTGTTAGTTTTCTGAGCAGCATTGTTTGTAAAAGTACAAAAAAAAAAATGAAAAGAAGCAACACAAACAATCTATATATTCATCAAGAGGAGGATAGATAAATTGTGGTATAGTCATATAAAGGAATACTATCAAGTAGTGAAATAAAATCAATTAGAATTATTAGGCTGAACCATATGAAATTGCCATTCTTCTAGATCAGAAACAACCAAATATTGGCAATTTCATACAGTTTAAATATATGTATCAGTAACATAATGCTGAGCAAATAATATATATAATATGATATGATTTATATAATGTTAAAATACACATAAGAGTCTTTTATGTTGCTTATAAATTAATATGTATATTGTACAAATATACAGATGCATGGGGGTGATGAGAAGTTTAGAGTAGTAGTTGCCTGGGATGGGATTGGGTCTTGGGGGGACAGGGGGGAACATGCCAATGGGGAGGAATTACAGGGGCTTCAAATGCATCAGTCATGTTTTATATCTTCAACTGAGTGCTAGATGTGGGGATATTCTCTTTTCTCTTTAATCCTTTTTGCGTCTCAGTGCTGATTAATGGAATTTAGCCACCAGATTGGGTGATTTTTTGGCTTGTTGAATAGTTGGCCAGGTTTGCAGGGAAGCTTTGCCCTCTTGGGCAGAGTATGTTTTTCCAATCTAGTAACTGTCTGTTTTTGGTGGTGATTTCTGTGGCTGTAATTAATATGATCAGTGTTGCCAAAGCAAGGATAAGGGGTATTGACTCACTTTTTATTGCCCTGAGCCATCCCTGTTGCAAAATAATGATCTGGATATAATCTCCAGACCAGGAAGCAAGCTGCAGATGGGAAACTCCCTTATGACACTTCTGAAGATCCCAAACAGTTTCTTTTTTTAATGTAATTTGATTTTTTATTTATTTAGTTTTGAGATGGAGTCTCGCTCTGTTGCCCAGGCTGGAGTGCAGTGGCACGATCTCGGCTCACTGCAAGCTCCACCTCCTGGGTTCATGCCATTCTCCTGCCTCAGCCTCCCGAGTAGCTGGGACTACAGGTGCCTGCCACCATGCCCGGCTGTTTTTTTTTTGTATTTTTAGTAGAGACAGGGTTTCACTGTGTTAGCCAGGATGGTGTTGATCTCCTGACCTTGTGATCCGCCCGTCTCGGTCTCCCAAAGTGCTGGGATTACAGGTGTGAGCCACCGCGCCCGGCCCCCAAACCGGTTTCTAACAAATAAGTGTTAAGTCAAGGGGTTCCTCTACAGAATCAGTCATCTTCACCATGACACCCACAACGCCCAAATTGCTGCTGGCATTCCTCCACTCTGAATGCACAATTAGAAGCTCAGCACTCTATTGGATAAGGCTGCTATTTCACCATTTGAAGAACCTTCAAAAAGGTCTTTAGAGACAGGGCATGGTGGCTCACACCTGTAATCCCAGCACTTTGGAAGGCCAAGGCAGGCATATCACTTGAGGCCAGGAGTATGAGACCAGCCTGGCCAACATGGTGAAACCCTGTCTGTACTAAAAATGCAAAAATTAGCCGGGTGTGGTGATGTACACCTGTAGTCCCAGCTACTCAGTGGCCGAGGCACAAGAATTGCTCGAACCTGAGAGGTGGAGGTTGCAGTAAGCTGAGATCGTGCCAGTGACACTACATTCCAACCTAGGTGACACAGCGAGACTCCCTCTAAAAAAAAAATTCCTTAGAAACTTCAGAAGGATCCTTCCACTAGGGCAGAAGGGATGAGAGAGTAAGAATCTTCACCCCTACCACTCATGCCTTTCTGAAGGCTCAGTCTGGCCACACTGCAAGGGCACAGTGAGCCAGTTTTGGCCTGGGGCTTCTTGCTGCTGCCAAATTAACAACTCCAGCCCTTGGGTTTAGCCACCTGCTGCTGCTAAAAATGTTGCTGAGAGTGATGGAGAGGTGTTTTAGTTCCCATTTTACAGATCAGAAAATCAAGGCCCAGAGAAACTAAGTAGTCTTGGAGATAGGAGCCATGGCCTCTCCACTTGAGTTATCATCTTGAAACATCAAGGACAAGCCAACTTTATCAACAGTTTTAGGCCTGTGAGAAATGGGCTTGGTTTATCTTGAAGATTGTAAACAAATAAAAAAATAGACTGCTCCATTACTGATGAGAAATATGAGTCATTCTGCCAGGAATTGAAAGTACAGCTGCCCATAAAAAAGCTATGCCGGGGTCCAGCCTCTCCAGGTCCTTGTGTGTGAAAAACCACTCAGTCAAAGTTCCCCTTTTATTTCTCTTTGTGCTCAGTAGGATGCTGAAATTTCTGGAAAAGACAATGGAAATCAGGGGCAGGAAGAGAACAGTGTGGGGTGCTAAACAGATCTCAGCAACCTCCCTGCCCACGGCCATCTCTGCGCAGACACCTCGACCCCCCATGCGCAGGTGGAGCAGCGTTTCCTAGTTCTTTCCAGAGGCTTCCTTCTGCCTGCCTTCCAGCCACATCGCCTGAGATTGACAACGCCCTACAGCAAGACGGAAACCTCCCTTTACAGCACCACCTTGCGATTCTGCAGCCACAAAGTTGAGACTTCTGAACGTGGCACTCTTCTGTTCCCTTACTGTTTCACGTGTACCTGTGTCATCTTTCTTGTTTCATCGTAAACATACTTCTAAAATTCCCATTTTCTTTATTTAGAAATAGAACTACAAGCGGATGGTTAAACAATTTAAACAAATGGTCCATGGGGAAAAGTGAATTTCACACTGTCCCCCAAACTTTCAGTGCCTTTTATGGAGATAATTATTGTTTCTAATGTTTTGAATATTCTTTCAGAGATATTTTATTCTTATATAAGCATATGTGTATTTGTGTCCTTCCCTCATTTTCCCCCCACAAACACTAGCAGACTGTTTTGCACCTTGGTTAGCTCATTTAACATATCTTGGAGCCAGGTGCGGTGGCTCATGCCTGTAATCCCAGCACTTTGGGAGGCCGAGGTGGGCGGATCACCTGAGGTCGGGAGTTCGAGACCAGCCTGACCAACGTGGAGAAACCCCGTCTCTACTAAAAATACAAAATTAGCCAGGCGTGGTGGCACATGCCTGTAATCTCAGCTACTAGGGAGGCTGAGGCAGGAGAATCGCTTGAACCTGGGAGGCGGAGGTTGCGGTGAGCCGAGATCGTGCCATTGCACTCCAGCCTGGGCAACAGAACATATAGATCTGCTTGATCCTTTTCATGACTGCTACAGCTCCATTGAATGTATGGATCATCAGTGCTCCAGCTAGCACCTTAGTGATGGGCATTTAGGGATCACAAACTTCATAAGGGCAGAAACAATATCTTACCCATCCTCTGTTTCTGATATGGTTTGGATGTGTGTCCCTGCCCAAATCACACGTCAAGGTAATCCCCCATGTCAGAGGTGGGGCCTGGTGGAGGTGATTGGATCATGGGGATGGATCCTTCATGAATGGGTTAGCACCATCCCTTTGGTGCTGTTCTTGTGATAGAGCTCTCATGAGATCTGGTTGTTTAAATGTGTGTGGCACCTCCCCACTCTCTTGGTCAAGTTCCTGCCATGTAAGATGCTTGCCCTTGCTTTGCCTTCTGCCATGAATAAAAGCTCTCTGAGGCTTCCCCAGAAGCAGATGCCACTATGCTTCCTGTACAGCCTGTGGAACTGTGAGCCAATTAAGCCTCTTTTCCTTATGAATTATCCAGTCTTAGGTATTTCTTTGTAACAGTGTGAGGATGAGCTAATACAGTTTCCTACACTGTAACCTAAGGCAATGCTTTGCACAAAGGGATGAACCAGATTGCTTAGTAATTAAAACACAAATACAAACCACAAGCATATCCATTCATGAATTGGGGGACAGCTTTTATTTGATTCTGAGTTCTGATACCTGCTGCTTTGCTTTGTTAAAAATGTGCTAGTTCTCATTCAGCTTCCTATCAGTCATATCACCAACCAACATGTATAACATGTACAATCTGCCAGGTCAGGAGGAAACTTATGGATACAAGAAATGTCCCTCCCTTCTAGGAAATGATAATCTGCTTTGGGAGAGAAGGCAGGTACTTTTTGGCAAAAGTGACATAATAAAATAATCAAAAAAAGATGGATCTTTTTTTCTTTTTTGAGATGGAGTCACGCTCTGTCACCCAGGCTGGAGTGCAGTGGCGCGATCTCGGCTCACTGCAACATCCGCCTCCCAGGTTCAAGCGATTCTCCTGTCTCAGGCTCCCGAGTAGCTGGGACTACAGGCACCCACCACCACGCCCGGCTAATATTTTGTATTTTTAGTAGAGACGGGGTTTCACTGTGTTAGCCAGGATGGTCTCGATCTCCTGACCTTGTGATCCGCCTGCTTCGGCCTCCCAAAGTGCTGGGATTACAAACATGAGCCACTGCACCAGGCGAAAAGATGGATTTTTTAAAAAAGGTGTTAGGATAATCAGGTCCCCACCTGCAAGAAAGTAAAGTTAGAAGCCCACCTCAGACCATGCATACCAGCACAAAAATGTCAAATGGCTTAAAGATAAAATGTTAAAACAAGTCTAGAAAGGTATTAAAAGAAAATATAGAAAATACAGCACCAGCAAAAATTTCCCTACACAAGATGTAAAAGCCAGAAGTCATAAAGGAAAAGGTTGATAAATTAGAATAGATAAAAATGTAAAACTTTTGTATAATATAAGACACAAAGAATGAATTTAAAGACATACAATGAAGGTTAGGAAGATGAAGATGTTTTGGCGATGAGTGGTGGTTACACATCAGTATTAATGTACTTAATGTTACTGAACTGTACACTTAAAATGATGAAAATGGTAATTTTTATGTTATGTGTATTTCATCACATAAAAAAAGACATGAAATGAATCGGGGAAAATATTTGCTACATAACTAAGAATGAAGGCCCTTAATAAAATCTGTAAAACTATACACACTTTTAGGAATGAATCAACAAATAATTTCTATGAATTAGAAAAAAGTGACAATCCAACTAAAAAATGAATAAGGGATATAAGCAATGTGTTTCACAGAAAAAATAAAAATTGACAATGAAGTTATGAAAAAATGTTCAGTCTCCTTAGTAATTGCACAAAACAAACTAAAACAATGAGACATTACCCCTAAGATTAGTAAATGTTAAAGAAAAATAATAATTGGTGAGGGTGTGGGGAAGTGGGCACTTACACCTATGTTTGGAAATATAAATTGGTGCAACCTTATAGGGAGAGCAATCTCACAACATTTTCCAAAGACTTACATGCACAACCCTATGGCAGAGAAATTTATTCCTCTTCCAGGATTTTTTTTCCTTCAAAAACAGTGATGTGGATGAAAAACACATGTTCACTACTGCACAGGGTATAACAGCTGAAAACTGGAAACGATAATACTCACATTCCCTTCAGTAGGGGAATGGTTAAATAAATTTTACAAGCCATCTGGTAGATACCAGGCATGAGCTAAAAGTTAGGGTCCAGTTAGAGATGGAAAGCACACCAGTAATTTGAAAGGGAAAATGTAATATGAAGAATTATTAACTAGTAAAAGAAGGCTAACTGCTAAAGGTACAAGAGCACTCAAGCTGTCTGCAGTCAGCAGGCCCCGGCTGGTGAGCAGGAAGCTGCCCGCTGGGAGGCTGCCAAAGTTCCCTGAAGGTGAGCACCACTGGTTCTACAAGCTGCTGGCAGTCATGGCGTTAAGAGCAGGAAGAGAAGCACCAGAACCCGGAAGAGAAATCCAGTCCTCTGCTAGGCCTTGCACCGTCCCTCTGGCGCCCTCTACTGACAAAGCCAGTAAAATTGTGCCGCTAGCAAAGGAGATCTTTTTATGGGATGTAGCTTGGTGTCACCAAAGAGAACAGAGTGGACTTGGAGCTCAGATGCAACACAATGATTGATACTGGCACAGTATACTTACCCTGCTTTTGTAAACAAAATGGTATATGTGATGTCTCTCTTTGTCTCTCTGTATATAAAACAATATTTGTTTCTACTTATTATGTATTTATGTCTTTACTCTGCATGCCAGGAGCTAAGTATTTTGCATGTATTAACTCATTTTGTTCTCATAATAACCTTCACATGCAGGAATCATTATAGCTACTTTATGAATGAGCCGAGGAAGGCACTGAGACGTTAAGTAACTTGCCCAAGGTCACGCAGCTAGTAAGTGGCAGAGCAAGAATTACTATGGCTTTATAAGCCTAGGAAAAAGTCTGAAAGAATCAAAATGTTAACAGCGGGGACCTCAAGGAAGCATTGAAGAGGCCATGGGAGAAGTTTTCACTTTGTTAAAAAATCAGTCCTTCAAATAAATAAATACAGTGAGGCTTCCCCAGAAGCAGATGTCACTATGCTTCCTGTACAGCCTGTGGAACTGTGAGCCAGTTAAACCTCTTTTCTTTATAAATTATCCAGTCTTAGGTATTTCTTTATAACAGTGCTAGGATGAGCTGATACAGTTTCCTACACTGTAACCTAAGGCAATGCTTTGCACAAAGGGATGAGCCAGATTGCTTAGTAATTAAAACGCAAATACAAACCACAAGCATATCCATTCATGAATTGGGGGGCTGCTTTGTGTGCATAGATAAGGTATATTTTTTAAAAAAATTATTTTTCCAAGAAGAAAATAAACCAGTTAATAAACGACAACTCACAGTGCCAGGAAGTGAGAAACAAGTGTGTGATAAACGGTGGAGAATGGGAGCACTCTCCGCAGTGGGCGGGAGGAGACGAGGAGGGCGTTCCCTGGGGAGTGGCAGTGGTTGGAGCAAAGGTTTGGAGGAGGTAAGTCATGTGCTCTGAGTTTTTGGTTTCTGTTTCACCTTGTGTCTGAGCTGGTCTGAAGGCTGGTTGTTCAGACTGAGCTTCCTGCCTGCCTGTACCCCGCCAACAGCTTCAGAAGAAGGTGACTGGTGGCTGCCTGAGGAATACCAGTGGGCAAGAGAATTAGCATTTCTGGAGCATCTGCTGTCTGTGAGATTAAGCACTATGTATATTGCTTTATTCACTCCCCACAGCAACCTTACCAAGCAGTTCTTTTCCACGTGAAAAGATGGAGGCTGGGTGGAGCAAAAGGAGGTATTTAGAGTCCTCAGCAAGTGAGAGGCAGAGCTGGGATTTGAATCCAGATCTGCCTGATACTGAAGTCTAGGCTGGTTCCACCTCTCCGGACTGCTTTCCAGGGAGTAGAAGACAGATATTTTACCTTAGCTGGCTGCTTCTAGAAGTCTGACCCTGCTGGCTCAAAACGACTTTAGTTCCTTGCCCAGAGGCTGCGGGCTGCGGGTCAAGACATCAGTAGAAGGAGGGCCCAGCCAGAGAGGCTGACATGGGCTTCTACTCACCGTCATCTCTCCTTCCTTCCAGGAGCAGCCCCTGGGTGCGTCCACTTTCTGGGCACGTGAGGTTGGGCCTTGGCCGCCTGAGCCCTTGAGTTGGTCACTTGAACCTTGGGAATATTGAGGTAAGCCTGGGATTTCCAGAGGAGGTTTGGGGGAAAGAGAAGTGGTGAACGCTATTACTGTTCCCTATCTAGACACCAGTGGGCCGAGTGGAGCAGATGCCAGTTGGGACCTTCCCGCCCTCTCTTTGGTTATTAATCCATTATTGTTCCCTGTACACTGGTATGAGTGGATGGGGGAAGTATTTAGCCAAGTTTTTGAGACCTGTACTCGGAGCTAAAATGCATTGTCTTCCTATAGTGCGGGACCCCACAACTGTGGAGGAGCCGCAGGGGATACTGGGTAGTACGCAGACATTATGCACTAAATGACAATGGCTCACATAGTGAAAAGTTATTCTTTTTTATTTTTTTTTTTGAGAGGGAGTCTTGCTCTGTCGCCTAGCCTGGAGTGCAGTGGCGCGATCTCAGCTCACTGATATCTCCGCCTCCCGGGTTCAGGTGATTCTCGTGTCTCAGCCTCCTGAGTAGCTGGGATTACAGGCACCTGCTTCCATGCCTGGCTAATTTTTTTTTTTGTATTTTTAGTAGAGATGGGGGGGTCTCACCATGTTGGCCAGGCTGGTCTCAAACTTCTGGCCCCAAGTGATCTACCCACCTTGGCCTCCCAAAGTGCTGGGATTACAGGCCTGAGCCACTGCACCCGGCTGATTTCACATTTTTAGATAATATGACCACATTATAAAAATTTATGTATTTTTATATAATGTGACCACTAGATGAAAGCAATATACTTAGGCTTTTATTTCTTGGTTAAGTTCCTACTTATTATGAATTTACTCTGCATGCCAGGAATTCTAAGAATTTGCATGTATTAACTCATTTGATTCTCGTAATAACCTTCACATGCAGGAGTCACTATTACAGTGACTGTATGAATGAGGAAAGAAAGGCACTAACAGAATTGATTTTATGTTACTTAGGTCAAGATTTTATGTTATTTAGGTCAAGGTTAATTGTGTTGTTCAAATCTTGTATAACTCTACTGCTTGTCTGTCTTTCTTACCCATTATCGAGAAGGGAACATAAAAATCTTACACTATGACTGTAGATTGTCAATTTCTCATTTTAAATTAGGATCATTTTTCCTTTATGTCTGCCTTATGTGATATTAGTATAATGATATCAGTTGGTACATCTTTTTCCATCCTTATACTTTCAGTGTTTCGGTGTTCTTATACTTGAAATGTGTCTGCCGTAAGTGGTGTATTGTTCAAGTTTTTCTTTTATTATAGAAAAATGTATTCTGGAAGGTACTTTTCTTAAAATTACAGTATTTAGTCCATTTTCATTTAATGTAATTGTCAATATAATTGGGCTAAAATCTACTATATTTCCAGTTGTTTTTTATTCGTGGCATCAATTCACTTTTCTCTACTTTCTTGATTTCTTTTAGACGAATTAAGTAATTTTAGAAAGTTCACCTTACTCCTTTATTAGCTTGTTAATTATGCATGCTTTTAGTATTCTCTTAGTAATTGCACTTGAGTTGTACTACCTAATAGTACAGCCACATGTTGTTTAAAACAGCTTTACTGAGATATGATTGATATACAACAAATGGCATATAAAGTATATAATTTGATAAGTTTTGACATATGTATGACATATATGACAGTCATATAGACACACTCATATATATATTCATGTGCCATTTCAGTCAATGACCGACCACATATATGATGGTGGTCTCATAAGATTATAATACGGTATTTTTACTGTACCATTTCTATGTTTAGATATATTTAGATATGCAAATACTTACCATTGTGTTACAATTGCCTACAATATTCAATACAGTAACATGCTTTGTAGGTCTGCATCTTAGGAGTAATAGTCTAGACCATATAGCCTAGGTGTGTAGTAGGCTATACCATCTAGGTTTTGCATAAGTACATTCTATGATGTTGGCATAATGACGAAATCACTGACGATGCTTTTCTTGGAACTTATGCCTGTCATTAAGTGACGTATGACTGTATATATTTGAGTGGAACTATCACTGCAGTCAGGATAGTGAACATATATATTACCTCCAAAATATTTCGTATGCCCTCTTGAATCCTGTCCTCCTGCCCCTCCCCACCCCTGCTCCTTTTAGGCATTTAGTTCTGTAAATTTTCTCCTAGCCTTGCTTTAGCGGCATCCCATGCATTTTGATATTTTGTTTTGATTTTAATTTAATTCAATACTACATAATTTCCTTTTGATTTCTTTTTTGACCCATGGATTATTTAGAGTTGTGTTATTTCATTTCCAAATATTTGGGGATTTTCCAGACATGTTTCTGTTGTCCAGGCCAATAACAAATTCCTGACGCCATGAAGTCAAAGATCTAACTCCCCAGGGGGAGAGTTATGCCCAAGAACCATCGGTATTTTGTGTTAGTGGTCATTGCCAGAGTGAATTCCACAGTGTTTGTGATAAACCCTAATAATTCCACCAGAGGGCAGCAAGCCAACATGAAAATTCTATTAAAAAGTCTTTTTTTAGAGACAAGAGTTTGGCTCTGCCGCCCAGGCTGGAGTGCAGTGGTGTGACCTCGGCTTACCGAACCCTGGCCCCACCGCAGACTCAACCTCCCAGGCTCAAGTGATTCTCCCACTTCAGCTCCCCATCTGCGAGTAGCTGGAATATAGGTGCGCACCACCGCACCTAGTTAATTTTTGCATTTTTTGTAGAGATGGAGTTTCATCATGTTTCCCAGGCTTGTCTTGAACTCCTGGGCTCAAGCTATCCATCTGCCTCGGCTGCCCAAAGTGCCGAGATGACAGGCGTGGGCCACTGTGCCTGGCCAGACAGAAGTTTTCAAGTAAAGAATAAATTTAGCTGAAGAGCAGTGTCAAATTATTTCTATCCCCACCCTCCTGAATTAAATCTTCGTAGTCTCTGATTCTCTTTGTCATATTCTTAACCATTTGGATTCTTTTCAGTGCGTCTGTGTTTGTTCCTTTTCCCCAGTATGACCCCTTTCTATTTTTTTTTTTTTTTTTTTTTTTGAGACAGAGTCTTGCTGTGTCGCCCAGGCTGGAGTGCAGTGGCACGTTCTTGGCTCACTGCAACCTCCGCCTCCCAGGTTCAAAAGATTCTCCCACCTCAGCCTCCTGAGTAGCTGGGATTACAGATGCCTGCCACCTTGCCCAGATAATTTTTGTATTTTTAGTAGAGATGGGGTTTCAACATGTTAGCCAGGCTGGTCTCAAACTTTTGACCTCAAGTGATCTGCCCGCCTCGGCTTCCCAAAGTGCTGGGATTACAGGCGTGAGCCACCTTGTCCAGACCCTTTTCTCTATCTTTATGAAAACATCTCTCCAGTAGATCTTCAGAGTAAAAAAAAAAAAAAAAAAAGGAAAAAAGAAAAGAAAAAAGAAAAAGAAAAGAAAACATCCAGCAAGGTCTCGGAGGAAAAATAGAAAATTAGAAGACTGGAGTGAGTCATGTTGATTTTCTGGTGTAAAATTTGTATCGAAACCTTACATAAATACTGAAGAATTCACAAGTTGTAAATATACAGCTTGGTGACTGATTTTGATATCCAGACAGTTTTTTTCCCACTTGCACACACTCCCCGCAAGAATGCATGCTGGTTTGTAAAGTCATTAATTTACTGGTGCATCAGTGGATGGCTCTGTGTCTTCTGGCTTTATCTTGGCCCAGAAAGACAGGAATTAACGTTGAGCCTAGTAGTCTTTGGCCTTTGTGCCAAAGCAGTCTGTGGGCCAGCCTTGTGTAGTGATCAAGCAGTATGTTTAGATGTCAGGCATGACACGGGTTAAAAAGCCAGCTAGGGGAAAAATGGGAAGTGGCATTTTGCGATCTCATCAAACAATCTTGATATAAACTTAGAGAACAACCTCTTGGCAAATGGAGAGCAGCTGTAGGTTTCTGACTGAATGTGCAAGAAGAACGTGAATGAAAGAGATATACTAGGTGGGAGCAGTCAGGGTAGACTTCCTGGAGGAAGTGGACAGTGTTGTGTGGATTCACACTTTGGAGATATCAAAGAGGAAGAGTATTCCAAGTGGGGGTAACAAATAACAAGGGAGGCAAAAAAGAAAAGTATGAGGGAACAACAGGATGTTGTCAGGAAACTAAGGCTGAGCTGAAATCCAGGTGACCCAGAGAAGCCTTGAGAAGGCTTGTGGCATCTTGTGGAGCAAGTGGGGAACTTGCTCTGTTTGAGAGAATATGCCTGGAATATATGGGATATCATTTAAATTTTCTAAAGGTTATCTACAAGATAATTTCAGAGAATATTCGCTCCCACCTCAGCGTAGGAAACAATGAAACCCTGAAACATTTATTTATTTATTTTCCTTGCTTTTCTTTTTTCTTTCTTTTTTTTTTCTTGAGATGGAGTCTTACTCTGTCACTCAGGCTGGAGTGCAGTGGCGTAATCTTGGCTCACTGCAACCTCCGCCTCCTGGGTTCAAGCAATTCTCCTGCCTCAGCCTCCCGAGTAGCTGGGACAATAGGCATGTGCCGCTATGCCTGGCTAATTTTTTGTATTTTTAGTAGAGACGGGGTTTCATCATGTTGGCCAGACTGGTCTTGAACTCCTGGCCTCAAGTAATCTGCCCGCTTTGGGCTTCAAAAGTGCTAGGATTACAGGTGTGAGCCACTGCACCCAGTCTTTTCCTTACTTTTTATTTTATTTATTTATTTATTTATTTTTTAATTGATCATTCTTGGGTGTTTCTCACAGAGGAGGATTTGGCAGGGTCACAGGACAATAGTGGAGGGAAGGTCAGCAGATAAACAAGTGAACAAAGGTCTCTGGTTTTCCTAGGCAGAGGACCCTGCGGCCTTCCGCAGTGTTTGTGTCCCTGGGTACTTGAGATTAGGGAGTGGTGATGACTCTTAAGGAGCATGCTGCCTTCAAGCATCTGTTTAACAAAGCACATCTTGCACCGCCCTTAATCCATTCAACCCTGAGTGGATACAGCACATGTTTCAGAGAGCACAGGGTTGGGGGTAAGGTCACAGATCTACAGGATCCCAAGGCAGAAGAATTTTTCTTAGTATAGAACAAAATGAAAAGTCTCCCATGTCTACCTCTCTCTACACAGACACGGCAACCATCCAATTTCTCAATCTTTTCCCCACCTTTCCCCCCTTTCTGTTCCACAAAACCGCCATTGTCATCATGGCCCGTTCTCAATGAGCTGCTGGGTACACCTCCCAGACGGGGTGGTGGCCGGGCAGAGGGGCTCCTCACCTCCCAGTAGGGGCGGCCGGGCAGAGGCGCCCCTCATCTCCCAGACGGGGCGGCTGGCCGGGCGGGGGGCTGACCCCCCACCTCCCTCCCGGACGGGGCGGCTTCCTTACTTTTTAAAAATACGTTTGTCTTCAACTATTGGATATCTTCATCTAATTTCTAGTGTTTTTTTTGGTTGTTGTTGGCTTATTTGATTTTTACTTTTTGGTTAATAACAAACCTTTTAAGGAGTTACATAGACTCTTATCAGTTTACTTTTCTAATTTGTTTTCTCCTGAATTCTCAGTTACCTTGGATTGATTGTGCTTTGGGTTCATCTTGCTTTTTCTTAGTGGCTACTTTCAGTTTCCTTCCTCTTCAGTTTGGCAATTTTTTCCCTTTTCAAGCAAGGAGCTCCTCCCTGTTGAGGCGTCACGGGTGGCGGGCAATCCTTACCCGGATCCTCCCACAGCTTGCTCTCTGGAAGCTCACACTGCACCGTAATTATGAAACTTTTGATATTGTCCCTGATGGCTTCTGATGCAAGCTGGGACAGCATTTGTCTGTTGATAAGTGAAACCAAGTTCCTGAGATCTGGCTCTCTTTTGCCCTTCTATCCAATACCAGCAAGGCCCTAGTTTCAGAGCATTTTGGGGACTTATGATCCCTTCTAGTTACCTCTGCATCTGTGCCCCTTTTCCCCTCAAATTAGTTCATAGAGATTTTTGAAGCACCCATGTTACTCAAATAGGCCCATTTTTAGCATGTGGGAGGTAAGGCCTAGATGTGAATCCCTCATAAGCCAGGCAGATCAAACTGTGTGTATGCATGCAGATTTGGCCCAGGAACACTCTTCTCCTTCAGGGCCCATTGTCTACAAGGACAGAAAAGAATTCTTAAGGCCATTCACTATCTCACATTTTCTGTTATTTTTCTGTCTTTTCCTTTTCCCCCTACCCACAGAGAAACATTAGAATCATTGCCCTTTAGAAGAGCAGAACTATGATGCCTCCTGTCAGGGATGGAACGAGGCATTCCATGCAGATGACAACCCAAAGAGAGCAAGAGTGGCTCTATTTATATCAGACAAAATCGACTTTAAGTCAAAAACTGTCACAAGAGACATTAAAGTATATTATATAATGAAAAAAGCATCAATCCACCATGAAGATATAACAATTATAAATATATGCACTCAATATCAGAGCACCTAAATATATGAAACAAACAATGACAGAACTGAAGGGAGAAATAGCCAGCCATACAAAAATAGTAGGAGACTTCAACACTGTACTTTAAATAATGGATAGAACATTCAGACAGAAGATTAATAAGGAAACAGGGGACTTAAACAACATTATAGACCAAATGGACCGAACAGAAATACACAGAACGTTCCACCCTACAGCAGTAGAACACACATTATCCTCAAATGCACATGGAACTTTCTCCAAGGTAGATCACAAGTTGGGTCACAAAACAAGTCTTTGCAAATTTAAGAGACTGAAATCATACCATGTATCTTTTCTGACCATGATGGAATGAAACTAAAAATCAATGGCAGAAGGAAAAATAGAAAGTTCACAAATATGTGGAAATTAAACAACACACTCTTGAACAACAATTAGGCCATAAAAATAAAAAAAGAAATTAGGAAATATCTTGAGATAAATGAAAAGAAAAGCACAACATACCCAAACTTACAGGATAAAAGCAGTACTAAGCAAAGAAGTACTAAGAGGTACTTTATTGCAATACACATCTGCAGTGAAAAAGAAGAAAGATCTCAAGTAAATAGTCTAACTTCGTGCCTCAAGGAGAGGAGAAGAAGATGAAGAAGAAGAGGAACTAAGCCTAAAATTAGTGAAGGAAATAACAAAGATTAGAGTAGGAACCAAGAAAATACAGAATAGAAAAGCAATAGAAAAAAAATCAACAAATTTTTTGAAAAGAATAACAAAAGAATTGGTTTTTTGAAAAGATAAACAAAATCAACAAATCCCTAGTTAGGCTAAGTAAGAAAGAGAGAAGACTCAAATAAACAATATCAGAAATAAAAGAGGAGACATTACAACTGATGCCACAGAAATAAAAACATGAGGCTATAATGAACAATTCTATTCCAACAAACTGGATAATCTAGAAGAAATGAATAAATTCACAAAACCTTCCAATCTACGATGACTGAATCATGAAGAAATACAAAGTCTGAACAGACTTATAACTAATGTGGAGGTTTAGTCAATAATCAAAAATGTTCCCCAAACGAAGAAGTCCAGGACCAGATGGCTTCACAGGTGAATTCTTCCAAACATCTCAAGAAGAATTAATGCCAGTTCTTCTTAAACTATTTTTAAAAATTGAAGAAGAGGGCACACTTCCAAATTTATTTTATGTGGCCAACATTATCCCGATACCAAAGCCAAACAAAGACACCACAAGAAATGAAAACTGCAGGTCAATATCTCTGATGAATATACATATAAAAACTCATAACAAAATACTAGCAAATCAAATTCAACAGTACATTTAAATGATCGTACATCCTGACTGAGTGGCATTTATCCCTAGGATACAAGTATGGATCAACATACAAAAATAAATCAGTGCGAAATGGCCTATTAACAGGGCAAAGATATAAAGATAACATGATCATCTCAATAGATGCAGAGAAAGCATTTGACAAAATTCAATACCCTTTCGTGATTAAACAATTTTTCAACAAACTGGAAATAGAGTCTCAACATCATCAAGACCATATATAAGAAAATTTTCACTGTTGAGTATTATATTAGATGTGAGCTTTTCATATATGGGATTCATAATATGTTTCAAATATATTACAAAGCTATAGTAATTGAAACAGCATGGGAATAGCATAAAGACAAACACATAGGCCATCAGAAGAGAAGAGAGAGCTCAGAAATAAATCCATGCATATACAGTGCCTTAGTCCATTCAGCCTGCTAAAACAAAATACCATAGACTGGTGGCTTATAAAACACAGAAATTTATTTTTCACAGTTCTGGAGGCTAGGAAATTCAAGATCAAGTAGCTAGCAGATTTGCTATCTAGTGAGGGCCTGCTTCTTGGTTCATAAATGGCCATCTTCTCCATGTGTCCTCATGGAATTAGGGTGATGGAGCGCTCTGGGATTTCTTTTATAAGGCACTAGTCCCATTCATAAGTGCTCTACCTTCATGACCTAATCACCTCCCAAAGGTCCCATCTCCAAATACCAACACATAGGGGATTAGGTTTCAACATATGAATTTTAGGGGAAACAAACATCAGTCTATTGCATATACTACCTAAAGCAATCTACAAATTTGGTGTGATCTCTATTAACATCCCAATGGATTTTTTTTTTACAGAAAAAAACCTCTGAAGTATAAAAAGGACCACAAATAGCTAAATCAGTTTTGAGGAAGAACAAAGCTAGAAGCACCATACTTCCTGATTTCTAAATATATTATACTCCCATGGTCATAGCAGCACTATTTACAGTAGCCAAGATGTGCAAACAACCTAAATATCTAGGATGGGGAAAGAAAATGTGGTAGTCACATAAAATGGAATATTATTTGCCTTATAAAGGAGGGAAATTCTATAATATAAGACAACATGGATGAATCTTGAAGACATTATGCTAAGTGAAATAAGCCAGTCACCAAAAGACAAATACTGTATGATTCTACTTACATGTGGTATCTAAAGTAGTCAAATTTATAGAATCAAAGAGTGGAATGGTGGTTGCCAGGGGCTGGGGAGGGGGGAAATGAGTTGCCTGTCAACAAGCATAAAGTTTTAGTTAAGCAAGATGAGTAAGTTCTAGAGATCTGCTGTACAACATTGTACCTATAGTCAACAATACTGTATTGTACACTTAAACATTTGCTAAGAGGGTAGATCTCACTTAAATGTTCTTACTACAATAAAATATAATTGATAAAGCAATAGAAAAGGATTCCTATACATAGGATTCCTATACATAAAAAGGTCAATACCTAATTTCCATTTAATTAAAAGCAATGAATAGTCAATTTACACACAAGACAATTTCTGTTATTGAGGCAGCTATAGGATATAGAAGAGATTTCCCAACTCACTTTGCAAGGTGCACATAGCCTTGAATCCACAAGCATAATGTAAATAATTTACTTTTAAGAAACTCAGACAGAAAAATCCTATAATCATCTCAAAAGATCCTGACATTTCTTTTTGATAATTTAATGCCCCTTTCTGATTTTTGTCAAATACTAGGAAGCTAATAGGTAAGGAAAAGTCCCTAACTTGATAAAAATACCTACCAGATGCCCAAATCAAAAATCATATGAATTAGGAAGTTCTGGAGTGCTTCTCATTAAACTCAGGAACGTGTAATATCGTTATTAATGTATTGTTCCACCCTGTTTTGGAGGGCCTGGCCAATTTAACAAGTTAGGTGATTTGATAAGTTAGTTTAATACGCATAACAGCATGGCTGTCCCGAGGCATACAGGAGGCGATGGGCTGAGTCCTGACTGCAGCTCCCCCAAGGACCTGCCACGCATGGATTATACACAAAGTCTGTTCAAGTCTGTTGAGGGAGTGAAGGGTCGGGGGGCAGCAATCCCCTGTTTGGCCTGCCAGGTAAAGCCTTTGTAATTGCTAATGGCTGGGCCTGACAGATTACACATAGGATTTTGGCCTGGAGCCCAAATAATTCCTAAACTCCATCCTTTGATTTTTCAGAGCCCAAGCGAGAAACATAGGCTACCCCATCATGGACCTGAATGGGTTGGATTTTGAGGGTCTCTGTTAGGAGCCAGGTTATTAGTCTGCAGTTACAATAAATAGACCATGGTCAGGATCAAGATCACTTCCAGCATCGTGTACAGATTAATATGCCTGGGGTAGCTTAGGTACCAGAAAAATCCATGTTTACAGAAATGTTTGTTTGCAGCATTCAGTGGCACAGGAACAAAATATTTATTTGTGGGGATACATCCAGCATTTTGTCAAATTCACTGGGGAACTGCCTGGGACAGGCATATCAATGAATTTAGTGACTTGGAAGTCACACAGTCTATTCTGTAGGAGAGAGAGAAGGAAGGTTAGATTCCCACTTCTCCCTCCTCTGTACCCTGGCTCATGGGTTCATAGGCGCTCACGTTGGGGGAATTTTCCCCAACCACTGTGACATGGGTAAGGGTAGCATCTTCCGACTATCCTCCAGGGAGGTGGGCTGTAATCTGGCCTGGATCCTCTGATGACTAAAAAAAAAAGTTTCTCTTCTGTACATTGATATCCATCCCTTGAAAATAACCAGGCAAAGCAACAAAGCCACTTTATGGAAAACATTGAATTAGAAGCCTCAAGTTGATAGTGATTATTTTTTGCAGGCAAAAAAATCCATGCTCAGCACCAAAGGGATAACTGATGAAGAGGGTTACTGTCTCTCATGCTTTGTTTTTTAATAGCTAATCTAATCTCTCACCTATCTGAGTCTTTAGAAAGGAATTGAAGGGGGTGGGGGGCCCTTGTAGGGTTCCCCAGAGAGACTGAGGCTGTGCAATAAAAGGAAGCAGGTAGACAGTCTGATCAAATATGCAGCGCAAATGATGACTGCCCCTTTGAGGAATGCCACACTGGGACCCCAGACTGTTCCCCTGAGATGCATAGTCCAGGCCGAGGTTCTTTTATTCCCTCCTGTCAGTCACTTAACCCTGTCCTTCAATTGTCTACTAAAACACTCAATCATCCCTGCTGCTTGGAGGCGATAGAGAGCATAGGGCGTCCATCATATATGCCCCATGCTTGGGCCCATTGATGTGTGGCTTGGGCCACAAATCTGGGGCCATTATCAGATGCATTCTATGCCTGGGAATCAACCATCTAAGATCTGAAATTGTGTCACCGATTGATTGACCTGACCTCACAAGGAGGTTTTTTATTTGTTTTTGTTTTTTTTTTTGAGACAGAGTCTCACTCTGTCACCCAGGTTGGAGTGCAGTGGCTCAATCTCACTGCTACTTCCATCTCCCAGGTTCAAGTGATTCTTATGCCTCAGCCTCCCGAGTAGCTGGAATTACAGACACGCACCACCATGCCTGGCTAATTTTTGTATTTTTAGTACAGACAGGGTTTCACCATGTTGGCTAGCCTGGTCTCGAACTCCTAACTTCAAGTGATCCGCCCACCTCGGCCTCCCAAAGTGTTGGGATTACAGGCGTGAGCCACTGTCCCCAGCCACTGGACTTGATAACCATCCGGAGTATCATGAACAAAGCTAGAAATCTGAGTCTGGTTGCAACCTCATCATCTGCTGCTTCCACTTCCTTATCATAGACCCAGGGGACCACCAGTGTAGCCTGCCACGGCTCCAGGTTTGGAGTGAGGCGTAGGTTCCAGGCAGCTCCTGTTGACCCTGCTGCTGCAGGCCAGGTCAGCTGTCCTTGCCCAGGTGTGAATCATGGGCATGTATCTCCCTGCTGGGCTTCCGCTTTGCTGCCCTTTCCTGGCCCTTTGGCCAGAGAGAGCAGGCTTTTCTTTCTGTTGCTTTTCCTTGTTTGTTCTTTTTTTTTTTTTTTTTTTTGAGACGGAGTTTCGCTCTTGTTGCCCAGACTGGAGTGCAATGGTGCAATCTCGGCTCACCGCAACCTCTACCTCCCAGGTTCAAGCAATTCTCCTGCCTCAGCCTCCCAAGTAGCTGGGATTACAGGCATGTGCCACCATGCCCGGCTAATTTTGTATTTTTAGTAGAGACGGGGTTTCTCCATGTTGAGGCTGGTCTCGAACTCCCAACCTCAGGTGATCTGCCTGCCTTGGCCTCCCAAAGTGCTGGGATTACAGGCGTGAGCCACTGGGCCCAGCCATTTGTTCTTTCTAATTTAGGCCTGTTGGTGGTTCTGGATTGCAGGCCTCTTTCGTTTTCAGTCTGGCATGTGTGGGAATAAAAAGACAGCCCAGGGCACAAAACAGGGTGTTGTTCCTGCCTCTGGGTCCCCCGCCAGTCTGCCTCTACTTTCCACCTCTCAGGGTTGTGTGATTGTCTGTTGATTTATTCCCAGGGTATTTAGGTGTCCTTAGAGGGGAGAAGCAGGGAAAAGTGAATCTATGCCATCGTGTCTCGGAACTGGAAGTCCACCCCCATCCCCACACACACTAGAATTGCAGAAGAAAAATAAGATGAGAACTTGAGTGAAAAAAACATATTATTATGCAATCATCAAATGTTTGGACAGAAAGTGTTCTTAGACAACCTCTAGTCTAATTTCTCACATTTGGAAATCTGGAAGTTGGACTAAGACCTGAATCGACCACCCTCACCCCCAGTTCAGCTGACTGACTCCCCAGCCTGTATTCTCACCATTCCACACCAGGATCTGTCCTGAGGCTTTGAAAAAATGTGAACTGCATGTCCTGCTCAGATCCCAACCCTCCCACACCACTTTGCTAAGAGTCTGTTCTGTCTGCAAAAATCCCAAAAGTTGTGTCAACTGGAACGCAAAATGTTCTTCATTTGACTTTCATTGTTTTTTGGAATTTTGGGGGGCCAGGGAGGAGCAAGAAAGGAGCTGCAATTGCCCTTGGGTAAGATTTGCTTAGAATTTTAGGAAGAAGTTGTCTGGGCACAGTGGCTTACTCCTGTAATCCCAGCACTTTGGGAGGCCGAGGTGGGTGGATCACGAGATCAGGAGTTCAAGACCAGCCTGGCCAAGATGGTGAAACCCTGTCTCTACTAAAAATACAAAAACTAGCTGGGTGCAGTGGCAGGCGCCTGTATTCTGCTAGGGAGCTGAGGCAGGAGAATTGCTTGAGCTGGCGGGGTGGAGGTTGCAGTGAACCAAGATCACACCACTGCACTCCAGGCTGGGCGGCAGAGTGAGACTGTCTGTCTCAAAAAAAAAAAAAAAAAAAAAAAAAGAAGAATTTTAGGAAGAAATCTATCTGATTCTAGAATTATCTAGGCTGTTGAGGATGTGTGTCTGGTGGCCACTGGGACATCAGGGTGAGACTTTTCTTTTAACTGCATGTATGTGAATTAGGTTGCTTCTGGAGCCTACTGAGAGCTCACTGGGTCCCCATAGCATCCATGCTGAAGGCGCCTTCCTTCTGTCTGTGACCTTGACCCTCAGCTCCACATTTCCCCAGGGGCTGCAGGATTTCTCAGAATCCTCATTAGCACAACCTATTTTTTTTTTTTTTTTTCCTGAAACAGAGCCTCACTCTGTTGCCCAATGCAGTGGTGTGATCTCGGCTCACTGCAACCTCTGCCTCCCAGGTTCAAGTGATTCTCATGCCTCAGCCTCCCAAGTAGCTGGGACTACAAGCGTGTGCCACCATTCCTGGCTAATTCTTGTATTTTTTTTTGAGATGGAGTCTCGCTCTGTTGCCCAGGCTGGAGTGCAGTGGTGCGATCTCGGCTCACTGCAACCTCCACCTCCCGGGTTCAAGGGATTCTCCTGCCTCAGCCTCCCGAGTAGCTGGGACTACAGGTGCCCGCCACCACACCTGGCTAATTTTTTGTATTTTTAGTGGAGACAGCGTTTCACTGTTTTAGCCAGGATAGTCTCGATCTCCTGACCTCGTGATCCGCCCGCCTTGGCCTCCCAAAGTGCTGGGATTACAGGCGTGAGCCACTGCGCCCGGCCAACTTTTGTATTTTTAGTAGAGATGGGGGTCTCACTATGTTTGTCAGGCTGGTCTTGGACTCCTGGCCTCAAGTGATCCACCTGCCTCAGCCTCCCAAATTGGTAGGATTACAGGTGTGAGTCACTGTGCCTGGACAGCACCACCTATTAGTGAATGACAGCCTTGACTTTTGAGGCTAAAACTTTCCACTTCTTTAGTATAGTAATTAAATCTCTCGCTTTTTCTACTATTTCGGTAATTAAGCAGGTAAAGAAAAATATCCAGAACAATATAATAGGGAGTAGGGCAAGAAAATCCTGAGGAACCACGACCTGTGGGTGGATCGAGTGCAGGGGTCCTTGAGTGTAGCTGGTTGCAGGAAGGCCCCAGCAGAAGGGGGCTTTGATGAGCATCCACCTTGTGTACCGAGTGAATGTCCGTCCAGATGAGGTGCGGATGCAGCTGACAATGGAGGCGACTGTAATGGACTATCCCAAGTAGCAACATCATCAATTTAGGTTTTCAGCCTGAGTGAGACTTTCAGTTAATACTCAACTGAAAACAAGATGCAAATTTTCCTTCAGAAATTTGTTGAAAGTGTTTTCACTTTGGTACTATTGATCTATTAAAGGGCTGAGATGCAGAGGAGACACCATTGTGTAATTTCTAGTGGCCGCTCTTTTTGTCCGTTATCTGTTCACTGTTCTATCCATGCTGTTCTGCCACACCCCTTTTTCACTTACCAACACATGTTGGAGATTGCTCTCTATCATAGCATTTCCTCTCCTATTCTCTAGCCTGCCTCTTCACTCTCTTAATGGTATCATTTTTCTGAAAAGAAGCTCTTAATTCTAAAATGGTCCTGTTGGTGGTTTTTTCCCCTTATGGTCAGCACTTTTTGTGTCCTTTTTGAGTTTTTGTCTACTCCAATATCATAAAGACATTCTCTTAGGATTTCTCATAAAGTTTTACTGCTTCCTTCTTTTTTGAGAGAGTCTTACTCTGTTGCCCAGGCTGGAGTGCAGTGCTGCGATCTTGGCTCACTACAACCTCTGCCTCCTGGGTTCAAGCAATTCTCATGACTCAGCCTCCTGAGTAGCTGGGACTACAGGTGCCCCCCACCATGCCCAGCCAATTTTTGTATTTTTAGTAGAGGTGGGGGTCTTGCCATGTTGGTCAGGCTAGTCTTCAACTCCTGACCTCAGGTGATCCACCTGCCTTGGCCTCCCAAAGTGCTGGGATTATAGGTGTGAGCCACCACGCCCTGGTCAATTGCTTCCTTTTTATATTTAGATTGACTATCCATCTGGATTTGAATTTTGTGTGGGTAGGAAATCAAGGCTCATTTTATTTTTATATGGCTATCTTGTTGATCTGTCGTTATTTACTATAAAGACGATCCTTTTTTCACTTCACCTCATTGTCACCTTTACCCATGTATCAAGTGAGAATAGAGTGTGAGACTTTAAAAAATTAATGGATTATTTTTTAAGAACAGTTTCAGGTTTAGAGAAAAAACAGAGCAGATTAGCTGGGCATGGTGGTATGCACCTGTAGTCCCAGCTTATTCATATGCTTATTTGCCATCTGCGTATCTTTTTGTGAGGTGTCTGTTCAGACCTCTTGCCCACTTTTCAATCGGGTTGTTTTCTTATTGTTGAGTCTTAACAGATTAGCTTAATCAGATTGGCTTCGGGAGGCTAAGGCGAGAGGATCGCTTGAGCGCGGGAGGCGGAGGTTGCAGTGAGTTGAGATCACACCACTGCACTCTAGCCTAGGTGACAGAGAGAGACCCTGTCTCAGAAAGAAAAAAAAAGAAAGAGCAGAAAGTAGAGAGTTCCCATATACCCTCTGCCTCCTACACTTCTCCCCTCCCCACACTTTCCCGTTATTAACATCTTGCATTAGTGTGGTACATTTGTTACAAGTGATGAACCAATATTGATATTGTAGGGGAGGGCAAATCTGTTTTCCTTCTACCCTTCTAAGTTCATGGCTGAGAACCCTATAACAGAAGACAGATTAATAAGAGAAAAGTGCATAAACATATTTAAGTTTTATGTGACATGGAAGCCTTTATAAGGAAATGAAGACTCCAAGAAGCAGTTACAGTTTGATGTAGGTTTGATAAAGGGTGGACAGTTGTGGAGGATATGATAGAGCAAAGAGTTTGAAGTAAGTGTAGTCCGCTGGCAGAAGCTTATCAAGGCCCGTTTGTTTAGTTAGATTCCTCTCTGTGTCCCTTTGTCTTCACAGATACCACCAGGTATAGGGAGGGCATCTCTCACCTGAGGGTCTTATGACCTGGCTTCAGGAGAAGGTCAGAAAACCCTTCCTGCACATGCTGCTTTTGCAAATTCCTTCACCTTAAAATATTCAATATGTCATTGTGTTAGTCTGTTCTTGCATTGCTCTAAAGAGATACCTGAGGTTGGGCAATCTATAAAGAAAAGAGTTTTAATTGGCTCATGGTTCCACAGACTGTATAGGAAGCATGATGCTGGCATCTGCTTGGCTTCTGGGGAGGCCTCAGGAAACTTACAATTATGGTGGAAGACAAAGGGGGAGCGAGACATCTCATGTGGCTAGAGCAGGGGAAGCAAGAGAGCGGGGAGGTGCCACATATTTTTAAACAACCAGAATATCATGAGAATTCTATCATGCAAACAGCACTGTGGGGATGGTGCTAAACTATTAGAAACCACCCCCAAGATCCAATCACCTCCCACCAGGCTCCGCCTCCAACATTAGGAATTACAACTGGACATGAGTTTGGGTGAGGACACAAATCCAAACCATGTCAGTCGTGGTGCCATATTTTGTGGTAGCACGTCCTGAATCCCATCAATAAATTATTCTGAACTAAAGTTCCATAGTTTCCATTAGGGTTCACTTTTGGTGTACATCCTACCGGTTTTGCCAAATGAATAATGCCATGTAGAACCGTTACAATATTGTACAGAATAATTTCACTCCCCTAAAAATCCCCTGTGCTGAACCTATTCACACTTCCTCCCCTGAGTCCCTGGCAACCACTGTCTCTATAGTTTTAATCAGAATGTCACATAGTTGGAATCATACAGTATGTAGCCTCTCCAGATTGCCTTCTTTCACATAGTAACATTCAATTAAGGCTCTTCCATGCCTTTGCGTGGTTTGATAGCTCATTTCTTTTTATTGCTGAATAATAATCTATGGTATGGATGTGCCACAGTTTATCCATTCATTTATTGAGGGACATCTTGGTTGCTTCCAACTTTTGGCAGTTATGAATTATGAATAAAGCTGGTATAAACATTCATGTGCAGGTTTTTGCATGGACATAAATGTTCAATTTGGGTAAATATCTAGAAACGTGATTGCTGGATCTTGCGGTAAGCATATGCTTTGGCCAGGCGCGGTGGCTCATGACTGTGATCCCAGCACTTTGGGAGGCTGAGGTGGGATCACCTGAGATCAGCAGTTTAAGACCAGTCTGGCTAACACAGTGAAACCTCATCTCTACTAAAAAAAATACAAAAATTAGCTGGGCGTGGTGGCGTGTGCCTGTAATCCCAGCTACTCAGGAAGCTGAGGCAGGAGAATCGCTTGAACCTGGGAGGTGGAGGTTGCATTGAGCCAAGATGGCGCCACTGCACTCCAGCCTGGGCAATAGAGTGAGACTCTGTGTCAAAAAAAAAAAAAAAGAAAAAAAAATGGCCAGGCGCAGTGGCTCACACCTGTAATCTCAGCACTTTGGGAGGCGGAGGCAGGTGTATTATTTGAAGTCAGGAGTTTAACACCAGCCCGACCAACATGGTGAAACCCTGTCTCTACTAAAAATACAAAAATTAGCTGGGCGTGGTGGTCATGCCGGTAATCCCAGCAACTTGGGAGGCTGAGGCAGGAGAATCGCTTGAACCCAGAGGCAGAGGCTGTAGTGAGCCAAGATCACACTTGCCGTTGCACTCCAGCCTGGGAGACAGAGTGAGACTCCGTCTAAAAAAAAAAAAAGCTTCATGACAAACTTCCAGACTTTCTTCCAAAGTGTCCGTATGAGTTTTCATTCCCACGAGTAATGAATGAGAGTTCCTGTTACTTCACATCCTTGCCAATGTTTGGTGGTGTCAGTGTTTCGGATTTTAGCAATTTTGGCAAATATGTAGTGGTATCTCACTGTTGTTTTAATTTGCAATTCCCTAATGACATATGATGTTGAACATCTTTTCATATGCTTATTTGCCATCTGTATATGTTTTTGGTGAGGTATCTGTTCAGATCTCTTGCCCACTTTTCAATTGGGTTGTTTGTTTTGTTATTGTTGAGTGTCAAGAGTTCTTTGTATATTTTTGGATAACAGCATGGTTTTTGTTTTTGTTTTTGTTTTTTTTTGAGACAGAGTCTCGCTCTGTCACCAGGCTGTAGTACAGTGGCATGAACTTGGCTCACTGCAACCTCTACCTCCCAAGTTCAAGCAATTCTCCTGCCTCAGCCTCCCGAGTAGCTGGGACTACAGGTGTGTGCCACCATGCCCAGCTAATTTTTGTATTTTTAGTAGAGACGGGCTTTCACCATGTTGGCCAGGATGGTCTGGATCACTTGACCTCGTGATCCACCAGTATGGTTGAGTTTTAAGAGTTCTTTGTACGCTTTTGGGTAACGGTCTTTTGTTTTGCAAACATTTTCTCCCAATCTGTGGTTTGTCTCTTCACTCTTAACTGTATCTTTTGAAGGGGGATCTCAAAGAACATCTGGTCCCCCACAACAACATGTCATGTCAGGTGAGAGATGACTCATTTTCTCAGAAACTAGGATTTTGTGTCATATGTTGTAAACCACGAAAAGTTAATTTTATAACCCACCTTCTAGATCTACTGAGAATACGTGGTGTTATCACTAACAGTTTTGAGGAAAGAAATAATTGCCTAATTCATTTTGTAGTGAATGTGTTTTGTTACTACCACAGATACTCTTAAAATCCACTTATTATGGAGGGGGAAAAAAAAGGAATTTTCTTTACAGAAAGTGAGGAGTGAAACCTAATGGAGAAAATATCTGTTTCAGGGAATAACCCTCCCAACATCTGATTTTTTTTTGTTTTAGACAGGGGCTCGCTCCGTCCCCCAGGCTGGAGTGCAGTGATGCAATCATAGCTCACTGCAGCCTTGAACTCCTGGGTTTAAGCAATCCTCCTGCCTCAGCCTCCTGAGTAGCTGGGACCACAGGTGTGCACCACCACTGCACCACCACACCCGACTAATTTTTTTGATTTTTGGTAAAGACAGTATGTTGCCCAGGCTGATCTTAAACTCCTGAGCTCAAGTGATCCTCCCACTTCAGCCTCTCAAAGTGCTAGGATTATAAATGTGAGCCACTGCACCTAGCCTGATCTTTTTTTTTTTTTTTTTTTTTTTTTTTTTTAAGAAACAGTCACTAGTGCTGTATGTAGGTTACAGTAGCTATGTAGGCCCTTCAGAGTCACTTCACTTTTCTGAGCTTTCGTTTCTTCAACGTCTTCCTGTCTGTAAGACACATGCTCTTCTACCCCTGAGACCAAAAAATGTTACCAGTGAGGATCTAATGATATAAAATAGGGAAAATGCTTTAAAACTGCACAGTGCTTAACAAATGCACTGTTATTATATCATTAAAAGTGACTCCTGGGTGGTGGGAATGGTTGCATAACGACGTGAATGTACTTGATGTCACTTAAAACTGGTTACAATGGTAAATTTTATGGTATATATATTTTACCACAATTAATACATTTTAAAAGATGGTTCTTGACAATTATTCTTAGCGTCTGAGGTGCCCCATTTCTTGGGTATGGGCATATAGTGCCTCAAGAATATTGGGGATCCTCACCTCTTCTATGCCCAAACCTTTAAGAAAATTCTGGGCCAGGCGCAGCGGCTCACAGCTGTAATCCACCACTTTGGGAAGCCGAGGTGGGTCGATCACCTAAGGTCGGGAGTTCGAGACCAGCCTGACCAACATGGAGAAAACCCGTCTCTACTAAAAATACAAAATTAGCTGGGTGTGGTGGCACACACCTGTAATCCCAGCTACTCGGGAGGCTGAGGCAGGAGAATCGCTTGAACCCAGGAGGCGGAGGTTGCGGTGAGCCGAGATTGCACCATTGCACTCCAGCCTGGGCAACAAGAGCAAAACTCCATCTCAAAAAAAAAAAAAAAATTCTGGAAAAGCTAGGTCAGTGACATGAATATTGGAATCAGAGTCTAACAAACTCAATTTCTTCCTTTCTAAATCCGTGGTACGGATTCATGTCTGCAGTAGTTTTTCTGAGAAAGCAGAAGGGGTAGGTATTGGCAATCAACAAGCTGCAGAGTATGCAGATTGAGGTCAGTAACTGTAAATGCCCCATGACTGTCTGATCATTTTAATACCAAAAGAAAAACTTAAAATCCCAGTTGCTAAAATCTTTGTCTTAGACAACTCTTTGAGCCTCTCCCTACAAGGCCCAGAAAGGAATGAGATAGATGTGAATGGAATCTGTTTTCCCTTCCCTTGCCACGCTCTGGAGGAGGAGTCTAGGGCAGTAGCCAAGGCCAGCTGCCAGTCAAGGAAAGGGGAGCGGCCCCGTTGAATCCACAAACCACACCATCCTGGCCCATGGGTTATATACAAACTCCCACATTGGCAACAAACAAAGGGCATGCACATTCAGGGGATTTTGCTTTCACTGTGAGTGTTTATCTTTGAAGGGTGTCACATCAAGATGAATGGGAAGGGTGTGTTGCAGTTGAGCTGAGGTTTGGTCTTTCTTGGCTTTTTTAGGGACACTTACAGGTCCAAATCTGCTTTCAGCCGGCTGGTGGACATGGTAGGAGACACAGTAGTCTCAGGACCAGGCCTCCAGGTGGGAGCTGAGATTCTAGAGGGTGGAAACCACTTGGAGATTGAGTCAAAGCAGACCTGTCCTCATTCTGTGCTGGGCAGGAGCCAGCTCTCCATGTCCCTGCAGCTCCAGCAACACCTCCGGATCTTTCAGCTTCCCTGGGACTAAGGACCATGCACATTATTAATTCTGATATAAACAGTCACACAGGCACATGTCTCAAGATGAGGGTGAGAAGTTGGTTACAGCAAATGAAGTAATAATGATCTTTGTGCTTCACAATAGGAATTCAACCAACCTGAGGTTTATAATTCACTTATTAACACTTTTTATTTTTGTTGAGACGGAGTGTCCCTCTGTCACTCACGCTGGAGTGCAATGGTGTCATCTCGGCTCACTGCAACCTCCGCCTCCTGGGCTCAAGTGAGTCTCGTGCCTTGAGTGGCTGAGACTACAGGCACATGCCACCATGCCCAACTAATTTTTTTGTATTTTTAGTAGAGATGGGGTTTTGCCATGTTGGCTAGGCTGGTCTCAAACTCCTGGCTTCAAGTGATCCGCCTACCTCAATCTCTTCAAGCGCTGGGATTACAGGGGTAAGCCACTGTGCCTGGCCATAATTCATTTATCAGTCATATATATATACACACACACTGGGAGAATCTAGGGTCAGTGCCTTACAAATGGCACAAGTTGAAGCCCTGAGACTCCCACTCCTACCCTGCTCCCCCCATTCTCAGTACTGCTCCTCAGATGCCTCCAGCAGATCATCCATTTCTGCTAGGCTGGGCCTGGGTACATGCAGGGAGATGTGTACAGGGGCTAAGAGCAGAAACTTTTGAGTGAGACACTCCTGAGTTCATGCACTGGCCCTGCCATTTGTCAGCTAATTGATGTTGCATTTAATTGCATCATCTGTATGTAAGCCTAATAATTTATAGCCATCTTAGAGATGTTGTGAGCTTAAATAACATAGTAGTGAATATTTATTTATTTGTTTATTTATTTATTTAGACAGGGCCTCGCTCTGTCACCTAGGCTGGAGTGCAGTGGTGTGATCATAGCTCACTGCAGCCTTGACCTCCCACACTCCAGTTATCCTCTCACCTCAGCCTCCTGAGTAGCTTGAGACAACAGATGCATGCCACCATAACTGACTAATTTTTTAAAATTTTCTGCAGAGACAGTGTCTCCCTATGTTGCCCAGGCTGGCCTCGATCTCTTGGGCTCAAGCGATCATCCTGCCTTGGTCTTCCAAAGTGCTGGGATTACTGGTGTGAGCCACTGCACCCACAGCCTATTTATTGAGAAATGTGGAAGGCCCAGGCACTATTCTAAGTGCTCCAGCTGTTTTATCTCCCACAGTTTTGCTCAGATAGGAGTTCCAAAGCTGGAGCTGGAAGACTCATATTTTTAGAAATGTTACAGTTAATTCTGAGGTGGGTCAGATTGAGATTCATGGCTATGCATTAATGTTTAGGTGGTGACTAACCACTCAGGGTTTTAGAGACAAACAGACCTTATTCTGTCACTCACTGACTGAGCGTGGCCAAGTCTTTCAGCCTCTCTAAGCCTCAGTGTCCTCATCCATAAAATGGGACCAATCGTAGCATCCACTTCTGAGAACTGTTCAGAAGTGGAAATGAGCTAGTTTAGGTGGCTGTGTCTGGCATACGCCAATGGTTTGATAAGTATTAGCTTGTGCCTTTATTAGGCCAACTCCTTTTTGTTAGGTGACTGAGAAACCAAGGACCTTCTGCCCTTTATGCACCAGTCACTATTAGTTTAAATTTGTTGCTCTTCCATCCACATGATTCATTCCAAATTTGAAGTGTTGGAGAAAGGGAGTTAGTATGTCATAGAAAAATCTCTGTTTTTGGCTCAGCAGGACTGAGTTTGACTCCATGTAACTGTCTGAGTCTTAGTTTCCTCATCCATAACATGGGAGAACAATACCCTGAATTAGAGAATTCTGCTGCCAGAATTAGAGATAGTTCATGTCAAGGTGCAACATATAGGTAATGTGTTATTGCTGGTGTTCTGGTTATAAAATGTACAAGATGTGAAAGCAAAAGGGCAGAAAACCCTTTTTAAAAATTCATGGCTGGGCGCGCTGCCTCATGCCTGTAATCCCAGCACTCTGCCAGGCCGAGGCGGGTGGATCACCTGAGGTCGTGAGTTTGAGACCAGCCTGACCAACATGGAGAAACCCTGTCTCTACTAAAAATACAAAATTAGCCGGGCATGGTGGCGCATGCCTGTAATCCCAGCTACCCAGGAGGCTGAGGCAGGAGAATCGCTTGAACCCGGGAGGCGGAGGTTGCTGTGAGCCGAGATGGCACCATTGCACTCCAGCCTGGGCAACAAGAGCGAAACTCCGTCCCCCGAACAAAAAATTCAAATGGGAAAGAGAGGCAGATGGCAGAGAACAGGGGAGGGGCTGGGCACCGTGGCTCATGCCTGTAATCCCAGCACTTTGGGAGGCCAAGGCGGGTGGATTTCTTGAGGTCAGGAGTTCAAGACCAGTCTGACCAACATGGTGAATCCCCATCTCTATTAAAAATACAAAAATTAGCCGGGGGTGGTGGTGGGTGCCTGTAGTCCCAGCTACTCGGGAGGCTGAGGCAGGAGAATCACCTGAACTCAGGAGGTGGAGGTTGCAGTGAGTCAAGATCGCACCACTGTACTGTTGCCTGGGCAACGCACCGAGACTCCGTCTCAAAAAAAAAAAAAAAATGAGAGAACAGGGGAGGGTCTAGGGCTCAGAGCTTTGGAGAACAGACCTCAGTAGCACCAACACTCCAGGATCAATGCTACAAAGACACGGGTTACAACTAAACTGGAGAACATGGCCAAGGATGGGAACTCAGCCTGAGCAGGGCTGAGCCGAGCAGGGCTAAGCCAAGTAGGGCTGAGCCAGAACACTTCCTCCTTTTTTCTGAACAATCTACCTACATTTCAGCTACAGGGCTGGCTTTACCCAGTCCGGCGGGAGGGAGGAGAGGGCTGGTCTGTGACTTCAGTGCTGAGGTTTGATCAAGGCAAAGGGAAACTTCCTATTCCCAGACCCTTTGCAAGAAAGAATGGCATATTACTTGCCACCGACAGGGGTTATTATTACTAAATGGAGTCAGTATAAATGCTTTCCAATAAAGCATGTCCAGCGCTCGGGCTTTAGTTTGCACGTCCATGAATTGTCTGCCACATCCCTCTTCTGAATGGTTGGAAATTGGGCATCTGTTCCTTTAAACAGGAAACATTTCTTGTTCGAGTGAGTCATCTCTGTTCTGCTTTAGGAGTAAAGTTTACCCTGCAGTTCCTTCTGTGGTGAAGTTTTCTCTTTCTCTCGGAGACCAGATTCTGCCTTTCTGCTGGAGGGAAGTGTTTTCACAGGTTCTCCTCCTTTTATCTTTTGTGTTTTTTTTCAAGCCCTGCTGAATTTGCTAGTCAACTCAACAGGAAGTGAGGCCATGGAGGGAGGCAGAAGAGCCAGGGTGGTTATTGAAAGTAAAAGAAACTTCTTCCTGGGAGCCTTTCCCACCCCCTTCCCTGCTGAGCACGTGGAGTTAGGCAGGTTAGGGGACTCGGAGACTGCGATGGTGCCAGGAAAGGGTGGAGCGGGTGAGTGCCTGTTGCCAAGGTGGCCTCTTCAACAGGAAACCACAATATTTTTGTTTCTTGACTTGCTCTAGAAACAGGGCTGTGGGGGTGGGGAAGCAACTTGGATCTGCCCTTCTGAGGACACCTCTGGGTGCTGCCTGGCCCAGGTCTCCTGTGTGGTTTCTCTCTGAGCCGTTGCCTCTGACTTTGCTACTTTTTCACTCTGAGCAGTCTCCAGTTCCTCTGCTACCTTTTTGTCCTCCAAGCTTCCCTGCCGCCTCGAATGCAGATACACGGTCTCCCTCCTGTGGACCCGTTTGGAGAGTCCAGAAGACTTTATCAATCCACTTTTTTTTCTTTTTCATTTGGCCCTGGGGCCGACGGTTAAGTACTTTATTCTGTCATTCTGTCGAATCACGATGCCCTGAGGTGCACAGCCCCTTCCCCCTCTTCCGTGTCTGAAGGGTTTCCTTTTATCTCTCCACCCCCACCCTTGCCCTCCTGCCCTCTCTCTTGTTCCCCAAAGACAGTTCTCTAATGTTTTGATGTGGATTCGTGAATTTATCTGTATCTTTGCAAAATGTATTTTTCTTTTGTATGTGTACACTGTTTTTTAACTATGCGATCTCAGGCAAGTAATTCCTCTGTGCCTCTGTTATCTCATCATTAAATGATTAATAATGCCTCCAGAGGTGACTGTGAGGCTTGAAGGAGATAATACGCATACATCACTTACTACACGAGTTAGCAATTATTATTGCATATTAATACTATTGGTATTTTATTTTGCTCATTCTGTTTCTATTTCTTTTTTATTTATTTATTTTTTGAGACAAAGTCTTGCTCTGTCACCCAGGCTGCAGTGCAGTGGTGCAATCACGGCTCACTGCAGCCTCAACATCCTGGGATCAAGCAATTTTCCCATCTCAGCCTTCAGATTAGCTGGGACCACAGGCGCGTGCTACCACACCTGGCTAATTAAAAAATTTTTCTTCATAGAGATGGTGTCTCATTTTGTTGCCCAGGCTGGTCTCAAACTCCTATGCTCAAGGGATCCTCCCACCTTGGCCTCTCAAAGTGCTAGGATTACATGCATGAGCCACGGTGGCCATCCAGGCATTGATATTATGAGGCCATCTTGACCTAGCCCTCTCTGGTGAAGAGTCCTTTTCAGATACTTCGTTCAGTCTTCTCAGCTATGAGTCCCTACCCTCTGAAAGCTTATATTCTATTTGGGGAAAGACAAAAGGCAGTTTCAAAGAAGAGAGGTGTTTGATTTTCTTTTCCTACTTTTAATATCAGAAAACATTTCATCTAACTCTCAGTATGAAGGCAATATTTTGTTTACTGGTATATCCCTAGAGCCCAACATGGTGAGGGCCCCAGGATTTGCTTCTTTGATAAGATGGTAAACCCAGCTTTCAGCTAACTTCATGGTTTCCTCAGCTACACTCATATACAAGGATCACCTTTGGTAAGATGGACTTACCATCTTACCAAAGAGTTTTTGCATTTTAGAGTTTTTTCTTTTTAGATTTTTTTCATTTTAGAATTTTTTTATTTCAGAGTTTTTTCTTTTTAGAGGTTTTTCATTTTAGAGTTTTTTCTTTTTAGAGTTTTTTTTTTTTTTTAATTTTAGAGTATTTTAGGCTGCTGAGGGTGGAATCTGGTGACCTTGGGGCCACAGAGATGCTCCTTGGCTAAACCAGGGGCTTTAGCTCTGAAAGTTCACAGCCACCCTGAGAACCAAGATGAGAGGGCTCTGCAGTGTCCAATCTCAAGACCTCTCTGAGGTGCTCCATCAAGATTCATTGAATGAAAAAATTAAAGTCTTAATGATGAACCCAGAAAAATCTTTAAATCCTAAATATGAAATGAAAGTGTTCTTAGTTACAATCCAGTCCAACGTCCTTGTTTTGGAATGTGGAAATGAGGCCCCAAAGGTAAAATGGCCCATCCAAAGTCACAGCCAGGGGCCAGTGCTCAGGTGGCCAGGTGCCCTGCGTGCGGTCTCCTGGACCACCAGGCCTTTTTCCTGCAGCTTTAGAAGCTTTAGAAGGCACTCTGCTCACTCAGGGGCAAGTGGTAAGCGCTCTTTCCCCTCTAGTGTTTGTGACTCAGGAGTTTCGAAACAGGAAGTAGAGCTGGCTGGCTGTGCCCTTCCGTCCTTCATTAGACGTTTGCTCTTGTCTTAGATGCTCAGATGGTAGTGGATAGGCCTGTGACGAAGGTGCTACCATCGTGAGAGTAAGGTAAGGATTTGCCTCTTTGTTAAGGTCAGAGGGGCCTTTTGGGAGGAAGGCCTTTGATTCTGGAGTTTTCTAGGCTGCTGAGAGTGAGATCGGGTGGCCCTGGGGCCATGGAGGTGATCCTCGTATGTGAGTGTGGATGGGGAAACCATGAAGTTAGTGTAAGAGGTAGCAGTCCCTCTGAGAGCCTTGCCGAGGGCCGTGCAGTTTCCAGATCTGAAGGCCATTCTAGCTTAGACTGATGAAGTCCTAGGAGCTTCTGAAATGCTGCAAGTTTAACTACTTGTATAAAGGCCTCATCCTGATCCCAGTCAAACTTGTGAAATAATAGAAGCCAAAATTTAAATCTCTACTGACTTTGCTGCTACAGCTATCCTCCCACCAACACACATACCCACCAACATACACACTTGCCAACATAAACGCACACACACATACACACAAACACACCCATGTGGTCCTACTAATTCAATTATTTATTTTTTAAAGAAATTAAAAAAGACTGGGCGTGGTGGCTCTCGCCTGTCATCCCAGCACTTTGGGAGGTCGAGGCGGTGGTTCACCTGAGGTCGGGAGTTTGAGACCAGCTTGACCAACATGAAGAAACCCCGTCTCTACTAAAAATACAAAATTAGCCGGGCATGATGGCGCATGCCTGTAATCCCAGCTACTCGGGAGGCTGAGGCAGGAGAATCGCTTGAACCTGGGAGGTGGAAGTTGTGGTGAGCCGAGATCGTGCCACTGCACTCCAGCCTGGGCAACAAGAGCGAAACTCCGTCTCAAAAAAAAAAAAAAAAAAAAATTAAAAAGATACAGAACAGTTCAAAAAACAATATAATGGGAAGACTAGATAGACACAATCAGAGACCTGCACTTGTGGGGTTAAGAATTTACAGGTGAAGTTGCAAGTTTCATTCTGTTTGAAAATGATGGGATTATATGTTTTGCTGAGGTTTGGACACCTTTGCTGGGTTGTTTGAATGCCGTGGCTGCAGCGCCCTGTTATGGACATCATGTGCGTGCAGAATGGATGTCTGTCAGGTTCCGGGGCAGCCCGCAGTCTGAGGCAGCCAGCCTGGATTGGAGGGAGTGGCAATACTACCTGCCGGTTAGGGGTTTGGGCCTGAGAGCGAGTGGCTTTCAGGTTCTCTCAAGCTTCGGATGAGATGCAGGTTTCTGCTTCCGATGGCAAATGCATGTTTTGCTTTTTAGTTATCACTGCAAGAGCTAGGATGCTGCTAGAATATTACTGGAATGATTGTGATGAGATGGAATGTATTTACAGTTTAATTGTGACATGTAATACAGTGGTAGAATGGGACTCTGGAATGAGATGCTGGGGCCTAGATTCTAGCACTTCCTTTGTGAGGCTCTAACCCCCTCTCCTATAGTGGATTTGTTAAGAACTTCTGTTTTTGTGGCTTTGTTATTATAAAATTTTTTGAAATGTTGTTCTCTAAAAAAGTTATGATTTTATGTTTTTCTTCATGAGATTCTTTCACTGCCTTCCAGCTGCAAGTAGAATGACGTCTAAATCTTTGTGATCTGTCACTGAAGCCCTTGAGTGAGACACTTAAATCTGGCTGTGGCTCTCTCTCTTACTAGCTTATTTCCAAGCCGTGATTTTTCACAACAGAAAAATGGGGACAGTAATAGTAGTTTCTTCAGAGGCTTTTAGTGAAATGAGGTTAAAAAATATTTTTATGTTTATATGGATATATAGATTACAAACATTTATATATCATTTATTTATATGATTATTATAAACACATATTTATATTTAAATACTTTGGGGCATAAATATATAAAATAATAAATATACTTATGTAATACAAATAGACTTATATACATTTACTATTTAGCAGAGATTATATAAAATATATGTATTACATGGCAACATATTCAAATTTACATATGTTATATATACATGTGGAAAAAAAATTGGGAAAAGGCCACAAAATGTGACCAAAGAATTACTTCCAAATGGCAAGTTTTTAAGTAATTTTTATTTTCTTTTTATACTTCTCTGTACTTTCTCTATGAAACAAGTGTTACTTTTACTGTTTTTAGGAACCAAAAATACAAGTACATTGTTTAAAAAATACTAGCTTAACAAAGTTTCTAGCCCATAAGCTAGTGCAGAAAATCTAGGTCCCATAAAACAAGAACTGCCACACGATGTCTCTCCCCTTACAGTGCTGGATGGCCCGTTGTTAATGGTGTCATAAATCCTTTGCAAGTGACTGTTTTCTAGGTACTATGACTAGAGGGATGTGTAACTTAAGCAAAAAACAAAAAACAGAAAAGGCTGACTATCATCTGACAGTGTATCCTGGAACACCTAGGCCAGAGAAGAAGCCACGTTAGCATTTTCCCTTCTAAATGTCAGTTATGATTTGATGGGGAAACCACTTAAAAAGCATTGTCACGTTGTTGAAAAGGTAATGAAATGAGTGAGATGAGATGGCTATGGAGGACGGAGCTATGCGCCAATCTTATTATATCCAAATTCATGTCATCTCAGCCTTGGATTGTATTGATTTTTATTATATACTGTCAGAAAATGCTATTGAATGTGTAACAAGAGCCTCAAAAAGGTTTATTCATTTTGACACCATAATACTACTTTTAGGAAATTATTCTAAGAAAATAATTAGAGGTATTCTTAAAGATTTGCGTTTTAAAGTCATCCTAAATGTAATCAGGAACTGGCTATGTAAATTATAGCCCATCTCTAAGATTAAGTGCCTTACAGATATTAAAACCCATGCTGTAGAAGAAAAACTAAAGACAGGAAAGTACTTACAATACAAGATGTACTTACCAGTGGAAAAATCCACTTATACTACAGAAATATGATGTGTTCAAATATAAGGAAAAATGTGTATGCATAAAATATTTGGTAGGAAAGAGTAAAATATTACTGGGCATTTATATTTGGATGGTGGAATTATACATAATTTTAATTTTCCTTTTTATCTTTTCTGTATTGTCTAAAATGAATACACTAAGCATTGTTATCCTCAGAAAAAAATAATTGAGGGATGGGGGAAAGGAAGTCCTGCTTTCATTTGATTCTTTGGTTGGTTTTATTCTGTAAGATGAGACTTTAACAGAGGTTAGAATGCATTAAAAATTGTAAAGACAGTTGACCTAATGGCACTAAACAGGGTTAGATCTAGTTTAGATCTTTTCCAGCATGTGAATAAGAATGGATCTTTAAATAAAGATTTTAACTAGGTATATGTTTTAGAATAAGTCATACATGTACATGGTAAAAATTCAAACAGTACAAACTGTGCAGCAAGGTATGGGAAATAAAGCAGCTCTCACTGTCACCTCCACCCATCAGCCTTCTCACACTGCACGCCCACATCTGTGTGTAATTCTGCTTTTCTTTAACATTACTGAAGGAACTTCCTGTGCATTTTTTGTCAGAGCTCTTCTGTGAATACACAAAATATGTACTGATCAATACATTATGTAGATCACGCAGGCTCAACCACATTGATCTTCCTATTCTTTCTAGTAGCCAAATAGAGTTCCCTGGAATATGATTAATAGCTTGCCTAAATCTTCTAATGCTGATAAACAGTTGTTTCTGCTCTTTCGTTATTTCAAGGAATGCTACCATGAATAGCCTTATATATGGTTTTGAGTATACTTGTTTAAGTGAATGTAGGAAAAACTCTTGGAAGTTAAATTGTGGGCCAGTTTATGTGAATTTTATATTTTGACAGAGATGGCTAAATTACCCACCTGTTTTTTTGTTTTGTTTTGGTTTTGGTTTTGCTTTTTTTTTTTAAGAGTTGGGGTCTTGCTACCTGGGGTCTTGCCACCTGGGGTCTTGCCCAGGGTAGACCTGAACTCCTGGGCCACGTTGGTTTATTTTACTGCATTCCCAGGGCCTAGAGCAACGATTGACACGTGCTAGCAGTATCTATTGGAAATTCTGGCCAACTTGCAATAGACCTGATTATTTCTACACTGAACATGTCTAAGATAGCTATTACTATTCATTCAGGAAAGCCCAGACAATTATCATGCCAGCAGCCTGAGACAGTAGCCAGTAATAGCCTGGTGTGGTAGTTTGCTCCTGTAGTCTCAGCTACTCAGCAGGCTGAGGTGGGAGGATGGCTCTAGCCTGGGAGGTGGAGGTTGCAATGAGCCAAGATTGCGCCCTGCACTCCAGCCTGGGTGACAGAGTGAGACCCTGTCTCAAAAATAAAAATAAGAATAAAAAATAAACCAGCAAAAGTTTCTGCCCTCACAGAGCTTCCATTCTAGTGAGAGGGTAGTTTGTCATCAGGAGGGTGACGCCGGTAGGGCTGGGGGCCAGCTCCCTGCAGGGAACAAACATGATCGCAGTGGGGTGGGAGTAGGGGATGAGTCCCCAGAGCCTCTGTGGTTTCCATTTCCACACAAAAAAACCACTGCTGCTGTAATCAGGAGGGGGAAAAGATTTTTAAAAATTTTCTTTCAGGGAATGGAAGGAAAGGATATTTTTGAAAGTAAGACTTTGAAAACTAAAAGTTTTGGGTCACTTAAAAACTCAAAATCTTTAGGTCACTTTAAAAATATTTAATCTTGGAGCTGGAGGCCATTATTCTAGGTAATTAGCTGGGTGTGGTGGTGTGTCCCTGTAATCCCAACTACTAGGAGGCCGAGGCAGGAGGATTGCTTGAACCTGGGAGGCGGAGGTTGCAGTGAGCCGAGATCGCGACACTGCACTCCAGCTTGGGTGACAGAGCAAGACTGGGTCTCAAAAGAAAAAAAAAAAACGAAAACTAAATACCGTATGTTCTCACTTAAAAGTGGGAGCTAAGCTATGAGGATGCAAAGACATACAGAGGGATATAATGGACTTTGGGGATTGATGGTGGGGTTGAATGGGAGGTTGGTCCTAATAGGTCCTAGTACGTCCCCTACTTCTAAGTCTTCCAGTCTGTCCTTTGCACTTTGAATGTTAATTCCAAGTTGGATAATGTCATTCTCATTTTTACAGTCCTTTCTTAGCTCCTCATCACCTCCAGGACAAAGCCTAAACCCCTCGCCCCATGGTAATGCGGCCCCTTTGTGACATGGTACCTGGCTAGAGCTTCATCCCTTTGTCCCATCACTCTCCATCCCAGACACTTTGTAGTTACTTTATTGAGCTCCTTGTGCCTGCCTGAATGGACTTGAAAGTTCTTACCTCCATCTTTTACATTAATTGTTTCCTGTAAGAATTGTGCTTTCTCGCATTCTCCCCAAAATCCCTTCCCCATAGGAAGCCCTTCTCCCAGGCTAAGTTAAGGTTTCTTCCTCTACATCCCTACCACACTCTGGTCACAACCCTCTAACCATTGGCTTGTTTTTTTTGTTTTTTGTGTTTTTTTTTTTTTTGTGAGACGGAGTCTTGCCCTGTCACCCAGGCTGGAGTGCAGTGGTGCAATCTCCGCTCACTGCAACCTCCACCTCCTGGGTTCAAGCGATTCTCCTGCCCCAGCCTCCTGAGTAGCTGGGATTACAGGCACGTGCCTCCACACCTGGCTAATTTTTGCACTTTTAGTAGAGACGGGGTTTCACCATGTTAGTCAGGCTGGTCTCAAACTCCTGACCTCGTGATCCGCCTGCCTTGGCCTCCCAAAGTGTTGGGATTAGAGGCGTGAGCCACCGCGCCCAGCCCATTGGCTTGTTTGTATGTCTACCTTCCTAAACAGTAAGAGGGAACTTGTCTGGTGTTCTTTTTTTCTCTCCTGTGCTGACAGCACAATGACCAGTACCTAGTAGTTGCAGTAGCCTTTGATGAACAAGCCAGCAAATGGTACTTTTCTTCCTTATCTGAACATACCATTTATTTTGACTTAGATTATATTCTCCTGCCTTTTAAAAAGATGGACTTCAGCAGAAATCTTTATGATATTGGGGAACAACTGGACAGTGAAGATCTGGCCTCCCTCAAGTTCCTGAGCCTGGACTACATTCCGCAAAGGAAGCAAGAACCCATCAAGGATGCCTTGATGTTATTCCAGAGACTCCAGGAAAAGAGAATGTTGGAGGAAAGCAATCTGTCCTTCCTGAAGGAGCTGCTCTTCCGAATTAATAGACTGGATTTGCTGATTACCTACCTAAACACTAGAAAGGAGGAGATGGAAAGGGAACTTCAGACACCAGGCAGGGCTCAAATTTCTGCCTACAGGTGGGTGGAAACTCCCATTGTGGGACTGGGAGGTGTGGGTTGAATGGACAGCCTCTGAGCTGATTGGGGCTTTTTTTTGTGGTACCCTGCCTAGTGCCTGGGAACCCAGCAGTGCCACAATTCTAAGCTTCTACAGAAAGACAGTAGTGCCTTGGGTGGTCCTGCTAAAGGCTGTAAAACTTAGCTTCTCCCCACCCTAGAGAGAGTGGGTAAACAAAGGCGTGAGAGAGAAACCACATTCAGTATCACTTGGGAGGCTTTGGGAAGATGTCCCACCGGAGCCAGATTAAGAAATTTAGGGGCCTTATATATAATTCTATAGAAATGCTAAGACCATAAAATAAAAATTTATTTTTCAAAGTGAAACATTACTTAGAGGTATGCTGAAGTTATAATAGAGTTTTTCTAAGTGTTCTCATTTTTTTCCTCTCTTATCTTGATGCCTCTCGATATCCAGATTGTGTGCTTACTTTGCCCATCCATTGAGTAAAGCATCATGGCTTCCCACCCTGAAATCCCCCTCCCACCTGCTTGCGGATGGCTATGAAAATTTTCAATGAGATTTAAGGGTTTTCTGCCACACTTAAAGACTCGAATGACTAAGTTCTTTACGGAGCTGTAAGCCGCTGGCCTGGCACATACAGCTAGGCAGTCTCCACCGAGGCTGCCCAGTTCCTGTGAGCCCGGCTGTATGACAGTTCTAAGCTTCTATAGGAAGACAGTGGCACGTTGGGTCATCCTGCCAAAGGCTGTAAAACTCAGCTTCTCCCCACCCTAGGGAGAGTGGGTAACCAAAGGTGTGAGAGAGAAACCCCATTCAGTTACAACTTCATGATGCTGTGACAAGACTTTAAAAACAGAAACACATTGTCACTTTCTCTCTTTCAACATCTCCTATTATCGGACACTACTTAAAGCAATTTTAGCTTTGCTTTCAGGAAACTTCTACTGAAGTCTTCGTTCTGGGCCCATTTCATTGTCTCTGTTTGCTTGTTGATAACTATGGCATGTGAGATGGAAAGGGTTCACAACCAGGGCTGACAGCTGCTGTCCTCTGATGGCTCAGCCCATGAATGCTCTGGTCTTTCTATTCTCAGAGACTATTTTTTGTTTTGAGGCTTGACTATTTTTTGTTTTGTTTTGTTTTGTTTTTGAGACGGAGTCTCGCTTCATCACCCAGGCTAGAGTGCAGTGGCATGATCTCGGCTCACTGCAACATCTACCTCCAGGGTTCAAGTGATTCTTCTGCCTCAGCCTCCTGAGTAGCTGGGATTACAGGTGTGTGCCACCATGCCCAGCTAATTTTGTATTTTTAGTAGGACGGAGTTCCACCATGTTGGCCAGGCTGGTCTCGAACTCCTGACCTTAAGTTATCCACCAGCCTTGACCTCTCAAAGTGCTGGGATTATAGGTGTGAGCCACCATGCCCAGCCAAGGCTTGACCATTTTGATTTTAAGTGAAAAAAGAGATATTCTGGGCCGGGTGAGGTGGCTCACGCCTGTAATCCCAGCACTTTGGGATGCTGAGGAGAGCTGATCACCTGAGGTCAGGAGTTCAAGACTAGCCTGGCCAACATGGTGAAACCTCATCTCTACTAAAAATACAAAAATTAGCTGGGTGTGGCGGCTCACGCCTGTAATCCCAGCTACTTGGGAGGCTGAGGCAGGAGAATTGCTTGAACCCAGGAGGTGGAGGTTGCAGTAAGCTGAGATTATGCCATTGCACTCCAGCCTGGGCAACAAGAGTGAAACTCTGTCTCAAAAAAAAAAAGAAAGAGATATTCTGGGTATATAAGTTTCCTAGGGCTGCTGTAACAAAGTAACACAAACTAGCAGGTTTAAAACAGTTTTTAAAATGTGTTTTCACAGTTCTGGAGGCCTGAGTCAGAAGTCAAGATGCCAACAGTGTTGGTTCCCTTTTAAGAGGCTCCGAGGAATAATCTTTTTCATGCCTTTCCCTGCTTCGGGTGGGTGGAGGAATCCTCAGTGCTCCTTGTCTTGTAGATGAGGCACAGCAGTCTCTGCCTATGTTCCCTTCTCTGTGTCTAAATCTCCCTCTTATGAGACAGTCACTGGATTAGGAATTAGGGCCCACCTAATCCAGTATGGCCTCATCTTTGTGTGTGTGTGTGTGTGTGTGTGTGTGTGTGTGTGTGTGTGTGTGTGAGACAGTGTCTCACTACATCGCCCAAGCTGGAGTGCAGTGGCATGATCTCGGCTCAGTGCAACCTCCACCTCCTGGGTTCAAGCAATCCTCCCACCTCAGCCTCCCAAGTAGCTGGGACTACAGGCACCCGCCACCATGTCTGGCTAATTTTTGTATTTTTTTGTAGAGATGGAGTTTCAAAATGTTGCCCAGGCTAGTCTTGAACTCCTGGGCTCATGCAATCTGCCCACCTCAGCCTCCCAAGTTCTGGGATTACGGGCATGAGCCACTGCGCCTGGCCAGCATGACCTCATCTTAATGAGATTTTATCTGCAAACGTCCTGGGTCCACATAAGGTCGCATTCTCATATTCCAGATAGACATGAATTTTGGGGAAGAGGGGAGAACACTATTCAACCAGTACACTAGATAGCTTTGGTTTACTAGCATTGTGAAGTCTTTATAAGGCACTTATTCATTAAGGCGCCAGTTAGTCCTAAAAACCCACAGCCCCAGAACAAGGAAAGCCGAGGGGGGTCTCATCTTGTGCCCACCATCTTGGTCCTTTGAAGGTTCCACTTCTGCCGCATGAGCTGGGCTGAAGCAAACAGCCAGTGCCAGACACAGTCTGTACCTTTCTGGCGGAGGGTCGATCATCTATTAATAAGGCAGGATCTCTCTTAAAATCTTTAATGTATTGGCTTAGAGATAAAAGGGTCCGGGCAATCCTGACTTACTGCTTGTTCATTATCATTGAATACTAGCCAGAAGCTAATAAATATGCTAGGGTGACCACTTACCATTATAAGAAAACACTAGACATTTTATTTTCCAGTTATAATTGCTACCTATAAAATAAAGATCTTATAAACTATTCAGGTTCATTACTAAATGGTGATGGTACAAGAAAGCCTATAGGCTTCAATAATGAGGAAAGCAAAAGGGTAAATACCTTGTAATAAAGGTGAAAGAGTCAGAGTAGCTTTGGATTAGATCCAATTTTGGCCAAACTGAAAGCTTTAGATAAACACTTCTAGGGTAGAGAGTCCATGAGAAGGGGGATAAGGCAGATGGTAATACTGAGTAATTTCTGTTTCTACGCCATTTTTATTTTCAGAATTTTACTTTTCTAATTAAATTTTAAAGTCAACGTGTTTTTGTATTAAAATTATTTTCCTTTACACCATAGTATTGAAAGGTTTGCTGACTTCTAAAACATTCCTTTGTTCACCTATTCGACAAGCATATTCCAAGAGCCTAAATGTGCCAATCACATAAATGTGATAGGCATAGATTAGGAAATAGTAACACCTATCACTCATTGAGCACTTAGTGTGTTGCCAAAGACTGATTTAAGTACTTCACATAAACTTATTTGTGTAACCCTCGAAACCTTCCTATGATGTGGTTACGGATAATTATCTTCAGTCTATGGACGAGGAAAAAATGTGTAACATGTCTAAAGTTAACACTGCTCAAAGATAGTGGAACCAAGGCTCCAACACCAATAGCCTGGGTCCGCTGAGCTCAATCATTGCACCTCACAACCCTCTGGGTTTATGAAAATAAAAAGGGTACGGACCTGGCCACTAGGGGACTTGAACAGTTTCTAAACAGACAATTATTTTCTGTTTTTATTTTTAGTGTGGTGGCATGATCACAGCTCACTGCAGCCTCAACCTTCTGGGCTCAAGTGATCCTCTCACCTCAGCTTCTGGAGTAGCTGGGACCACAGGTGCATGCCACCACACCCGGCTAATTTTTAAATGTTTTTGGTAGAGATGGGGTCTTGCTATGTTGCCCAGGCTGGTCTCAAACCCCTGGGCTCAAGTGATCCTCCTTCTGCCTTGGCCTCCTAATGCGCTGGAATTAGAGGCATGAACCACTGCACCAGGCCAACAGACAATTATGTGTGTTATCGTTTTGGGGTTACTAAGTCATAGTGGAGTGAATGCAGCTTTGAGGATGCTCAGGCAATGCTTGAGCTGATTGTTCATGGATGGGCCTCTGCAGATAGACAAGGGGATGGGGTGTAGCGGCACCACAGAAAGGGGTGAGGGCAGGGCAGCTGGGTGTGTTTGGCTTCAGGTCCTTTCGTGTTTGCGGTCTGGTCTGTGATAGGGATGTATTCGGAGACTTTGTATTCCAGAACCGAATGCTTGGCCGTCTTACTGAAGATAATGACTGGGAGAATACTGACCAGTTTTGATTAGGGAAGTCATGAGCCAATGTGCATTTTGAAAAGCATAATTTCCAAAAGGCAAAGCATTTTGCTATTGCAACAAAATCTCCATTTTACAGAAAAAAAAAAAGGAAAACAAGATTTACTCAACTGAAATAAACTGAAAGAAAAGTTGATAGAACTTTAAATTGTTAAGGGTGGGAAAGTCGGGGAGGAGCCAGTAGACTTCTGTGTCACCACACCAGCCTCTTTCCAAGGGCTCAACTCATAAACCATGCCATTAACTGGCTTTATGTTGAAGGGAGGCCTTTGGAATCAAGCCCACTGTGACTCCATATATCAAATGGGAAATTATTTGGGAAAAGATTTCTAAAGTGTCTCCATTTCCCACCACAGGGTCATGCTCTATCAGATTTCAGAAGAAGTGAGCAGATCAGAATTGAGGTCTTTTAAGTTTCTTTTGCAAGAGGAAATCTCCAAATGCAAACTGGATGATGACATGGTAAGACCTGGTATCTTACTGAGATTTAGTCCTGAGACTTGGTTAGCCAGGGGGCATTTCTGAGACCAAAGAGAGGGGTATTTTGGTAAAAGCAACCTGGATTCTCACTTTTTAACTAGAAGAAGAAAGTTGTCAGCACGAGTGTTACAGATGTGATTCCTTTAGACCGAAGTGCTGCTCATGTTAATTATTGGGAGCAAGGCAGAGTCAGAGGCCGGGAGAAGGAGGCTGTGCAGATGCAGCCCAGACCCGGCAGAGCTGGGAAAGACTGCGGTGGGTCTGAGATATTTCCTCCACTTCTGCAGTCCCCGAAACAACCTGGGACCTGAAACTCTGTGTGTATATTGTGTCTGTGTGTTGTGTGTGTATTTCCGTGTCTGTGTGTGCCTTTCTCTGTGTATAGTGTGTGTCTGTATTTGTGTGTGATATGTGTATCTCTGTGTGTCTCTGTATAAGTGGTGTGTGTGTCTGTGTATCTCTGTGTGTGTGTTCTCTGTGTGGTATGTGTGTCTGTGTGTTGTGTAGTGTGTATTGTATTTATGCCCCTGTGTGTGTATCACTGAGTATACTCTGTGTGTGTTGTATCTGTGTGTGTATGTGCATGTGGTGTCTGTGTGTGTGTGTCTGTGTGTCTGTATGTACTCAGGTCTGGAGAGGCAATGCTGGGGGTGAGGCTGTTCCCCAGGGTGTCACCATGATGACCGGGCTGCTGTCTCAGGTTGTTTCACAGTCCCCAAGTAATGCATTCGCAGGAGATTTGAGCACAGGGCCTGGGGACTGGGTGACATCTGACATGGCTTCTCCTTTATCCTCTCACTTCTGTCTTTCTGGGCCAGAAAACATGGAATCGCTTCCCTAGTAGCCTGCTGGCTGTGAGAGACCAGCAGAAACTGTCAGAAACTTGGGAAGCAAGGGCAGGTCCTTGGTTGGAGAAATTGGAAATTAAAAAAAAAAATCTAATCTAAAAACCAGTAGGGCTCAATCCAGATTCCCAACTTTATTTCTCCTCCTCTTAGAACCTGCTGGATATTTTCATAGAGATGGAGAAGAGGGTCATCCTGGGAGAAGGAAAGTTGGACATCCTGAAAAGAGTCTGTGCCCAAATCAACAAGAGCCTGCTGAAGATAATCAACGACTATGAAGAATTCAGCAAAGGTAGAAACAACCTGACAGCCGGGAATCGGCAAAACCTACTCTAAAATTGAAACTGACAAATCGCTCCATATCACAGTTGTTTCTAATCAAATATTGTTTGGGGTTTCCCCTTTTAATTCAGAGAGAAGCAGCAGCCTTGAAGGAAGTCCTGATGAATTTTCAAATGGTAATGCTTGGAGATACATTTTCAAGATTTAGTTAATTTACTATCTGGTACCTGCATGTGTCCTCCCCACAGCCTTCTACCACATGCACATCTTAACGTGCCTGCTCTACTTTTTCTTTTTTTTTTTTTTTTTGTGAGACAGTTTTACTTTGTTTCCCAGGCTGGAGAGCAGTGGCACCATCTCGGCTCACTGCAATCTCCGCCTCCCAGGTTCAAGCAATTCTCCTGCCTCAGCCTCCTGAGAAGCTGGGATTACAGGTGCGTGCACCACCACGCCTAGCTAATTTTGTATTTTTATTAGAGATGGGGTTTTACTATATTGGCCTGGCTAGTCTCAAACTCCTGACCTCAGGTGGTCTGCCTGCCTTGGCCTCCCAAAGTGCTGGGATTACAGGCATGAGCCACTGCGCCCGGCCGCACCTGCTCTCCTAAGACCTGTAGCCCAAGCTGGCAAGTTTGAAATAGGTGCAGAGTTAGTCAGTAGTAAGTAATTTAACATCATTTTTTCTATGTGGCTTTTTTTTTCTCCTTGACGTGCTGCTCATGTTATGCACTGAGTAGCTGGATTTAAATTATGTTTCATAATTTTCTTGGTTAAGTCACTTTCTCTTTCAACACCTTCTACACTAAGTCACTCCTTTCAACTTCCTTTCACTTTTTCTACCTGATAAGCGAGGCTGAACCAAGAGAGAGAGCTCTCAACGATCTCCTTCAAAATTTTGATTAATCAAATAGTCTTTTTTTTTTTTTGAGACAGTGTCTCACTTTGTCCCCCAGGCTAGAATGCAGTGATGCAATCTTGGCTCACAACAGCCTCGACCTCCTGGACTCAGATGATCCTCTTGCCTCAACCCCCTGAGTAGCTGGGACCACAGGCACAAGCCACCATGCCCGGCTAATTTTTGTATGTCTTGTAGAGATGGGGTTTCGCTATGTTGCCCAGGCTGATCTTGAACTCCTGAGCTCAAGCCATCCACCTACCTGGGCCTCCCAAAGTGCTGGGACTATAGGCAATTAATAAAGTATTCTTTCTGATTAGAAAAATTATATACACTAATTGAAGATTATTTTAAATTCAGAGAAATTTTTACAAGTCCAAGAACACCATCACTCCATTCATATTATGAATATTTTTATTGTATTTTTACGTTGGCTCTTTGTGGTGTGTGTGTGTAAAATACATTTTGGATCACTCAAATGTATTTTAAAGATTAATGTCTATGCAGGCTGTCCTTCCCTTTCCCCTCTGCCTGCTGAGCCTAAGGCCTTAAGAATACTTTAAGGAGTAAAGTACTAAATCATTAATTCATCCTGAGCTAGTGGCTTTATTAATGAGTATCTCACAAATACCACAAAAATTCAACCTGGCCATGTGGAGCAATATAAAATTATGGCATTTCTTGGTATGTTTTTCTCTTTGGCGAGGAGACAACTTGATCTTGTGTTTCCAGAAGCATGTTAATTGCCCTGCTTGCAGAATCTCTCTGGCTTGAAAGGAGATTATATTCATGGCAGTCTGTGAATTTTCATTTTATTTCATTTATTTATTTGAGACAGAGTCTCACTCTGTTGCCCAGGCTGGAGTGCAGTAGTGCGATCTCAGCTCACTGCAACCACTACCTCCCAAGTTCAAGTGATTCTCCTGCCTCAGCCTCCTGAGTAGCTGGGACTACAGGTGGCTACCACCACGCCCGGCTAATTTTTTTGTACTTTTAGTAGAGACAGGGTTTCACCATGTTGGCCAGGCTGGTCTTGAACTCCTGACCTCAAGTGATCTGCCCATCTTGGCCTCCCAAAGTGCTGGGATTACCGGCGTGAGCCCCTGTTCCCAGCTTGAATTTTCATCTTAAAAAAGACCTTATGTTGTCCTATGTGCTACATATTTCATTACCAGTGTACCTTTCCTGCCATGTCTCATTCTAGATGTGTCTCTTCGTTGTTTGCAGGGGAGGAGTTGTGTGGGGTAATGACAATCTCGGACTCTCCAAGAGAACAGGATAGTGAATCACAGGTAGACGGAAACCTCCAAATCCTTTTTTTTACATTACAGATTCTAGTTATTTAATTTGTTAGCTTTTTTTTTTTTTTGCTGCCAGATAAACTGACAAGGGGCAGAAACTTACTGAAAATTTTGAGAACTGTAGAAAAAATTCACACAAAAAAAGTTAAAAATGTGACTTAATTTTTAAAATGTGACTCCTTCAGTTTTCTATACATTTGAATTTTATTTTAAGACCCGAGATGAAGATACTGGAATAGTTGGAGGGTGGAGGGGGTAATAAGCCTCCTACCAAATCTTCTAGCAGCCGTGCCAGCCTGGATGGGGGAGTGGTTTGGAGAAAGAGTCTAGCAGGAATGGAAAAAGCCAAGCCTTTTCCTTTAGCTTAATGTTTCAAAAATGCTTCTCCTTGGTGATGAGGTGTAAGCAGCAAACTCTCACAATCTAGCCATCTCTGTGTTTTTGTCTCAGTGAACCAGCAGAAACATGTAATTTTTAGGCATAATAACTTCTCTTTATGTAATCAACAATCCACCAAATACATCCTGACTTATTAGACGATCTGCTCCTCCTCATGGTAGGAAGAAGAGGAAATCCTGAATATCTGAAGTAGGCTTGAGAGAGATTATTCACTAGTGTGGGCTCCTGAGAAAATTACCAGACCTCTTTCATCTGAAAGTCAAGGATTAACCCAAGTAATGTGGTACTTTCTAAACAGTATAGCATGCTACAAGCATTGTCCCCACTGAAGAGCTAAAAACACTGTCTTAATATCTTAGTAAATCTTAGTATCTTTTTCCTTTTTTAATGTTTTATTGAGACAGGGGTCTTGCTACGTTGCCAAGCCAGGTCTCGAACTCCTGGCCTCAAGCAATCCTCCTGCCTTGGCCTCCCAAAGTCTGGGATTATAGGTACTAGCCACCGTGCCTGGCCAAATCTTAGTGTCTTAGTATCTCAGTAAATACACTTAATATGCTTAATAAATACTTAGAACACAACTGTAAATAATAAAAACTTAACATACTTGGTACAAACTTAATCAAATATTTAATATCTTAGAGTTAACATATTAAGATAACAGGTTATTTGCCCAAAGTCATAAGGTGAAGTAGAGGCAGGAATTGGGCTTCCTAGCCTGGAGTCCTTTTCTCCACCTCAAGGGGCTACGCAGACCTCCAACTAAATGCTGAGTTTCTCGGTACTGAAACAGCCCTAGGAGAATGAATAGGACACAGCGCCATCCCTGGCCAGTACTATCAGGTACTACAGTTTGGATACCATAACCTACAGTGTAGCCAGGACCTCCCTGACCAGCCCATCTCTTCCCAGCAGCCACCGTGGTCCTGAGAGCTGGGTTAAGCCATCACCTTTAAAATCCTGGGACCACACTGTGCAATGCATGAATGGGAGACCCTCAGCTGTTAGCCACGAAGCACAGATGAGTTCAGTAGACAGCCAAGAGAATCACAAGTCATGGCGTGGGGGCAGCCAAAGACATTCATTCATTCAGTGACTCTTGATTGAGCTCTCACAAGTTAATACACCGTAGTCCCTGGCACAGATGTTATGAACCTCAAGGAGTCTTCTGTATAGTATGGGAAGCAGAAATGAGAACAAACAATAATACAATGTGATGACAACAATATTAATATATGTGCAAAGTGCTCAGGAGGCCCAGGTATTGGGACACTGACTTTACAACGATGGGGCAGAAGTCTGAGAGGTCCTGTGTGAAGGAAATAGGTAGAAACTAGTTCTTCGAGGAAACGACCCCGAGTTGGGGTGGTGCAATGGAAAGCAAGTCCTCTTACTAGGGAGTTGTTTGTTTACATCTCTAGTGTTTGACCCACAGAGTCAGCTCCTGGGTTGGGTTTTTGTTTTCCAGACTTTGGACAAAGTTTACCAAATGAAAAGCAAACCTCGGGGATACTGTCTGATCATCAACAATCACAATTTTGCAAAAGCACGGGAGAAAGTGCCCAAACTTCACAGCATTAGGGACAGGAATGGAACACACTTGGATGCAGGTACAGTAGAACCCAAAAGAGAAAAGTAAAATATTTCTTATGCCTATTTTTTTTTAAATCAAAAGGGAGAGAACAAAAGCTATACCAAAAGGGCCATGTTTCAAGAAAATGGATTTAAACATATTTCCCTGTGGAGGTAAAGAACATTCTTATACATTTATCAGTTTCCTGCTTTTTTTAAAAATTAATTTTTTAAATAAAAGTAATGTATGTATAAATATAAAATATCAAATCTTACTAAAAGACATAATGAAAAGCAGTAATAAGCTTTGTTTTGAATTCAGCTAAATGCATAGCGCTTCTGTGGAATGTATTAGGCGATGAAATTGCTGTGGTATCAAAGTTCTTATAGAGGCTGCATTTTTACAGGTTGGGCTGTTAAGTGCAGCAGAAATTGTGGGTTCTTAACAGAAATAGCATTTTCAAGTATTAAATATTAAACTGGTTAGCAATTCTTTTGCTCAGCCAAATTAAGCTAAGATCAAGAACTTACAAGTTAAATGAAAAAACAATTTGTAGTATGTGAATATAAAAAGTGACTACAACAACAAAAAATAAAAATCATCCATCACCATTGAGAGATTAATAATTTTGATTTGATCAAAGAACTTTTGGAAATAGTGTTTATCAGGCATAACATCAATTATTGATTTGTTTTGCAAATGGAGGTAAGTTTAGAAAATTAATGTAGACTGATTATAATCATCAGGAGTCTGTAATGGCCCCTATTAACATTTTTTTTTTTTTTTTGAGACAAAGTCTCACTCTGTTGCCCAGGCTGGAGTGCAGTGGTGTGATCTCAGCTCACTGCAGCCTCCACCTCCCTGGTTCAAGTGATTCTCCTGCCTCAGCCTCCCAAGTAGCTGGGACTACAGGCACACACCACCACACATGGCTAATTTTTGTATTTTTAGTAGAGATGGGGTTTTGCCATATTGGCCAGGCTGGTCTTGAACTCCTGACCTCAAGTGATCCGCCTGCCTCGGCCTCCCAAAGTGCTGGAATTACAGGTGTCAGCCACCTGTACCTGGTCCCTGCTAACATTTGATTTGTTTATTTAAGCAAATCTAAGCCTTTAAAAAGGCACAGAGATTAAGTCCATTGATTACATCATTCGTCACTATGCGCTTGGTATTGAAAAAAATATTTTGGACCCTTGATTTGTATTCTTTTAAAATTAAAACATTTCTATTAAAATAACATTTGCTTCTATTTCTGGCAGCTCATTTTCTTATAACTGGCCCATGATTGACTAGTCTCTGGTAGGCATTCGAGTCTGTGTGTCCTGCTTTTTCTGTTCCTGTTCTTATGTTTTATGCTGAATGAGTAAAAGTAGGAGACCCAGCTGCAGAAGTCATTTCTCCTGAGAGACTCCCTTCTGTCCTGCTTCAGTGCCTTCAGACTTGCTTTACAGTCATTTTTTTAATCAACATTCCACATTTCCAAAGGATCAGAATTTTTTTCACAGAACCAACACACTGTATTAGTCTTGCCAAAGTGCTTCCAAATCAACAAGGGCCTATTGCATTTCAGTTATTTTTTTCTATTCCTAATGCTAGACTGTATTTTTTCTTTTTTTTTTTTTTGAGGCAGAGTCTCACTCTGTTGCCCAGGCTGCAGTGCAATAACATGATCTTGGCTCACCGCAACCTCTGCCTCCCAGGTTCAAGTGATTCTCCTGCCTCAGCCTCCCAAGTAGCTGGGATTACAGGCATGTGCCACCATACCCAGTTAATTGTATTTAGTAGAGATGGGGTTTCACCATGTTGGTCAGGCTGTTCTTGAACTCCTGACCTCAGGTGATCCACTCGCCTCGGCCTACCAAAGTGCTGGGATTACAGGTGTGAGCCACTGCACCTGGCTGAGACTGCCTTTTGACTGATGACTTATGTTTAGCTCTGATGTGCTGACAGGGACAAAATGCTGGAGAAGGAATAAAAAAGGAATAATCCAACAAGGATCAAGAGAACAGGAAAGGAGACAATAGCTAATGAAAGGTTTCCAACAATTTGGGGGAGTTGAAAAAAAAGAGTCGAGGTAATTGACTTAACAGAGAAAGCTACAACCTCACTGATTACAGAGGGGAACACGGAAAGGAGGCAAGCCTATTTACCCCCACAGAATCCTGGAAAAATTCAGCAATTGGAAGTACAAAGTGTAGGTGAGGCAATGAGCAGAAAACAGGAAGATTCTTTGAAAGCCTATATAAGCCTATACAATCCTCTGATTCATACCTTCCTCTCATAGAGCCAGCAACTATTCTTATTCTACCATCATAAGGAACAGGAAGTTTGTTTTCTCATAAAATTGAACCAGAGAGGCTCTACACTTCGGTGTGCCAGGCCCAGCAAAGGAAGCAATGAAGCATTTTACTGAACACAGAGAGACTGAAGAAAACCTGCTGGTGGCATGGAGTCAGATCTCTAAACCAACTTGGTTCCAAGACACTGGCAGCAGATACAGACTTACCTCTGGAGAAGCTGAAAGCTCTAGCTAAAATACATACAGATAATGACATCTGGAGGTTTCCTAATGAAATGATCAGGTCCCCAACCAATCATCTTGCTATGAAATCCCTCAGAGAACAAGCCACATCCACAAACACAGAGCTTTCAGTCGACTTTTTAATGGACTAATTAGTCAATTTATGAATGGACAACCAAAGGTCAGCAGGCATTTGAAGAAAGGCTCTAATACGAAAGAGAGGTAGCTTGGTACGGTGGCGTGAAAATCCAGCACTTTGGGAGGCCGAGGCAGGCGAATCGCCTGAGGTCAGGAGTTCAAGCCCAGCCTGACCAACATGGTGAAACCCCATCTCTACTAAAAATACAAAAATTAGCCAGGCATGGTGGCAGGTGCCTGTAACCCCAGCTACTACAGAGGCTGAGGCAGAAGAATCACTTGAACCTGGGAGGTGGAAGTTGCAGTGAGCTGAGATCGTACCACTGCACTCCAGCCTGGGTGACAGAGCAAGACTCCATCTCAAATAAATAAATAAATTACTAGATAAATGAGAGGCAATGCAAACAACAAGAAAAACATGAAACAGAATATGAATGAAAAAAAGATAATGTTGAGAAAAAAGCAACCTTTTTTAATGCTTAATATTGGTATTTAGTATTCTTAGAGAGTTAGTTAAAGGTCCATGAAAGAACAAGATGTTATGAAAAAGGGACAGAACAAGCAAGTCTCCTTGAAAATTAAAAATTTGAGCACCAAAATGAAAAATTCAATAAAGTAGAAGATAAAGTCTAAGGAAGTAGGATAAAAAGACAAAAATAGAAAATAGGAGTGAAAGATAAGAAAATTTGAAGCTAAATCAAGGATGTCCAATTTTTGACAATAAGAGTTCCAGAAAGAAAGGACAGAGAAAGGGGAAATGGAACTTTCCAAGAACGAAATGACGCAATCTCCAGATTGAAAGGGTATAATGGATTAAGATTCACTTCCAAACATATCATACCCTAGAAGCTTCTGGAAAGAGAAAAAAGTAAGCCAAATATGTAAAGTATCAGAAATGGAAAGTCTTCTCTCTAGCAACACTGAAAGCTAAAAGACTGTGAAGAAAGGCCTTCAGAATTCTGAGGAAAAATGCTTTTGGAAATAGAACTCTATAAACTAAAGACTCATACAGGGGCTCAAAAAATGTACTTCTCATGGTTATGCTCCAGCAAAGGAAACTGATAAGAAAGAGGAAGTCATAGATGGAGGAAACAGGGAACCTACTATGGAAGAGACAGAGAGATGTCCCAGGAGAAGAGAAATTCATCTGGCCTATGGAACAGCCAGTTGGTATTACAGCAGAAGGATGCAGTGCTCTGGATGGAAAGTTTTCCAGGAAGAAATAAAAATGAGTCAGACAAGTAGCCTGAAAATGTTGAAAGATTTTGGCCAGATCCATTGAGCACTTGGAGAAAAAACAGTGTTAAGCATATAGGAAACAAAGCAGATGAAAAAATAATACAATTACAAGTTCCAGGAAAGGCAAAAAGGTTAATAAGAAAGGAAACATAATGAAAGAACATTATGTTTACATAGTCTTAATAATAGAAATATTACTATGGGCCGGAGGTGGTGGCTCATGCCTACAATCCCAGCACTTTGGGAGGCCAAGGTGGGTGGGTCACTTGAGGCTGGGAGTTTGTGACCAACCTGGCTAACATGGCGAAACCCTGTCTCTACTAAAAATACAAAAATTAGCTGGGTGTGGTGGTGCGTGCCTGTAGTCCCACCTGCTTGGGAGGCTGAGGCAGGAGAATTGCTTGAACTTGGGGGGCAGAAGTTGCAGTGAGCTGAGATTGTGACACTGCACTGTAGCCTGGGTGACAGAGTGAGACCTTTTCTAAAAAAAATTAAAAAAATAAAAATATTACTATGGATTCAACCAAAACTTGTAAATAATTGAGTAAGAGCCCAAATGCTTATTCTCCATAATAAGAACTCAATGCGAAAGTCTAAAATTTATAAATGAGTAATTAGCAGTGTACCCAAATTCATTACAAAATGGAGCTCAATGTGGAAAAAAGTGGTTAAAAACTGAAAGTGGTTGCCTTCATGGAATGTGACTAGGTAATGGGGAGGGATAGAGAGGGGATAACCTTTTGTATAAGGTCTTCTAGTTCTATCTTATTAATTCATATCTTTTATTTTGCTATACATAAATAATTTTGAGAAGGTTTAGGATAAAATAAGTTGGATCTTTTATTCAAAAATTGTTTTGTTTTTTTCTGATTATGTAAATAATATAATCATTTTTAAAATTGGTTCAGTAGTAAGCCTAAATGATAGCTTACCCATCTTGTAAACTAGTTTACTAGAGAAAACAGACCAACAATAACACTCTCTCCTTTCTCATTTGCTTCAGGGTTTGAGAATGTTTTTAGCTGGTGGCAATAAATATTAGAAGCCTGCAGAATCCAGCTACGAATATAGAGGGTTTTGCTCTTGAATTTCTGGTTCAAATTCTTTTTTTTTTTTTTTTTTTTTTATTGATCATTCTTGGGTGTTTCTCGCAGAGGGGGATTTGGCAGGGTCACAGGACAATAGTGGAGGGAAGGTCAGCAGATAAACAAGTGAACAAAGGTCTCTGGTTTTCCTAGGCAGAGGACCCTGCGGCCTTCCGCAGTGTTTGTGTCCCTGGGTACTTAAGATTAGGGAGTGGTGATGACTCTTAACGAGCATGCTGCCTTCAAGCATCTGTTTAACAAAGCACATCTTGCACCGCCCTTAATCCATTTAACCCTGAGTGGACACAGCACATGTTTCAGAGAGCACAGGGTTGGGGATAAGGTCACAGATCAACAGGATCCCAAGGCAGAAGAATTTTTCTTAGTACAGAACAAAATGAAAAGTCTCCCATGTCTACTTCTATCCACACAGACCCGGCAACCATCCGATTTCTCAATTTTTTCCCCACCCTTCCCGCCTTTCTATTCCACAAAACCGCCATTGTCATCATGGCCCATCCCCAATGAGCCGCTGGGCACACCTCCCAGACGGGGTCGTGGCCGGGCAGAGGGGCTCCTCACTTCCCAGTAGGGGCGGCCCGGCAGAAGCGCCCCTCACCTCCCAGATGGGGCGGCTGGCCGGGCGGGGGGCTGACCCCCCCACCGCCCTCCCGGACGGGGCGGCTGGCCAGGCAGAGGGGCTCCTCACTTCCCAGTAGGGGCGGCCGGGCAGAGGCGCCCCTCACCTCCTGGATAGGGCGGCTGGCCGGGCGGGGGGCTGTTCCCCCCACCTCCCTCCCGGATGGGGCGGCTGGCCGGGCAGAGGGGTCCTCACTTCCCAGTAGGGGCGGCCCGGCAGAGGCGCCCCTCACCTCCCGGACGGGGCAGCCGGCCGGAAGGGGGGCTGACCCCCCCACCTCCCTCCCGGACGGGGCGGCTGGCCGGGCAGAGGGGCTCCTCACTTCCCAGTAGGGGCGGCCGGGCAGAGGCGCCCCTCACCTCCCGGACGGGGCGGCTGGCCAGGCAGGGGGCTGATCCCCCCACCTCCCTCCCGGACGGGGCGGCTGGCCGGGCGGGGGGCTGACCCCCCCCACCTCCCTCCCGGACGGGGCGGCTGGCCGGGCAGGGGGCTGACCCCCCCTCCCCCCTCCCGGACGGGGCGGCTGGCCGGGCGGGGGGCTGACCCCCCCACCTCCCTCCTGGGCGGGGCGGCTGGCCGGGCAGAGGGGCTCCTCACTTCCCAGTAGGGGCGGCCGGGCAGAGGCGCCCCTCACCTCCTGGACGGGGCGGCTGGCCAGGCGGGGGGCTGACCCCCCACCTCCCTCCCGGACTGGGCGGCTGGCCGGGCGGGGGGTTGAACCCCCACCTCCCTCCTGGACGGGGCGACTGGCCGGGCAGAGGGGCTCCTCACTTCCCAGTAGGGGCGGCCGGGCAGAGGCGCCCCTCACCTCCCGGACGGGGCGGCTGGCCAGGCGGGGGGCTGACCCCCCACCTCCCTCCCGGACTGGGCGGCTGGCCGGGCGGGGGGTTGACCCCCCCACCTCCCTCCTGGACGGGGCGACTGGCCGGGCAGAGGGGCTCCTCACTTCCCAGTAGGGGCGGCCGGGCAGAGGAGCCCCTCACCTCCCGGACGGGGCGGCTGGCCGGGCGGGGGGCTGACCCCCCCACCTCCCTCCCGGACGGGGCGGCTGGCCGGGCAGAGGGGTCCTCACTTCCCAGTAGGGGCGGCCGGGCAGAGGCGCCCCTCACCTCCCGGACGGGGCGGATGGCCGACCACCCCCCCCCGCCTCCCTCCCGGACGGGGCGGCTGGCCGGGCAGAGGGGCTCCTCACTTCCCAGTAGGGGCGGCCGGGCAGAGGAGCCCCTCACCTCCCGGACGGGGCGGCTGGCCGGGCGGGGGGCTGACCCCCCCCACCTCCCTCCCGGACGGGGTGGCTGCCGGGCGGAGACGCTCCTCACTTCCCAGACGGGGTGGTTGCCAGACGGAGGGGCTCCTCACTTCTCAGACGGGGCGGTTGCCAGGCAGAGGGTTTCCTCACTTCTCAGACGGAGCGGCCGGGCAGAGACACTCCTCACCTCCCAGACAGGGTTGCGGCCCAGCAGAGGCGCTCCTCACATCCCAGACAGGGCGGTGGGGCAGAGGTGCTCCCCACATCTCAGACGATGGGCGGCCGGGCAGAGACGCTCCTCACTTCCTAGATGGGATGGCGGCGGGGAAGAGGCGCTTCTCGCTTCCTAGATGGGATGGCGGCCGGGCAGAGACGCTCCTCACTTTCCACACTGGGCAGCCAGGCAGAGGGGCTCCTCATATCCCAGACGATGGGTGGCCAAGCAGAGACGCTCCTCACTTCCCAGACGGCGTGGCGGCCGGGCAGAGGCTGCAATCTCGGCTCTTTGGGAGGCCAAGGCAGGCGGCTGGGAGGTGGTTGTAGCAAGCCGAGATCACGCCACTGCACTCCAGCCTGGGCACCATTGAGCACTGAGTGAACGAGACTCCATCTGCAATCCCGGCACCTCGGGAGGCCGAGGCTGGCGGATCACTCGCGGTTAGGAGCTGGAGACCAGCCCGGCCAACACAGCGAAACCCCATCTCCACCAAAAAAAAAACGAAAACCAGTCAGGCGTGGCGGCGCGCGCCTGCAATCGCAGGCACTCGGCAGGCTGAGGCAGGAGAATCAGGCAGGGAGGTTGCAGTGAGCCGAGATGGCAGCAGTACCGTCCAGCTTTGGCTCGGCATGAGAGGGAGAGGGAGACGGGGAGAGGGAGAGGGAGAGGGAGACGGGGAGAGGGAGAGGGAGAGGGGTCAAATTCTTATCTATCAATGTTATGCCCACTGTGCTCTCCAGCTGTGGTCTGTGAATTACTGTGGTATAACGTGACTGTTCAAATTTCACTTTTCAGGGGCTTTGACCACGACCTTTGAAGAGCTTCATTTTGAGATCAAGCCCCACGATGACTGCACAGTAGAGCAAATCTATGAGATTTTGAAAATCTACCAACTCATGGACCACAGTAACATGGACTGCTTCATCTGCTGTATCCTCTCCCATGGAGACAAGGGCATCATCTATGGCACTGATGGACAGGAGGCCCCCATCTATGAGCTGACATCTCAGTTCACTGGTTTGAAGTGCCCTTCCCTTGCTGGAAAACCCAAAGTGTTTTTTATTCAGGCTTGTCAGGGGGATAACTACCAGAAAGGTATACCTGTTGAGACTGATTCAGAGGAGCAACCCTATTTAGAAATGGATTTATCATCACCTCAAACGAGATATATCCCGGATGAGGCTGACTTTCTGCTGGGGATGGCCACTGTGAATAACTGTGTTTCCTACCGAAACCCTGCAGAGGGAACCTGGTACATCCAGTCACTTTGCCAGAGCCTGAGAGAGCGATGTCCTCGGTAAGTTTTGCCTACTCAGCCCTCCTCACTGTTACACTACCTTCCCCCCCTACTCCATCACACTACTATCTACTCATATTCAGAGCCTATTAGAAAGTGCTATGTGATTTAGATCACATTAACAGGTCAGAGAACTGTCCAAGGGGAGTGGTTTCCGTTCAACTCTAAATGTCTAGCTGTAGATCACATAGCTGCATTTCCCAGGTCAGTTACAAAGTGGGAGAGTGGCAAGTGTTAACATCCTTAGTTTATAGATGGAAAAGCTGAGATGCTTTATTCCTTTATTCAGCACCTCAAAGGACAATCAGGGTATCACAGAGCAGGAAAGGATAGGAAAGTCATATACTCCAGCTCTCTGTCTTTAGGCCAAAACATGACTGAGCCAATTCAACTAGTTTTGGAAATCTTCCAAGAAGGCAGTAACCCAATTCAATGTTTAAACATCCTCCAACTCTGTCAAAAGTTCTATAATAGCAAACCATCCTCAAAACCTCTTGGTGCATTATGGGAGATAAATAGCAGGTTCCTTCTAGCCCTGTATTTCATGTTTTGAGTATATGAAGAGTGAGAATTTCCCGTAACTTAGATCATGAATCTAACTTAGATTTCGTAACTTAGATCATGAATCCTGCAAGGTTTCCGCGGCTAGCTACCAAGGTAGAAGAAGAGGTTGCCTAACAAAAATGCTAAGAGATCCTGGTGAGAAGAAGGTGGGAGTAGCTGCAGGAGACGTTATACTTTCACTTGCCTTAAGTTTAATTGCATCAAAGATGAATCCGCAGATGCGATGTCAATTCGAGGCAGAGAGTATTGGGGGGCATTGAAGCAATGGGGAGCCAAGTAACGTGGAGAAGAGTGAGAGACACACAGGTCAGGAGAGAAAGAAACCAACTCTAATACTGACACCGAGGTTTCTGATGGTCAAAAGAGTTCCTGAATAAACCAAAAGTAAGTTATTAAGCTCTGAGACAACCCATTTACCAGGAAAGCTGGGGTAGGTCTTGGTTTCGCACCTTATTGTTTCAAATGACTGATATTTTGAGAGAAAGAACTACAGAACTATCTCTGAGCACAGCAGAGGAGACAGTTCATCAGTTGCTTTCCCCCACAGACAGTCACAATATTATGTGATGTATTTCAGAGGCGATGATATTCTCACCATCCTGACTGAAGTGAACTATGAAGTAAGCAACAAGGATGACAAGAAAAACATGGGGAAACAGATGCCTCAGCCTACTTTCACACTAAGAAAAAAACTTGTCTTCCCTTCTGATTGATGGTGCTATTTTGTTTGTTTTGTTTTGTTTTGTTTTTTTGAGACAGAATCTCGCTCTGTCGCCCAGGCTGGAGTGCAGTGGCGTGATCTCGGCTCACCGCAAGCTCCGCCTCCCGGGTTCAGGCCATTCTCCTGCCTCAGCCTCCCGAGTAGCTGGGACTACAGGGGCCCGCCACCACACCTGGCTAATTTTTTAAAAATATTTTTAGTAGAGACAGGGTTTCACTGTGTTAGCCAGGGTGGTCTTGATCTCCTGACCTCGTGATCCACCCACCTCGGCCTCCCAAAGTGCTGGGATTACAGGCGTGAGCCACCGCGCCTGGCCGATGGTACTATTTAGATATAACACTATGTTTATTTACTAATTTTCTAGATTTTCTACTTTATTAATTGTTTTGCACTTTTTTATAAGAGCTAAAGTTAAATAGGATATTAACAACAATAACACTGTCTCCTTTCTCTTATGCTTAAGGCTTTGGGAATGTTTTTAGCTGGTGGCAATAAATACCAGACACGTACAAAATCCAGCTATGAATATAGAGGGCTTATGATTCAGATTGTTATCTATCAACTATAAGCCCACTGTTAATATTCTATTAACTTTAATTCTCTTTCAAAGCTAAATTCCACACTACCACATTAAAAAAATTAGAAAGTAGCCACGTATGGTGGCTCATGTCTATAATCCCAGCACTTTGGGAGGTTGAGGTGGGAGGATTGCTTGAACCCAAGAGGTCAAGGCTGCAGTGAGCCATGTTCACACCGCTGCACTCAAGCTTGGGTGACAGAACAAGACCCCGTCTCAAAAAAAATTTTTTTTTTAATAAAACAAAATTTGTTTGAAATCTTTTAAAAATTCAAATGATTTTTACAAGTTTTAAATAAGCTCTCCCCAAACTTGCTTTATGCCTTCTTATTGCTTTTATGATATATATATGCTTGGCTAACTATATTTGCTTTTTGCTAACAATGCTCTGGGGTCTTTTTATGCATTTGCATTTGCTCTTTCATCTCTGCTTGGATTATTTTAAATCATTAGGAATTAAGTTATCTTTAAAATTTAAGTATCTTTTTTCAAAAACATTTTTTAATAGAATAAAATATAATTTGATCTTATTGCTCCTTGGAGATTTTTTGTGTTTGGTTTTGGTTTCTGCCAATGACATCTCACAGGTGGAAAACATCTGGACTACAGACATGTTCTACTTGAGTCTCCCATGATCGGCACACACAGTTGTATTTTTAAAATTTGTTGTCAATGTTTAAAAATTAGGAGATATCACATAAAAACCAGAATAACTTCTTTTAAAAAATCATACTATCTGACAATATTGACCTCATGCTTTTGCATGGCAAAGGTCTGAGAAGCACCTTCTTCAGATGGGACAGTGCTCTGTGGGTCACTCTTCCCCATCCGCTGTGCCCCAGCCCTGCCCAAGCCCCTCTACTGAGGCTGCTGTTGGTTGCCACTTATCACTGTGCTTGGGCAATTGTTTTCCTTATGTCTAGCCCACTTCACTTATTTATGTTGCCTGCACTGTGGGTGTCTGAATTCTGGTGATGGTCCAGAGGAGGTGGTAAGAATCATCAGAAACCCTTCCTAAGTCATAGGTTAGGGAACATGATTGAGAGGTAGGGAAGTAGGGGGCATGGGTGTGAGAGAAAAATATTTTAGAGTAAAATCAACACATCATCTTTTTTTGCTACCTAAATGCCCCAGGGGACAAAGGTACACCTCCCAAATATAGTAAAAGTTCAATATGAAGAAGGCCTTCAAATCAGTTTCTTTCTAACGAAATACGTCAAGGTAGAAGAAAAATAGTACAAAACTCAGAGAAAGCTCAGCTCCCAGTATGGAGAGCATCATTTTTCAGTGAAGAGTCCGTGATAAGCTGTGAAATTCAGATGCGAATTCAAACATTTTCAGACATTCAGAGAGTCAGAGCAACCCAAGAACTAAACTCATTATATGCATTTTCTCAAGAAAACCCTCCCAGGAGTTTCCTGGGCCTACAGAAATGGTGTGCCAACCATCTTCAACAATGCAGAGCAACTTTTTGTTTATGATTCTTGTCCTTTCTTGCTACCATCTTGCACAGTGTCAGAATCATCCTTAGAAACAGTAATAGAGGCCAATCTCCCAGAACATCCTTCACAAATTTCTTCATTCTTAGAAATTATCTTTTGCCTGTAAAAAGAAAGGAAAGATGTATCAATGTCAACTCAAAAGCTAGAAAGGGTATAGGATATTTGGAGTGCAGGGAGAGAAATGTGCCTTCGTTCCTTCACCACAGCAGTCTCTCACTCATTACTTGCAGTGGTTTTGAATTTAGTGAGGTATGGTGTTCAGGTGACTAAAGTCCTATACGAGGAATTTTCTACTAAATCAATGCAATAAATAACTTTCTTCTATTAAAGTATTGACCAAAATTTATTTTAATGATTTAAGATGCAGCTTCAGGTAACAGTACACCTTCTGATCCAAAGGTGATTTCCATAGGAACCAGAAGCAGCTGCATGTAATGGCAAGACCATCAGACTCCCAGGGGAGATGGATTTAAAAACCACCCTCAGTCATAGAACTGAGCAAACTCAGAAACTGGAAGACAAATGTCCTGTGTTGTTTTGCATAGAAACAAGGACACAGGTGAATGGGAGAAGTATAGACACATCTCCACTCCACCTCAAGTGAACTATCTGGCTTTGTGTCACTGGCCTAGAGTGACATACCTCCCTCCCGAAAACACCTGTGCCTTGACATAACTAGGGAGCAGTTGGTCTATCTTCCTAACCCATTCCTCACTCAAACTCCTTCCCACTCCTAAAGAGAACTCAGCTATGTCTTTTTCAGCAGCAGCCGCACTTCAGATGAATGTTCTCTTCCGTCAGGATCTGTATGGTGTGCTTATACTTTTCTTCAGTTTCAGCAAACTTGGTTTGAAGCATTTTCTCCAGATTTCCCACTATAGCTTTCTGAAAGACATACATTTTAATAGCCATCTTCCCCAACCCAGAGCCATCCAGGGCAGAGCTATATGGCAGAGCTGGATGGAGACCTGGGTTCTTCCCCCAACCCCCATCCCCACTCCAGTAGGGACTCACCTCTTTCTGGAGTTCCAACTGGGTATAGTAGAGGTTTGTGTTCAGTGACTCTAGGATAAGGGCTTGTGCATGCAATTCTTCCTGCATGACCTGCATAAGAAGAAGCTGTTGCAGGACATCATGCCAATGTCTATTTATTTGGTCTCTTCTCCAGGGCACCTGGACTATGATGAAAGGGAGCAACCTGAGCTACTTTTGCATCACTCATGGCCACTCACACCCTGTCAGTCCTGCCTCCTCTCTGTCTCACCCATCTATATCCTTCTCTTCAGCCTCACCAGAGCTCATATGAATGGTTCTAATGGCAATCAGTTATTCATTCACTAAGCAAGTCTTTATTAAATACCTACTACCGATTCCAATTATATGACACTCTGGAAAAGGCAAAACTATAGAGAGAGAAAAAAGATTAGTGGTTTCTAGGGATTTGGAGGGGAAGGGAGGGATGAATAGGTGGGATAGAGGGCACTTTTAGAGCAGTGAAACTATTCTGTATGACACTATAATGGTGGATACATGACATGACATATTAGGCAAAACCCACAGAATGTACAACACAAAGAGAGAACCCTCATGTAAACTATGGACTTTAGTTAATAAGAATGCATCCACATTGGCTCATCAATTGCAACTAATGTGCCATCCCAATGCAAGATACTAATAATAAAGGAAACTAGTGGTGGGGTAGGGTGGGGTGGGGTAGTATATGGGAACTCTCTGTACTTTCTGCTCAATTTTTCTGTAAACCTAAAACTGCTCTAAAAAGTAGCTTCTTGAAACAAACACACAAACTTCCACTAAAGAATGAATAGAAGCCTGTGCAAAGGTCCTTAGAATGCAAAATGCTCAGGGGTGGAGCCAAGACAGCCGAATAGGAACAGCTCCAGTCTACAGCTCCCAGCGTGAGCGATGCAGAAGACGTATGATTTCTGCATTTCCAACTGAGGTATCGTGTTCATCTCACTGGGGATTGTCAGACAGTGGGTGCAGTACAGTGGGTGCAGTGCACTGAGCATGAGCCGAAGCAGGGCGAGGCATCACATCATCCGGGAAGTGCAAGGGGTCAGGGAATTCCCTTTCCTAGCCAAGGAAAGGGGTGACAGATGGCACCTGGAAAATCAGGTCACTCCCACCCTAATACTGCATTTTCCAACAGTCTTAGCAAACGGCACACCAGAAGATTGTATCCCATGCCTGGCTCATAAGGTCCTACGCCCACGGAGCCTTGCTCATTGCTAGCACAGCAGTCTGAGATCAAACTGCGAGGTGGCAGTGAGGCTGGTGGAGGGGCGCCCACCATTGCTGAGGATTGAGTAGGTAAACAAAGTGGCCAGGAAGCTCGAACTGGGTGGAGCCCACCGCAGCTCAAGGAGGCCTGCCTGCCTCTGTAGACTCCACCTCTGGGGGCAGGCATAACCAAACAAAAGGCAGCAGAAACCTCTGCAGACTTAAATGTCCCTGTCTGACAGCTTGAAGAGAGTAATGGTTCTCCCAGCACGCAGCTTGAGATCTGAGAATGGACAGACTGCCTCCTCAAGTGGGTCCCTGACCCCTGAGTAGCCTAACTGGGAGGCACCCCCCAGTAGGGGCAGACTGACACATCACACGGCTGGGTACTCCTCTGAGACAAAACTTTCAGAGGAACAATCAGACAGCAACATTTGCTGTTCACCAATATCTGCTGTTCTGCAGCCTCCGCTGCTGATACCCAGGCAAACAGGGTCTAGAGTGGACCTCCAGCAAACTCCAACAGACCTGCAGCTGAGGGTCCTGACTGTTAGAAGGAAAACTAACAAACAGAAAGGATATCCACACCAAAACCCCATCTGTACGTCACTGTCATCAAAGACCAAAGGTAGATAAAACCACAAAGATGGGGAAAAAACAGAGCAGAAAAACTGAAAATTCTAAAAATCAGAGTGCCTCTCCTCCTCCAAAGGAATGCAGCTCCTCGCCAGCAACAGAACAAAGCTGGATGGAGAATGACTTTGACGAGTTGAGAGAAGAAGGCTTCAGATGATCAAACTACTCCGAGCTAAAGGAGAAAGTTCGAACTCATGGCCAAGAAGTTAAAAACCTTGAAAAAAGATTAGACGAATGGCTAACTAGAATAACCAATGCAGAGAAGTCCTTAAAGGACCTGATGGAGCTGAAAACCATGGCACAAGAAGTATGTGACAAATGCACAAGCCTCAGTAGCCGATTCGATCAACTGGAAGAAAGGGTATCAGTGATGGAAGATCAAATGAATGAAATGAAGCAAGAAGAGAAGTTTAGAAAAAAAAGAATAAGAAGAAATGAACAAAGCCTCCAAGAAATATGGGACTATGTGAAAAGACCAAATCTACGTCTGATTGGTGTACCTGAAAGTGACAGGGAGAATGGAACCAAGTTGGAAAACACTCTGCAGGATATTATCCAGGAGAACTTCCCCAACCGAGCAAGGCAGGCCAACAATCAGATTCAGGAAATACAGAGAACAGCATAAAGATACTCCTCGAGAAGAGCAACTCCAAGACACATAACTGTCAGATTCACCAAAATTGAAATGAAGGAAAAAATGTTAAGGGCAGCCAGAGAGAAAGCTCGGGTTACCCACAAAGGGAAGCCCATCAGACTAACAGCAGATCTGTCAGCAGAAACTCTACAAGCCAGAAGAGAGTGAGGGCCAATATTCAACATTCTTAAAGAAAAGAATTTTCAACCCAGAATTTCATATCCAGTCAAACTAAGCTTCATGATTGAAGGAGAAATAAAATACTTTACAGACAAGCAAATGCTGAGAGATTTGGTCACACCAGGCCTGCCTTAAAAGAGCTCCTGAAGGAAACACTAAACATGGAAAGGAACAACCGGTACCAGCCACTGCAAAAACATGTCAAATTGTAAAGACCATCGAGGCTAGGAAGAAACTGCATCAACTAACGAGCAAAATAACCAGCTAACATCAGAATGACAGGATCAAATTCACACATAACAATATTAACCTTAAATGTAAATGGGCTAAATGCTCCAATTAAAAGACACAGACTGGCAAATTGGATAGTCAAGACCCATCAGTGTGCTGTATTCAGGAAACCCACCTTACATGCAGAGACACACAGAGGCTCAAAATAAAGGGATGGAGGAAGATCTACCAAGCAAATGGAAAACAAAAAAAGGCAGGGGTTGCAATACTAGTCTCTGATAAAACAGACTTTCAATTAACAAAGATCAAAAGAGACAAAGAAGGCCATTATATAATGGTAAAGGGATTAATTCAACAAGAAGAGCTAACTATCCTAAATATATATGCACCCAATACAGGAGCAGCCAGATTCATAAAGTAAGTCCTTAGAGACCTACAAAAAGACTTAGACTCCCACACAATAATAATGGGAGACTTTAACACCCCACTGTCAACATTAGACAGCTCCACGAGACAGAAAGTTAACAAGGATATCCAGGAATTGAACTCAGCTCTGCACCAAGCAGACCTAATAGACATCTACAGAACTCTCCACCCCAAATGAACAGAATATACATTCTTCTCAGCACCACATCGCACATATTCCAAAATTGACCACATAGTTGGAAGTAAAGCACTCCTCAGCAAATGTAAAAGAACAGAAATCACAACAAACCGTCTCTCAGACCACAGTGCAATCAAACTAGAACTCAAGATTAAGAAACTCACTCAAAACCACACAACTACATGGAAACTGAACAACCTGCTCCTGAATGACTACTGGGTACATAATGAAATGAAGGCAGAAATAAAGATGTTCTTCAAAACCAATGAGAACAAAGACACAACATACCAGAATCTCTGGGACACATTTAAAGCAGTGTGTAGGGGAAATTTATGGCACTAAATGCCCACAAGAGAAAGCAGGAAAGATCTAAAATTGACACCCTAACATCACAATTAAAAGAACTAGAGAAGCAAGAGCAAACACATTCAAAAGCTAGCAGAAGGCAAGAAATAACTAAGATCAGAGCAGAACTGAAGGAGATAGAGACACAAAAAACCCTTCAAAAAATCAATGAATCCAGGAGCTGGTTTTTTGAAAAGATCAACAAAATTAATAGAATGCTAGCAAGACTAATAAAGAAGAAAAGAGAGAAGAATCAAATAGACGCAAAAAAAAACGATAAAGGGGATATCACCACCGATCCCACAGAACTACAAACTACCATCAGAGAGTACTATAAACACCTCTATGCAAATAAACTAGAAAATCTAGAAGAAATGGATAAATTCCTGGACACATACACACTCCCAAGACTAAACCAGGAAGAAGTTGAATCCCTGAATAGACCAATAACAGGCTCTGAAATTGAGGCAATAATTAATAGCTTACTAACCAAAAAAAGTCCAGGACCAGATGGATTCACAGCCGAATTCTACCAGAGGTACAAGGAGGAGCTGGTACCATTCCTTTGAAACTATTGCAATCAATAGAAAAAGAGGGAATCCTCCCTAACTCATTTTATGAGGCCAGCATCATCCTGATACCAAAGCCTGGCAGAGACACAACAAAAAAAGAGAATTTTAGACCAATATCCCTGATGAACATCGATGCAAAAATCCTCAATAAAATACTGGCAAACCAAATATAGCAGCACATCAAAAAGCTTATCCACCATGATCAAGTGGGCTTCATCCCTGGGATGCAAGGCTGGTTCAACATACGCAAATCAATAAATGTAATCCAGCATATAAACCGAACCAATGACAAAAACCACATGATTATCTCAATAGATGCAGAAAAGGCCTTCAACAAAATTCGAAAACCGTTCATGCTAAAAACTCTCAATAAATTAGGTATTGGTGGGACGAATCTCAAAATAATAAGAGCTATCTATGACAAACCCACAGCCAATATCATACTGAATGGGCAAAAACTGGAAGCATTCCCTTTGAAAACTGGCAAAAGACAGGGATGCCCTCTCTCACCACTCCCATTCAACATAGTGTTGGAAGTTCTGGCCAGGGCAATGAGGCAGGAGAAGGAAATAAAGGGTATTCAATTAGGAAAAGAGGAAGTCAAATTGTCCCTGTTTGCAGATGACATGATTGTATATCTAGAAAACCCCATCATCTCTGCCCAAAATCTCCTTAAGCTGATAAGCAACTTCAGCAAAGTCTCAGGATACAAAATCAATGTGCAAAAATCACAAGCATTCCTATACACCAATAACAGACAAACAGAGAGCCAAATCATGAGTGAACTCCCATTCACAATTGCTTCAAAGAGAATAAAATACCTAGGAATCCAACTCACAAGGGATGTGAAGGACCTCTTCGTTGACCACTGCTCAACGAAATAAAAGAGGATACAAACAAATGGAAGAACATTCCATGCTCATGGATAGGAAGAATCAACATCGTGAAAATGGCCATAATGCTCAAGGTAATTTATAGATTCAATGCCATCCCCATCAAGCTACCAATGATTTTCTTCACAGAATTGGAAAAAACTACTTTAAAGTTCATCTGGAACCAAAAAAGAGCCCGCATTGCCAAGTCAATCCTAAGCCAAAGAACAAAGCTGGAGGCATCTCGCTACCTGACTTCAAACTATACTACAAGTCTACAGTAACCAAAACAGCATGGTACTGGTACCAAAACAGAGATATAGACCAATGGAACAGAACAGAGCCCTCAGAAATAATGCCATATATCTACACTATCTGATCTTTGACAAATCTGACAAAAACAAGAAATGGGGAAAGGATTCCTTATTTAATAAATGGTGCTTGGAAAACTGGCTAGTCATATGTAGAAAGCTGAAACTGGATCCCTTCCTTACACCTTATACAAAAATTAATTCAAGATGGATTAAAGACTTAAATGTTAGACCTAAAACCATAAAAACCCTAGAAGAAAATCTAGGCAATACCATTCAGGACATAGGCATGGGCAAGGACTTCATGTCTAAAACACCAAAAGCAATGGCAACAAAAGCCTAAATTGGCAAATGGGATCTAATTAAACTAAAGAGCTTTTGCACAGCAAAAGAAACTACCATCAGAGTGAACAAGCAACCTACAGAATGAGAGAAAATTTTTGCAACCTACTCATCTGACAAAGGGTTAATATTCCAGAATCTACAATGAACTCAAACAAATTTACAAGAAAAAAACAAACAACCCCATGAACAAGTGGGCAAAGGATATGAACAGACACTTCTCAAAAGAAGACATTTATGCAGCCAAAAGACACATGAAAAAATGTTCATCATCACTGGCCATCAGAGAAATGCAAATCAAACCACAATGAGATACCATCTCACACCAGTTAGAATGGCGATCATTAAAAAGTCAGGAAACAACAGGTGCTGGAGAGGATGTGGAGAAACAGGAACACTTTTACACTGTTGGTGGGACTGTAAACTAGTTCAACCATTGTGGAAGTCAGTGTGGCGATTCCTCAGGGATCTAGAACTAGAAATCCCATTTGGCCCAGCCATCCCATTACTGGGTATATACCCAAAGGATTATAAATCATGCTGCTATAAAGACACATGCACACGTATGTTTATTGCGGCACTACTCACAATAGCAAAGACTTGGAACCAACCCAAATGTCGAACAATGATAGACTGGATTAAGAAAATGTGGCACATATATACCATGGAATACTATGCAGCCATAAAAAATGATGAGCTCATGTCCTTGGTAGGGACATGGATGAAGCTGGAAACCATCATTCTGAGCAAACTATGGCAAGGACAAAAAACCAAACACCACATGTTCTTGCTCAGAGGTGGGAATTGAACAATGAGAACACATGGACACAGGAAGGGGAACATCACACACCGGGGCCTGTTGTGGGGTGGGGGGAGGGGGGAGGGATAGCATTAGGAGATATACCTAATGTTAAATGACGAGTTACTGGGTGCAGCACACCAACATGGCACATGTATACATATGTAACAAACCTGTACATTATGCACATGTACCCTAAAACTTACAGTATAATAAAAAAAATGCAAAATTCTCATTCTGTTTGAGGACCCAAAGGAACACCAATATGGCTGGAATAGAGATAGTAAGGATAGAGGGCCATGGTGAGGAAATACAGGGAAGTCTGGTGGCACCTGAGAGGACAAGGTAACCTAAGAACAATGGGGACCTACTGAAGGGTTTTAAGCAGAGAAGTGAATGCACGTATCTTACTGTTTACATTATGCTCCATGGGGATGGATTGGAAGGGCAAGAGGGAAAGCAACGGAACTAAGGAGGAGAATACTACAGTCGTGTAGGTGAGAAATAATGGACTAGGGTAAGGTGACAACAGAGTTGGAGGGACGTGGATGAATTTGGATTATGTTATAGAGGATTGGCTGAGGCTGCTGGGTTGAATTTGGGAGAGTGAAAGGAAAGAAGAAATCAAGGATGACTTCAGGTCTAGGCTTAGAACAGCTGAGGGAGTTGACAATTTGGGGGCTAAATCTCTGGTGGAAAATTGAGAGTGTGGAACTGGGCATGTTAATTTTGAGGTGTCTGTATGTCACCTATGTTGAAATGTCAAATGGGCAGTTGGATGTACAAGCCTGGAGCTCAGGAGAGAGGCAAGGCTGGAGGTATCAAACCAAGTTATCAGTACAGAGATGGCTTTTACATCTGTGTGAACAGATGAGCTCACCAAAGGAGAAACGGGAGATAAAGAAGATAAGTGGGGCCTGGGAACAAGCCTCAAAATACTCCAGGACTTAGAAAGTAGGTGGGAGAACAGTGGGGTGCCATTGAAGGGTTTTAAGCAGAGTTCTAGTTCTAGTAAAGGAGATTGAGAAGGTGTGACCAATGAGGTGAAGGAAACACCAGAAGCCCATGAAAGCTAAGACAGGTGAATGTTGCAAGGAGAGAATGATCAATCGCACCTGATACTGCTCATGTCCAGTGAGGTGAAGCATTCCTTGGATTTGGCAACTCGGAATTTACTTGTGATTTTAACAAGAACAGTTTCCATGGCTGGGATTGGAGCAGAAGTCAGGTTGAGGTGTAAAGGGGAGGTGACCCTTCTAATAGGTTCTGCCTCCCATCATTTTGCCTCTTCAGATTCTCCTTCACATTGCTGCCACAGTTATTTTCCCAAATGATACTCTCTCCTCAAAAACCTCCAGTGGCATCCCATTTGGAGAAAAGCAAGTGTTGGGCAGGGAGCGGAGCCCTTAAATCGGGCACCTTCTGAGAAGGTGGCATTTGAATAAAGAACAGGAGGAGGAAAGGAAGTTAGTCATGTGGATATCCGGGAAAGAGCTTTTCAGGAAGAGAGAACATCAAAGACCCCCAGGTAGGAACATCCTGGCCTGTTAAGGGAACAGCAAGGAGGCAAGTGCCTCTGGGGTGGAGTGATGTAGGGAAGAAATAGAAAGAGACAAGGTTAGAGGAAGGAAACATCAGCAAGGAGCAGGTGGAACAATCCCCAGGGCCAACACAAGGCTGGGAATAGTTCATGGTCCCACCAGGCAGAGTAGAAAATCCTTCTCATACAGAGGGTGTGGTGTCAAGTACTCAGAGGGTATTACCTCAATAGTGGGGAAAATTAGTTCCACACTAAAGACTGCTTTAGTTCTGCCCAACGAAGCTTAAAAAGCAAGGCTTGAAAGGATCAAACTGTTTCCAGGCAACTTAACTGCATCCCAGGGCAAAGCTTAAGAATATCTAAAGGAATATAAAAATATTCAGCACCCAACAAGGTAAACACCAAAATGACTGACATCCAAGCCAAACTTACCAGGCATGCAAACAAGGAAATATGACCATAAATGAGGAGAAAAATCAATGAAGAGAAACAGGCCCAGACATGACACAAATGACAGAATTCGTAGACAAGCTCATGAAAATAGTTATTATAATACACTGGGTATATCTTCCTCCAAAGCCCATTTCTTGAACTTGTAGGACACCACAGTCTGTTTGCCTTTCCATAATGCTGAAGCCCTGCCTGGGCTCTAAGATAGAATTCATTTACAATGCCTTTATAATGACTAATGTTTTCTCAAACGTGTCCATTCTGGATCCAAGTCAAATTTTCAGTGATGGAAGAATCACACATCACCTTGTGGATTTGAACGGCTCCTCTTCAGTTGTCTCCCACAGACTGCCATAATTTGCCCCAGAATAGAGTCCCTGAGGAAGTTATCATGTGTGAGGTACATTCAGAGCTTAAGGAGGGGCTTGGTGACAGAGTTTCAAAGGAGACAGTTTTATACTTTTCAGAGCTCAAAGGGAAGAACTTGGTGTTTTATAACTGAAAGATCATTTGTGGTTTGAACCTTGCTAGAAATGAAAGTCATTCAACATTGAAGATCACATAGTATATTGCTGATCTATTTGTTCAAATCAGACTTTAAAAAGACCCACTGGCTTTATTTTACAGATAATTTCAAAAATTCTTTTTAACTTATTGAATCCAGTAAACTCAGCTTTAGGTCTTCCATTTCTTATTGGCTTTGGGGAAATTATCATTGATTCCATTATACTGACAGCTTGTTATTTTATTGGTGTATTTGTAATATACCAAGTCCACAGGAAAGGATGAAAAAGCTTACCTCTTTGGTTTTTCTCAGCTCTTCTAATTGCAAGGTGTCACTTTGATGTTGTTTCAAGAGCTCCTAAAAACAATTTTATTGGGAAAAGGTTAGCACTGTGGTTCTGGCACATCTTCTAGGGAGTTAAGAAAGCCAGACTAGGATTCAGGAATATAATATTCACCAAAGCTTAGACACTGCTATAATGAAGCACACATTATAAACTAGTGACATGACTTGTTGAAGTTAATGAAAATCTTAATTATGTTCAACCTTATCTCACTGACAAATATTAAAAGAAATTATATTTTCATCAAAAGCTTTTCTTAAGTCAGTGGATAGATTCAATACTCTTAAGAATTAATCTCGCCACAGATTGATCTTTATATTCAATGAAATCCCAGTCAAAATATCAGCAAACTTCCTTGATAAGCTAATTCTAAATTGACAAGCTAGTTCTAACATTTATGTAAAAATACAAAGCATGTGGAAAGGCAAAATAATCTTGAAAAACAATAGCAAAGCTAGATAACCTTTGCTACCCGATTTCAAACTTCAGTAGTCAAGACAATGTGTTGTTGACCTAAGTATGGAAAAATAGTCAAACAGAACGGAGAGTCCTAACACCCCAAATACAGCAAAGACACTATATTAGTCTGATCTCACATTTCTATGAAGAACTACCTGAGAGACTGGGTAATTTATAAAGAAAAGAGGTTTAGGGGGAGTTTCCAAGATGGCCAAATAGGAACACCTCCAGTCTATAGCTCCCAGCATGAGTGATGCAGAAGACAGGTGATTTCTGCATTTCCAACTGAGGTACCAGGTTCATCTCACTGGGGCTTGTCAGACAGTGGGTGCAGGACAGTGGGTGCAGGCCACGGACCGGGAGCCGAAACAGGGTGGGGCACCGCCTCACCTGGGAAGCGCGAGGGGTCAGATAATTCCCTTTCCTAGCCAAGGGAAGCCGTGACAGACGGCACCTGGAAAATCGGGTCACTCCCACCCTAATACTGTGCTTTTCCAACAGTCTTAGCAAATGGCACACCAGGAGATTATATCCCATGCATGGCTGGGAGGGTCCCACGCCCACGGAGCTTTGCTCACTGCTAGCACAGCAGTCTGAGATTGAATGGCAAGGCAGCAGTGAGGCTGGGGGATGGGCGCCTGCTATTGCTGAAGCTTGAGTAGGTAAACAAAGCGGCTGGAAAGCTCGAATTGGGTGGAGCCCACCACAGCTCAAGGAGGCCTGCCTGCCTCTGTAGATTCCACTTCTGGGGGCAGGGCATAGCTCAACAAAAGGCAGCAGAAACTTCTGCAGACTTAAACATCCCTGTCTGACAGCTTTGAAGAGAGTAGTGGTTCTGCCAGCATGGAGTCTGAGATCTGAGAATGGACAGACTGCCTCCTCAAGTGGGTCCCTGACCCCCGAGAAGCCTAACTGGGAGGCACCGCCCAGTAGGGGCCAACTGACAACTCATACAGCTGGGTGCCCCTCTGAGATGAAGCTTTCAGAGAAACGATCAGGCAGCAACATTTGCTGTTCTGCAGTATCTGCAGTTCTACAGCCTCTCCTGGTGATACCCAGGCAAACAGGGTCTGGAGTGGACCTCCAGCAAACTCCAACAGACCTGCAGCTGAGGGTCCTGACTGTTAGAAGGAAAACTAACAAACAGAAAGGACATCCACACCAAAACCTCATCTGTACATCACCATCATCAAACACCAAAGGTAGATAAAACCACAAAGATGGGGGGAAACCAGAGCAGAATAGCTGAAAATTTTAAAAATCAGAGCGACTCTTCTCCTCCAAAGGAATGCAGCTCCTCACCAGCAATGGAACAAAGCTGGACAGAGAATGAATTGACGAGTTGAGAGAAGAAGGCTTCAGATGATCAGTAATAACAAGCTTCTCCAAGTTAAAGGAGGATGTTCGAACCCATCACAAACAAGCTAAAAACCTTGAAAAAAGATTGGATGAATGACTAACTAGAAAAAACAGTGTAGAGAAGTCCTTAAATGACCTGATGGAGCTGAAAATCATGGCACAAGAACTATGTGATGCACGCACAAGCTTCAGTAGCTGATTCGATCAAGTGGAAGAAAGGGTATCAGTGATTGAAGATCAAATGAATGAAATGAAGCAAGAAGAGAAGTTTAGAGAAAAAAGAGTAAAAAGAAATGAACAAAGCCTCCAAGAAATATGGGACTATGTGAAAAGACCAAATCTACGTCTGATTGGTGTACCTGAAAGTGACAGGGAGAATGGAACCAAGTTGGAAAACACTCTGCAGGATATTATCCAGGAGAACTTCCCCAACCTAGCAAGGCAGGCCAACATTCAAATTCAGGAAATACAGAGAATGCCACAAAGATACTCCTCGAGAAGAGCAACTCCAAGACACATAATTGTCAGATTCACCAAAGTTGAAATGAAGGAAAAAATGTTAAGGGCAGCCAGAGAGAAAGGTTGGGTTACCCACAAAGGGAAGCCCATCAGACTAACAGTGGATCTCTCGGCAGAAACTCTATCTACAAGCCAGAAGAGAGTGGGGGCCAATATTCAACATTCTTAAAGAAAAGAATTTTCAACCCAGGATTTCATATCCAGCTAAACTAAGCTTCATAAGTGAAGGAGACATAAAATCCTTTACAGAGAAGCAAATTCTGAGAGATTTTGTCACCACCAGGCCTGTCTTTCAAGAGCTCCTGAAGGAAGCACTAAACATGGAAAGGAACAACCGGTACCAGCCACTGCAAAAACATGCCAAATTGTAAAGTCCATCAATGCCAGGAAGAAACTGCATCAACTAATGAACAGATAACCAGGTAACATCATATCGAGAGGATCAAATTCACACATAACAATATTAACCTTAAATGTAAATGGGCTAAATGCTCCAATTAAAAGACACAGACTGGCAAATTGGATAGTCAAGACCCACCAGTGTGCTGTATGCAGGAGACCCATCTCACGTGCAGAGACACACAGAGGCTCAAAATAAAAGGATGGAGTAAGATCTAACAAAAAAATGGAAAACAAAAAAAGGCAGGGGTTGCAATCCTAGTCTCTGATAAAACAGACTTTAAACCAGCAAAGATCAAAAGAGACAAAGAAGGCCATTATATAATGGTAAAGGGATCAATTCAACAAGAAGAGCTAACTATCCTAAATACATATGCACCCAATACAGGAGCAGCCAGATTCATAAAGTAAGTCCTTAGAGACCTACAAAGAAACTTAGATTCCCACACAATAATAATGGGAGACTTTAATACCCCACTGTCAACATTAGACAGTTCCACGAGACAGAAAGTTAACAAGGATATCCAGGAATTGAACTCAGCTCTGCACCAAGTGGACCTAATAGACATCTACAGAACTCTCCACCCCAAATCAACAGAATATACATTCTTCTCAGCACCACATCACACGTATTCCAAAATTGACCACATAGTTGGAAGTAAAGCACTCCTCAGCAAATGTAAAAGAACAGAAATCACAACAAACCGTCTCTCAGACCACAGTGCAATCAAACTAGAACTCAGGATTAAGAACTCACTCAAAACAGCACAACTACATGGAAACTGAAAAACCTGCTCCTGAATGACTACTGGGTACATAACAAAATGAAGGCAGAAATAAAGATGTTCTTCGAAACCAATGAGAACAAAGACACAACATACCAGACTCTCTGGGACACATTTAAAGCAGTGTGTAGAGGGAAATTTATAGCACTAAATGCCCACAAGGGAAAGCAGGAAAGATCTAAAATTGACACCCTAACATCACAATTAAAAGAACTAGACAAGCAAGGGCAAACACATTCAAAAGCTAGCAGAAGGCAAGAAATAACTAAGATCAGAGCAGAACTGAAGGAGATAGAGACACAAAAACCCTTCAAAAAATCAATGAATCCAGGAGCTGGTTTTTTGAAAAGATCAACAAAATTGATAGACCGCTAGCAAGACTAATAAAGAAGAAAAGAGAGAAGAATCAAATAGACGCAATAAAAAATGATAAAGGGGATATCACCACCGATCCCACAGAGATACAAACTACCATCAGAGAATACTATAAACAACTCTATGCAAATAAACTAGAAAATCTAGAAGAAATGGATAAATTCCTGGACACATACACCCTCCCAAGACTTAACCAGGAAGAAGTTGAATCCGTGAATAGACCAATAACAGGCTCTGAAATTGAGGCAATAATTAAAAGCCTACCAACCAAAAAAAGTCCAGCACCAGACGGATTCACAGCCGAATTCTACCAGAGGTACAAGGAGGAGCTGGTACCATTCCTTTGAAACTATTGCAATCAATAGAAAAAGAGGGAATCTTCCCTAACTCATTTTATGAGGCCAGCATCATCCTGATACCAAAGCCTGGCAGAGACACAACAAAAAAAGAGAATTTTAGACCAATATCCCTGATGAACATCGATGCAAAAATCCTCAATAAAATACTGGCAAACTGAATCCAGGATCACATCAAAGAGCTTATCCACCATGATCAAGTGGGCTTCATCCCTGGGATGCAAGGCTGGTTCAACATACGCAAATCAATAAACGTAATCCATCATATCAACAGTACCAAAGACAAAAACCACATGATTATCTCAATAGATGCAGAAAAGGCCTTCAACAAAATTCGAAAACCATTCATGCTAAAAACTCTCAATAAATTAGGTATTGATGGGACGTATCTCAAAATAATAAGAGCTACCTATGACAAACCCACAGCCAATATCATACTGAATGGGCAAAAACTGGAAGCATTCCCTTTGAAAACTGGCAAAAGACATGGATGCCTTCTCTCACCACTCCTATTCAACATAGTGTTGGAAGTTCTGGCCAGGGCAATGAGGCAGGAGAAGGAAATAAAGGGTATTCAATTAGGAAAAGAGGAAGTCAAATTGTCCCTGTTTGCAGATGACATGAATTGTATATCTAGAAAACCCCATCATCTCTGCCCAAAATCTCCTTAAGCTGATAAGCAACTTCAGCAAAGTCTCAGGATACAAAATCAATGTGCAAAAATCACAAGCATTCCTATACACCAATAACAGACAAACAGAGAGCCAAATCATGAGTGAACTCCCATTCACAATTGCTTCAAAGAGAATAAAATACCTAGGAATCCAACTTACAAGGGATGTGAAGGACCTCTTCAAGGAGAACTACAAATCACTGCTCAACGAAATAAAAGAGGATGCAAACAAATGGAAGAACATTCCATGCTCATGGATAGGAAGAATCAATATCGTGAAAATGGCCATACTGCCCAAGGTAATTTACAGATTCAATGCCATCCCCATTAAGCTACCAATGACTTTCTTCATAGAATTGGAAAAAACTACTTTTATGGTTCATTTGGAACCATAAAAGAGCCTGTATTGCCAAGACAATCCTAAGCCAAAAGAACAAAGCTGGAGGCATCACACTACCTGACTTCAAACTATACTACAAGGCTACAGTAACCAAAACAGCATGGTACTGGTACCAAAACATAGATATAGACCAATGGAACAGAACAGAGCCCTCAAAAATAATACCACGCATCTACAACAATCTGATCTTTGACAAACCTGACAAAAACAAGAAATGGGGAAAGTACTCCCTATTTAATAAATGGTGCTTGGAAAACTGGCTAGCCATATGTAGAAAGCTGAAACTGGATCCCTTCCTTACATCTTATACAAAAATTAATTCAAGATGGATTAAAGACTTAAATGTCAGACCTAAAACCATAAAAACCCTAGAGGGAAACCTAGGCAATACCATTCAGGACATAGGCATGGGCAAGGACTTCATGTCTAAAACACCAAAAGCAATGGCAACAAAAGCCAAAATTGACAAATGGGATCTAAATAATCTAAAGAGCTTCTGCACAGCGAAAGAAACTACCATCAGAGTGAACATGCAACCTACAGAATGGGAGAAAATTTTTGCAATCTACCCATCTGACAAAGGGCTAATATCCACAATCTACTAAGAACTTAAACAAATTTACAAGAAAAAATCAAACAACCCCATCAACAAGTGGGCGAAGGATATGAACAGACACTTCTCAAAAGAAGACATTTATGCAGCCAACAGACACACGAAAAAATGTTCATCATCACTGGCCATCAGAGAAATGCAAATCAAAACGACAATGAGATGCCATCTCACACCAGTTAGAATGGCGATCATTAAAAAGTCAGGAAACAACAGGTGCTGGAGAGGATGTGGAGAAATAGGAACACTTTTACACTGTTGGTGGGACTGTAAACTAGTTCAACCATTGTGGAAGACAGTGTGGCGATTCCTCAAGGGTCTAGAACTAGAAATCCCATTTGACACAGCCATCCCATTACTGGGTATATACCCAAAGGATTATAAATCATGCTGCTATAAAGACACATGCACACGTATGTTTATTGTGGCACTATTCACAATAGCAAAGACTTGGAACCAACCAAAATGTCCATCAATGATAGACTGGATTAAGAAAATGTGGCACATATACACCATGGAATACTATGCAGCCATAATAATGGATGAGCTCATGTCCTTTGTAGGGACATGGATGAAGTTGGAAACCAACATTCTGAGCAAACTATTGCAAGGACAGAAAACCAAACACCGTGTGTTCTCATTCGTAGGTAGGAAATGAACAATGAGAACACTTGGACACAGGTTGGGGAACACCACACACCAGGGCCAGTTGTGGGGTGGGGGGAGGGGGGAAGGATAGCATTAGGAGATATACTTAATGTAAATGATGAGTTAATGGGTGCAGCACACCAACATGGCACATGTATACATATTTAACACACTGGCACGTTGTGCACATGTACCCTGGAACTTAAAGTATAATAAATTAAAAAAAGAATAAAAAAAAAAAGAAAGAAAAGAGGTTTAATTGGCTCACATTTCTGCAAGCATGGCTGGGGAGGCCTCAGGAAACTTACAATCATGGCAGAAGGTAAAGAGGAAGGAGGCCTGTCTTACATAGCTGGAACAAAAGAAAGAGAGAGAAGGGGGAGGTGCTACAACCTGATCTTTTGAGAGCTCACTCACTATCACGAGAACAGAAAGGGGGAGAATCTGTCCCCATCATCCAATCACCTCCCACCAGACCCCCTTCTCCAACATTGGAGATTACAATTTGACATGAGATTTGGGCAGGGACACAAATCTAAACTGTATCAAACACTAAGGCAACTCAATGGGGAAAGGAAAGTATTTTTAAAGAATGATGCTGGGACAACTGAATATCCATAAGACAAAAATGACCCATGACTCTTACACTTCACTTCATACACAAAAATTATTCAAAATAGATCAGAGAATCATAGAAGCTAAAATTTTAAAGCTTCTAAAAAATAGAATATCTTCATGACCTTGGAATAGGCAATGATTTTATAGAGAGGACACAAAAATCTGTAACCATAAAAGTAAAAAAATGATCATTGCCTTTCATCAAAATTTAAAGCTTCTGTATATCGAAATATATCATTAATAAAATGAAGAGGCAAACCACAGGCTGACAGACAATATTTACAACATGTATATCTGGCAAAAAAAACTTGTATCCACAATATAAAAGTACTCCTACATATCAAAAATAAAAATGTAAGCACCTCCTACTTTTTCAAATGGGAAAAGACTTGAACAGGCACTTTATGGAAGAACATATATGAATGGACCAATAAGCATATGAGAAAATGCCCAACATAATTAGTCATCAGGGAAACTAAAACCATAATGAAGTACCACTTCATGCCCACTGGAATGGCCAAAATTAAAGGACTAGCAAAACTAATTGTTGTGGAGGATATACAGCAACTAGAATTCCAATATATCTAAGATGCAAGAAAAAAATGGTACAACTACTTTGGAAAATAAGTTTTGGCAAGTTCCCATAAAGTTAAACCTGTACCTGCCCTAGCGCCCAGTAATAGCACTACAGCTATAACAGCTACAGTGAGGAATGAAAAGGATATTCAGAGATGGGATTTTGGCAAAATAAGGAATTTCAGTTTCTGCATGTTTAGCATTCTGTTATTTCCAGTTAATTAAAATTTTTGTTCTAAGAACCCTTTGATAAGACTGTCTAGCCTGTGGGAAGATTGCCCAGCTAAAGGACAGCAAGACTGTCAGTCTATTTGCATACATTTCCAGAAAGCTGGGAGAGGAGGATTATGCCCAGAAAGACAAAAAGATCACCTAATTATGGAGGCACACCTGGGGACTTGGGTGTACCACCTGGACTACCCATTCAATCACCAAGGTGCTTTGGGCTGAGTTACCTCCTTCTCTTGAATGAAGTTCTCAAAGACAGCACTGCAGGATTCATTTATTTTCTTATCTTCTTCTCCTGACTCCATTTCGAATTTTTTGGTCATCTTTTTTTCTGTGGAAGTGACAGGAAAGCACATATATGTGTAAAGATGGGAAAAGCAGGTGCAATGAGAAACCCAGAATATCTAAAGATAAAAGCAATTCCAGACTGTGTCAGACTCAAGGTCATTGCAGCCTGGTGTTTGGCCTCTGACACTCACCTGAAGGTGCTTGAGGGTGAGGTGAGCACGGTGGTTGTCCTCAATCACATTAGTCATATGGGATTTACCACCAACATCTCTGGTTCTTTTGTGTGTAGTTTATTTTGAATCTGTTGCTTTTTATTTTGTCCATTCCCTCTGCTGATGTAACCACTATGCTATCATGGATATCCTTATCTTAAAATAAAGCTCTTGGCTAACATTACTTTGCCAGCAATAAAATTCATCCTGTACTTAGTGCTGGGGTAGAGGTAGGCTTCAGCTCTTTTCCTGGGCAGGAAACCTGCCAGTAGAGCCCCATTATCAAACAAGAGGAAGGAGGGGTGGAGGGAAACACAGATTTCAGTGTTGCAATTCTGGGGATGGACAGGGAGTCTCTGGTCTGACAGCGTAAGCCTCTGACTGAGCTGGATGGTGAGCAGCTGAATTCTGGTCTTCCAAAACTGGCGGTTACATCTTTACTTAGACTTTAGCAACATGGGATGAGAGTCGTATGAGTAGCTAGAATCTGGGATATGACTTGGGTTCTATTGCACTAGAATTCTAGGTAAAGCCCCAGACAGGAGCAGCTCCCCCTCCCGTTCCCCAGCCTTAACTCCGGGGTCTTCATATTACCTTCTGGCAGTCCAGAGTGCCCACCAGAATGTGAATTAATTTTCCCATGGAGTATCTGCATTTAAATGAGTAATTTGTTAAAATCAACTAAATCTGAAATAAATGTGGTTGGCGTGGAATGCGGAATAGGTCTGTAGAGGTCCCACTCCTACCTCAACTAGTCTTCTAGGCCTGGAGTAGTCTCTACAAATTCTCTTCTTTTTTCCTTTTATGAACAAGTCCAATGGGGGTGGGAGGTGCACCTATAGAATACTTTGTATGGTGCAAGCTCTGTGTTAATTGTTGGAAATATTAAAAATATTTACCAAGTGTGACTTCCTTCTGGAAGACGTGGGAATATAGAAGCTCTCAGTATAATGGATTGTGTTGTTCCTATCTGCCCCCTGCCCACATGCAAGTGAACATTTCACATTCTAACTAAAGAACTCTTGGAACTTTGGGTTCATCTGTTTCTAGATAATAAGTCTGCACTCCCTACAGGGATTCTAACATTTGTTCCAGCCATCATGGGCAAACTTGGACCAAATGAGTTTCAGAAGGTACAGGCTTAGACTCTCTTAGATCAGATGCCTGAACTTCAAAAAAGACCCTACCCTTGTTGTCATTTTGCTTTCATGAAAACTCTGGGCACCTTCCATTCAGGTATCTAGCATGTGGCCCATCACCCTTGGTAAGCCCAAGGCCACCTTCCTCAAGTCAAGACCAAACTTCATGGCAGTTTTTTAATGCACTTGTCATCAAAAAAGCTAGAGTTTCTGTACTCACTTTGCTGTAGCAGGATATTTTCTCGCTCGAACTTCTCATCCTTCTTCCATTTCGCCTTCTGTTTTGACCACTTCTCTTCCATTTCATCATAAATACTGTCCTGGGGAGGTACAAAGGCACCATGAAGAAAAGAGTCCTAAAATGAAGGTGACCTGGAGAGGCTGTAAAACTCAACTCAGGGAGGACTCCTCTTGGCATTGCACAGTGGCCAGGGCCCATCACCATGTTCTGTGCATCTTCCCTTACCTGGGGCCCTCACTGAGTGGGTCCTCCATGGGTGACTGGTGAGAAGTAAATTCCAGCCCAGCCCAACAGAGAGCTTATGGAACCCAAAGGTCAAGGGCAAACTATGCACAGTGTTTGCCCCACTAGAACTGAGCTTCCTTTGAAGAAAGGTAGAGTTCTCCATGTTGAAGGATCATATGTTAGCTCCCCCTAAATCACAAATCCCTCTTCAATAGCACAAGAAGAAAGGAGGCCGGGCGCAGTGGCTCACACCTGTAATCCCAGCACTTTGGGAGGTGGAGGCAGGCAGATCACAAGGTCAAGAGGTCAAGACCATCCTGGCCAACATGGTGAAACCCCATCTCTACTAAAAATACAAAAATTAGCTGGGCGTGGTGGCACACACCTGTAGTCCCAGCTACTTGGGAGGCTGAGGCAGGAGACTCGCTTGAACCTAGAAGGCAGAGGTTGCAGTGAGCCGAGATCACGCCACTGCACTCCAGCCTGGTGACAGAGTGAGACTCTGTCTCAAAAAAAAAAAAAAAAAAAAAAGAAGAAGAAAGGAAATACCTAGTAGTTAATTTGAACACTTAGAAAATAAGGGGATGTTTTTCAGAGAATGTCCACTTTTTCTCAGCAAATCTAACTTTCTTTTGTGGTTGAGGTTAAATAAGCCTAATCTAATACCAATACTGTTGCTTGGCTCAGATTTCATGAACATGGAATCCTAGGAGGGGGAAGGCCCTGGACCTGGATGACACTAGTAGGGTCCAAGGACGCTGACTGCCTTATTTTTCAGGTTAGCAGAAGGATTCACACCCGACCTATTCTATTTACCACTCACACGTCTTAGGCTCTGTTCTATGATGTTTTCCCTGAATATACCAAGGAGTATCTTAAAAAAATGAGTTTTAGACACAGGCTCAAAACTGAAATTGTAAGTGGTAAATAGAACTTTAGAGGTGGTACTGGTGTTTAACTTTTGATAGAGCGACCAAGTGTCCTTGTCTGCCTGACACTTAGGGGTTTCCTGGGACTCTGGACTCTCAGTGCTAAAACCTGGAAAGTCTCAGGCCAACTAGAACTAGTTGGTCACTATACTTCACAATTAAACAGGATGAAGGCTTGAGGCTTCAGTCCTTTCCCGCCCCACTAGCCATCTCTTAACTCTCTTCATCTACCTAGTAAGAATCATGCCCTAACTTTGTTTTCCTGGGCCTTCATCAAATGAGCTGATTAAATGGATGGGTTTTATTCTGAGATGACGGGAGCACTCCATGCTTTGCTTGTGGCAGTGCAGAGTGATACATTCTTTTTGGATGGCAATTTGGCCATATATATTAAAGGCCTTAAAAATGTTCATTCCAAAACAAGAACTAACCCCAAAGCTAGGAGAAGAAAAGAAATAACTAAAATCAGAACAGAACTGAATGGAATCAAAATTCAAAAACCCATACAAAGAATCAATGAAACAAAAAGTTGGATCTTTGAAAGGAAATGCAAGACCGATAGAGTGCTAGCTACATTAGCAAAGAAAAAAACGACGATCCAAATAAGCACATTTAGAAAGGACAAAGGTGACATTACAACTAATCCCACAGAAATATAAAAGAACCTCAGAGATCATTATGAACATCTGTATGCATACAAACAAGAAAATCTAGAGGAAATGGATAAATTCCTGGAAACACAACCTCCAAAGATTGAATCAAGAAGCAATTGAAACCCCAAATAGACAATATTGAGTTTTGAAATTGATTCAGTAATAAAATAATCTAACACTAAAAAAAAAAAAAAATCCTGGGACCAGAAAGATTCACAGCCAAATTCTACCAAAAGTACAGAGAAGAACTGGTACCAATTCTACTGAAACTATTCCAAAAAAATGAGGAGGAGGGACTCCTCCCTAACTTATTCTATGAAGCTGGCATTATCCTTATACCAAAACCTGGCAAAGACAAAAAAGAAACTACAGGCCAATATCCCTATGAACATAGACTGAAAAAAATGCTCAACAAAATACTTGCAAATTGAATCCAGCTACACATGAAAAAGTTAATTCATGGCCAGGCACGGTGGCTCATACCTGTTATCCCAGCACTATGGGAGGTTGAGTCAGGAGAATTGCTTGAGCCCAGGAGTTTAAGCAACATGATATGAGACCCCACATCTACAGAAAAAATAAAAAATTAGCTAGGTGTAGTGGTCCCAGCTATTTAGGAGGCTGAGGTGTGAGGATCACTCCAGCCCAGGAGGTTGAGGCTTCAATGAGCTGTGATTGTGCTGCTGCACTCCAGCCCAGGTGACAGAATGAGACACTGACTCAAAAAAAAAAAAAAAAAAGTTAATTCACCATGATCAAGTAGGCTTCATTCTCACAATGCAAGGTTGGTTCAACATACGTGAATCCATAAATGTGATTCACCACATAAACAGAATTAGAAAGAAAACCCATATGATCATCTCAATAGACATGGAAAAAGCCTTTGATAAAATCCAACATCCCTTCATGATAAAAACTCTCAGCAAATTAGGTTATCAAAGGAACTTACTTCAAAATAATAAGAGCCATCTATGACAAACCCACAGCCAAAATCCTACTGAATGGGCAAAAGCTGGAAGCATTACCCTTGAGAACTAGCACAAGACAAGGATGCCCACTCTCACCTCTCTTATTCAACATAGCACTGGAAGTACTAGCCAGAGCCATTAGGCAAGAGAAAGAAATAAAAGGCATCCAAATAGGAAAAGAAGAAGTCAAATTTTTCTGTTCACTGATAACATAATTGCATACCTAGAAAACTTTAAAGAATCTGCCAAAAGGCTCCTGGAACTGATAAACAAGTTCAGTAAAGTTTCAGGATACAAAATCAATGTACAAAAAATAAGTAGCATTTCTATACACCAATAATGTCCAAGGTGAGAGCCAAATCAATAACGTAATCCCATTCACTATAGACACAAAAAGAATAAAATCCCTAAAAATATAGCTAACCAAGGAGGTAAAAGGAGAACTATAAATTGCTGCTGAAAGAAATCAGAGACAACACAAACAAATGGAAAAACATTCCATGCTCATGGATTAGAAGAGTCAATATCATTAAGATGGCCACACTACTTAAAGCAATTAAGAGATTAAATGCTATTCCTGTCAAACTACCAACATCATTTTTCACAGAATTAGAAAAAAATTATTGTAAAATTCATATGGAACCAAAAAAGAGTCTAAATAGCCAAAGCAATCCTAAGCAAAAAGAACAAAGCTGGAGGCATCTCATTACCTGACTTCAAAATATACTACTAATATAAGGCTACAGAGATGGTGGACGGGAAGCAGGACTAGACTGCAGCTCCCACTCGGATGGACAGAGCAGCATGTGGAGTCTTGCATCGTGAACTTTTGCTCCAGAACTACTGCAGGAATAATTCAGGAAAGCCAAGAGAATCCACAGACCCTCTGAAGGAAGTGGATTGCTCCCGTAGGACCCGGGAGATGCCCCAAATACTGTGAGTGCCCAAACTGTGGAAGTAGGAAAGGGGGATTGTCCACCTTCAAACACACAACCTCACTGGGGAACCTGAAGGTCTAGATCATGGGAGAAGATTCTGACCTTACCTGGAGCTGAGTCAATTTAGAGAACCAAGTGAAATATAGGGGTAAAGGAAGTAGCAGGAAAAGCCCTGTGGGCTCTCTGGGTTCCCAGGGATGCCATTTCTGACTTGTCTCACAGGGCTACCTGGGGAGGACTGCCAGAGGAACTCAGAAAACATCACAGGGAGAAGGAAAACTCCAGCTGAATTTTCTAACAATTCCAACTGAATAGGAAATCTCCTGGCCAGAACTTGGGGGAAGGCATGAATCTGGTGTGCAGACTCCACAGGCAGGGAAGCACAAAAGCACTACTTGCTTTTGCAGCTGGGAGGCTGGTAGCCTGGGGCAAGTTCTCAGTCCTGTTTGCCCACTGCCTGGAAACAGACTTGGTACTACTGGGTTGGGGGCATGGTGGGAGTGAGATTGATCTTCTGGGTTTCGTGGGAGCTGGGTGAGGTCTGTGACTGCCAGTTTACCCCTACTTCCCTGACAACCTGCACGACACAGCAGAAGTAGCCATAATCCTCCTGGGAACATAATTCCATTTACCTGGGAACCACACCTCCATCCCCACAGCAGCTGCAGCAAGACTCGCCCAAGAAGAGTCTGAGCTCAGACACGCCTAGCCCTGCCCCAACCTGATGGTCCTTTCCTACTCACCCTGGTAGCTGAAGACAAAGGGCATATACTCTTGGGAGTTCTAGGGCCCCACCCACCGCCTGATCCTCCCCATACTACCACAGCTGATGCTGTCTTGAAAGCATCATCTCCTGGCAGGAGGCCAACCAGCACAAAAATAGTGCATTAAATGACCAAAACTAAGGACCCTCACAGAGTCCATCTCACTCCCCTGCTACCTCTACCAGAGCAGGTACTGGTATCCACAGCTGAGAGACCCACAGATGGTTCACATCACAGGACTCTGTGCAGACAACCCCCAATACCAGCCTGGAACCTGGTAGGACTGCTGGATGTCTAGATCCTAAAAAGAGATAACAATCACTACAGCTTGGGCTCTCAGGAAGGCACATCCCTAGGAAAAGGGGGAGAGTACTACATCAAGAGAACACGCCATAGGACAAAAGAATCTGAACAACAGCCTTGAGCCCTAGATCTTCCCTCTGACAGAACCTACCCAAATGAGAAGGAACAAGAAAACCAACTCTGGTAATATGAAAAAACAAGGTTCTTTAACATCCCCCACAAAATCACACTAGCTTACCAGATGTGGATCTAAACCAAGAAGAAACCCCTGATCTACCTGACAAAGAACTCATCAAGGAAGCAACAGAGAAAGGCAAAGCCCAATTTAAGGAAATTTAAAAAAAAATGATACAAGAAATGAGGGGAGAAATCTTCAATGAAATAACATAAATAAAAAACAAAACTTCAGGAAACAATGGACACACTTATAGAAATGCAAAATGCTCTGGTACGTCTCAGCAATAGAATTGAGCAAGCACAAGAAAGAACTCAGAGCCTGAAGACAAGGTTTTTGAATTAACCCAATCCAACAAAGACAAAGAAAAAAGAATAAGAAAATATGAACAAAGCCTCCAAGGAGTCTGGGATGTTAAACAACCAAATGTAAAAATAATTGGTGTTCCTGAGGAAGAAGAGAAATCTAAAAGTTTGGAAACACATTTGTGCAATAATTGAGGGAAACTTCCCCACCCTTGCTAGAGACCTAGATATCCAAATACAAGAAGCTCAAAGAACACTTGAGAAATTTATCACAAAAAGATCATAGCCTAGGCACATTGTCATCAGGTTATCTAAAGTTAAGATGAAGGAAAGAATCTTAAGAGCTGTGAGGCAAAAGCACCAGGTAACCTGTAAAGGAAAACCTATCAGACTAACAGCAGATTTCTCAGCAGAAACCTTACAAGCAAGAAAGGATTAGGGCCCTATCTTCAGCCTCCTTAAACAAAACAATTATCAGCCAAGAATTTTGTACCAAGCAAAACCAAGCTTCATAAATGAAGGAAAGATACAGTCTTTTTCAGGCAAACAAATGCTAAAAGAACTTGCCACTACCAAGGCAGCACTACAAAAACTGCTAAAAGGAGCTCTAAATCTTGAAACAAATCCTGGAAACACATCAAAACAGAACCTCTTTAAAGCATAAATCTCACAGGACCTATAATACAAAAAAAAGCAAAAACAAAAACAAAAACAAAAAAACCCAAGGCATACAGGAAACAAATAGCACAATGAATGGAATGGTACCTCACATCTCAATACTAACATTGAATATAAATGGCCTAAATGCTCTACTTAAAAGATACAGAATTGCTGAATGGGTAAGAATTCACCAATCAACTATCTGCTGCCTTCAGTTGACTCACCTAACACATAAGAACTCATAAACTTAAGGAAAGGGGTGGAAAAAGACATTCCATGCAAATGGACACCAAAAGCTAGCAGGAGTAGCTATTCTTACATCAGACAAGACAAACTTTAAAGCAACAGCAGTTAAAAAAGACAAAGAGGGACATTATATAATGGTAAAAGGCCTTCTCCAACAGGAAAATATCACAATCCTAAATATATATGCACCTAACACTGGAGCTCCCAAATTTATAAAACAATTACTCCTAGACCTAAAAAATGAGATAGACAGCAACACAATGATAGTGGCGGACTTCATTACTCCACTGACAGCACTAGACAGGTCAAGAAGACAGAAAGTTAACAAAGAAACAATAGATTTAAAATATACCCTGGAACAAATGGACTTAAGAGATATTTACAGAACATTCTATCCAACAACCCCAGAATATACATTTATTCAACAGCATATGGAACTTTCTCCCAGATAGACCATATGATAGGCCACAAAACAAGCCTCAATAAATTTAAAATTGAAATTATATCAAGCATTCTCTCAGACCACAGTGGAATAAAACTGGAAATCAACTCCAAAAGGAATGTTCAAAACCATGCAAATACATGGAAATTAAATAACCTGTTCCTGAATGATTATTGAGTCAACAATGAAATCAAGATGGAAATTTAAAAAAATTCTTCAAACTGAATGACAACAGTGACATAAAACCTATCAAAACCTCTGGGATACAGCAAAGGCAGTGCAAAGAGGAAAGCTAAAAGCCCTAAACACTTATATAAAAAAGTCTGAAAGAGCAAAAACAGACAATATAAGGTCACACCTCAAGGAACTAGAGAAACAAGAACAAACCAAACACAAACCCAGCAGAAGAAAGGAAATAACCAAGATCAGAGCAGAACTGAATGAAATCAAACAAACAAACAAACAAAAAATACAAAAGATAAATGAAACAAAAAGCTGGTTCTTTGAAAAGATAAATAAAATTGATAGATCATTAGCAAGATTAACCAAGAAGAGAGAAAATCCAAATAAGCTTAATTAGAAATGAAAAGGGAGATATTACAACTGACACCACAGAAATACAAGAGATCATTCAAGGCTACTGTGAACACCTTTACGTGCATAAACTAGAAAACCTAGAGGAGACAGATAAATTCCTGGAAAGATACAACCCTCCTAGCTTAAATCAGGAAGAATTAGATACCCCGAACAGACCAATAACAAGCAGTGAGATTGGAATGATAATTAAAAAATTACCTACACAAAAAAGTCCAGGACTAGATGGATTCACAGCAGAACTCTACCAGACATTCAAAGAAGGATTGGTACCAATCCTATTAACACTATTCCACAAGATAAAGAGGGAATCCTCCCTAAATCATTGTATGAAGCCAGTATCACCCTAATACTAAAAACAGGAAAAGACATAACCAAAAAAGAAAACTACAGACCAATATCCTTGATGAACATAGATGCAAAAATCCTTAACAAAATACTGGCTAACTGAATCCAACAACATATCAAAAAGATAATCCACCATAATCAAGTGGGTTTCATACCAGGGATATAGGCTTAACATACTCAAGTCAATAAATGTGATACACAACATAAAAAGAATTAAAAATAAAAATCACATGATCATTTCAATAGATGCGGAAAAAGCATTTGACAAAATCCAGCATGCTTTATGATTAAAACTCTCAGCAAAACTAGCATACAAGGGCCATACCTCAATGTAATAAAAGCCATCTATGACAAACCCACAGCCAAAATCATACTGAATGGGGAAAAGTTGGAAGCATTCCCACTGAGGACTGGAACATGACAAGGATGCCCACTCTCACCACTCCTCTTCAACATAGTACTGGAAGTCCTAGCCAGAGCAATCAGACAAGAGAGAGAAATAAAGGGCACCCAAATCAGTAAAGAGGAAGTCAAACTATTGCTGTTTGCTGATGATATAATTGTATACCTACAAAACCCTAAAGATTCCTCCAAAAAGCTCCTAGAACTGATAAAAGAATTCAGTAAAGTTTCCAGATACAAAATTAATGTGCACAAATCAGTAGCTCTGCTATACACTGACAGCGACTAAGGTGAAAATCAAATCAAGAACTCAACCCCTTTTACAATAGCTGCAAAAGAAAAATAAAATGTTTGGACTATACCTAACCAAGGAGTTGTAAGACCTGTACAAGGAAAACTATAAAACACTGCTAAAGAAATCATAGATGACACAAACAAATGGAAACACATCCCATGCTCACTGATGGGTAGAATCAATATTGTGAAAAAGATCATACTGCCAAAAGCAATCTACAAATTTAATGCAATTCCCATCAAAATACCACCATCGTTTTTCACAGAACTAGAAAAAAAACTCCTTAAATCCATATGGAACCAAAAAAGAACCCACATAGCCAAAGCAAGACTAAGCAAAACAAAACAAAGCAAAACAAGCAAACAAAAAATCAAAAAGCAAAAAACCTAACAAATCTGGAGGCATCACATTACCTGATTTCAAACTATATTATATGGCCATAGTCACCAAAACACCATGGTACTGGTATAAATATAGGCACATAGACCAATGGAACAGAACAGTGAACTCAGAAATAAACCCAAATACTTACAGCCAACTGATCTTTGACTAAGCAAACACAAATATAAAGTGGGGAAAGCACATCTTATTCAACAAATGGTGCTGGGATAATTGGCTAGCCACATGTAGGAGAATGAAACTGGATCCTCATCTCTCATCTTACACAAAAATAAACTCAAGATGGATCAAGGACTTAAATCTAAGACCTGAAAATATAAAAATTCTAGAAGATAACATCAGAAAAACCCTTCTAGACATTGGCTTAGGCAAGGATTTCATTACCAAGAACACAAAAGCAAATGTAATAAAAACAAAGATAAATGGCTGGGACTTAATTAAACTAAAGAGCTTTTGCATGGCAAAAAGAACAGTCATCAGAGCAAACAGACAACCCACAGAGTGGGAGAAAATCTTCACAATCTATACATCTGACAAAGGACTAATATCCAGAATCTACAACAAACTAAAACAAATTAGCAAGAAAAAACAAATAACCCATCAAAAAGTGGGCTAAGGACATGAATAGACAATTCTCAAAAGAAGATATACAAATGGCCAACAAACATATGAAAAAGTGCTCAACATCACTAATGATCAGGGAAATGCAAATCAAAACCACAATGAGATACCACCTTACTCCTACAAGAATGGCCATAATCAAAAAATAAAAAAAAAATACATGTTGGCATGGATGTGGTGAACAGAGAACACTTCTACACTGCTGGTGGGAATGTAAACTAGTACAACTGCTATGGAAAACAGCATAGAGATTCTTTAAAGAACTAAAAGTAGAACTACCATTTGATTCAGAAATTCCATATATATATGATAGAATACTACTCAGTCATAAAAAGTAATGAATTAATGGCATCAACACAACTTGGATGAGATTGGAGACTTATTCTAAGTGAAGTAACTCAGGAATGGAAAACCAAACATCGTATGTTCTCACTCATAAGTGGAAGCTAAGCTATGAGGATGCAAAGGCATAAGAATAACACAATGGATTTTGGGGACTCAGGGGGAAAGAGTGGGAAGGGGGTGAGGGATAAAAGACTACAAATTGAGTGCAGTGTATACTGCTCGGGTGATGGGCACACCAAAATCTCACAAATCACCACTAAAGTACTTACTCATGTAACCAAACACCTCCTGTTTCCTAATAACCCATAGAAATAAAAAAATTTAAAAAAATATAAGGCTACAGTAACCAAAACAGCTTGGTACTGATACAAAAACAGACACATAGATCAATGGAACAGAATAGCAAACTCAGAAATAAAGCTGCACACCTACATCCATCTGATCTTCAACAAAGTAGACAAAAACAAGTGGTGGGGAAGGAGTTCCCTATTCAATAAATGATGCTGGGATAGCTGGCTAGCCATATGCAGAAAAATAAAACTGGGCCCCTACCTTTCACCATATACAAAAATCAACCCAAGATGCCTTAAAGATTTAAACATAAGAACTCAAACTCTAAGAATCCTAGAAGAAAACCTAGGAAACACCATTCTGAACACTGGCCTTGGGAAAGAATTTATGACTAAGTCCTCAAAAGCAACTGCAACAAAAACAAAAATTGACAAGTGGGACCTAATTAAACTAAAGAGCTTCTGCACAGCAAAAAAACCCGTCAACAAAGTAAACAGGCAACCTACAAAAAAAGAGAAAATATTCACAAACTACGCATCTGACAAATATCTAATATCCAGAATCTATAAGTAACTTAAACAATTGAACAAGCAAAAAACAACCCCATTAAAAAGTGGGCAAAAGACATGAACAGACACTTCTCAAAAGAAGACAGAAGTTTGTTTGTGTTTTTCCAAAATGGCAGATTAGAGGCATTGCTAGCATACTTCTCCCACTTGGAAAAACAAAATAGTTGTAGAGATTCACACTGAACTTTTTTCAAGGAGCAATGCAGAAACTGAACAGGAAAACCAAAGGAATCTACAGACCCTTTGAAGGAAGCAGGAGGCTGCAGGTTACACTGTGAATCAGGCAAAGGGCTGTGAGTTCCCAGAGTGTGAGAAGGGGGACTCACCCTACATTACTCCTGGAATACACACCCCCACTGTGGACCCTGAAAGTCCAGACCATGGGAGAAAGCCCTAACCCTATGCAGCACAGGAACTGACTTGGGGAGGGATGTGGAATATAAAAGTGGGAGCAGTGGCAGGAAGATTCTTGCACACACTCCCAGATTTCAGCATGGAGAGAGGGAAGCCATTTCTTACTGTTCCTCACGGGGAACCCTGTGGAGGACAGCCAAAAAGTTCAGGCAGTGGTCGCAGGTTGAAAGAAGCCTCCAACTGGGTTTCATGATATAACCTTAGGTGCGGATGAACTCCCTTGGCCAGGGCCAGGGTGGAGGAGAGTGAAAAGTGGGCTGCAGCCATGAGTGCAGGAGCTGCCAGTGCAGGAACTGGGTGCCTGGCTTTGCAGTGGACAGGGAGGGGCTTGGCCTGAAAGCCGTGATTGCTATCTCTGCAGGGAACGTATATGACTCGGGACAGTTGCAAGTTCTGAGTGCAGGCTAACTGGAACTTAGCTTGCTGCTGCCAGTGGAACACTGTGGGAGTGCATCTGTCTTGCCAAGTGCATGGGATCTGTGTGGGGCTCACAGCCACCTGCTTCTCCTCACTCTGCACAAACCCTTCTGTGTGGCAAAGCCAGCAACACTGCCTTTTGGAACATCAACCCAGTGGCCTGAGAACCACTCCCATCCCCTGGCTTCCACAGGGGCTGCTGCTTGCCCTGCACAGGGAGACTCAGAGCGCAAGCCCACCTGAACCAACCCTCACCCTGCTTTGCCCCGTCACCTGCCCTGGTAGTTTAACACAAAGGACAGAAACTCTTGGGGGCTATATAGCCCCACTCATTGCCTGAGAAACCAGAGTAACCCCTCTGGACAACATAAAGCAAGCAAAAGTCCTATTGCTACTATTGCAGCTGGTTCCCTTTTGTAAGCATCACCTCTTGGCTGGAGGCCAACCAACACAGTCCATTACAGCATCTCCTGGTAGAATAACAACGCACCTAGGAAGAAGATGGCTGTGTAATCTCAGCTATCACCACTGCCTGCACCATTCTGGCTAACCAGGAGGTCCTGAGTTTGTCCACATGACCAGTTCATTACTACTAAAACCAGTGTTCGAGAAAGCCAACACACTAAGGCTATCAATAACCAAGGACTCTCACAGAGTCTATTACCCTGCCACGCCCATTAGAACTGGTGCTGCTACCCACTGTTGGGAGACTTGAAGAGAGGTCACATCACTGGATCCCTTGCAGATATTCCCTAGCACCAGCCTGGGGTGTGGTACCTTCACTGGACAGCTAGACCCAGAGACCCTGTTCCCTTAGGAGTGGGATCCCCCTGATCCTAGGGGAACAGGGAGTGCACCACATCAAGAGAACACCCTGTGGGAGAAAATAATCCAGACAGCAGGACTTAAGAACCAGATCTTTCTGCTAGTGGGAAGTTTCTTTCAGCAGAGGCACAGTTGCAGTGCTGGGCTCAGCAGGAAAAGTCTTCAGCTCTAACCCAACAGACAGACAACCCCCCCACCCATTGTCTACCACTGCAGGCACAGTTGGAGCTTCTCCCATTGGAGCTTGGTGTGAGTGCAACTATAGACAGTCTTTCTGGAAGACATCAGGGTGACTGCATCCCCATAGGAGGGGCACCCTCTAGGTTCAAGCTTGTATGAGAGACGTTCACAATTTTTCTCTATTTGGAACATCAAAATTCCTGCAGATGAAAAGAGGTGGCTGTCTGGAGATGAAAAGCTGGAGCACTGAAACAGGAGTGTGTTTGAGAGGGATAACTTTCCTGCTAACCTGGCAGGGGAGCTGAGGTGGCTCCAACCCTTACCCCAGGTAAGACCTCATTGCAACTCACTCCTCCAGCCACCTCTGTCAAGGCTGAGACCTCTGCCCATCACTGGGTATTGCATTTACCCACCTGCTTTAGCCACAGCTGATTCCTACCCAGGGACACCTCCCCTACTGGCCTGAAGCTGGAACCATCAAACTAGTAAATAAAACACTGGAGAAAAGGCCGGGTGCAGTGGCTCATGCCTGTAATCCCAAAACTTTGGGAGGCTGAGGCGGGTGGATCACTTGAGGTCAGGGGTTCGAGACCAGCCCGGCCAATATGGTGAAACCCTGTCTCTACTAAAAATACAAAAATTAGTTGGGTGTGGTGGCAGGCACCTGTAATCCCAGCTACTTGGGAGGCTGAGGCACAAGAATCACTTGAACCCAGGAGGCGGAGATTGCAGTGAGATCATGACACTGCACTCCAGCCTGGGCAACAGAGTGAGATTCAGCCTCAAAAAAAAAAAAGAAAAAAAAAACTGGACGAAAATGCGTAAATAAAAAAGGGCATGCCACAGGGGAATGAGATAAGCTTTAAGAGACCTCTTATCATTACAGCCCCATAGGAGACAGTGATCTTGCTAATATACCAAGCACATTGCTACTACAACCAGCATCTAAGAAAGCCACATAAAAAAACTCTCTATAACCAAGGAACTATTACAGAGTCTTCACCCCTGAAAGCACCAAAAACCAAATTAGGCCATAATATGATAAGCATTAAAGTCACATCCTTAAGTGGAAAAAAGAAATTAAAAAACAAACACAAAAAGAAACACAGTCAAATCAAACATCAATTCAAGGATAATTAGAAGAAATAATCTACCCAAATGAGGAGGAACCAGAAAAGGAACTCTGGTAATATGAAAAAACAGGGTTCTATAACACCCTCAAAAGATAACACTAGCTCTCCAGCAATGGATCCAAAGTAGGACGAACTCTTTAAAATACCAGATAAGGAATTCAGAAGGTCAATTATTAAGCTACTCAAGGAGATTTCAGAGAAAGATGAAAACTATTATAAATTTAAAAAGCATTTCAGGATATGAATGAAAAATTTTCTAGAGATATAGATATTATCAAGAAAAAACAATAAGAATTTCTAGAAATGAAAGACACACTTAGGGAATACAAAATGCAGCAGAAAGCTTTAACAATAGACTAGAACAAGTAGAAGAAAGAATTTCAGAGCTTGAAGACAAGGTTTTTAAACTAACCCAATCAGACAAAAATAAAGAAAAAAGAATAAAAAGAAATGAACAAAGTCTTCAAGAAATATGGGATTATGTTAAACAGCCAAACCTAAGAATAACTGGTGTTCCAGAGGAAGAAGAGAAAATAACAAGTCTGGAAAACTTATTTCAGGGAATAATTGAGGAAAACCTTTCTGGCGTGGCTAGAGATCTAGATATCCAAATCCAAGAAGCTCAAAGAACTCCTGGGAAATTAATTGCAAAAAGATCTTCACCAAGGCATATAGTCATCAGGCTATCTAAACTCAACATGAAGGAAATAATTCTAAGAGCAGTAAGACAAAAGCATCAGGTAAGCTATAAAGGAAAACCTATCTGAATAACAGCAGACTTCTCAGCAGAAACCTTACAAGCCAGAAGGTATTGGGGTCTTATCTTCAATCTCCTTAAACAGAAAAAAACTGTCAGCCAAGAATTCTGTATCCTGTAAAGCTAGGTTTTGTAATTGAAGGAGAAATAAAAGTCATTTTCAGATAAACAAATGCTGAGGGAATTTGTCACTAGCAAACCAAACTACAAGAAATGCTACCAGCCTGGCCACATGGCAAAACCCTGTCTTTACTAAAAAATACAAAAATTAGCCAGGTGTGATTGTGCATGCTTGTAATCTCAGCTACTTGGGAGGCTGAGGCATGAGAATCTCTTGAACCCAGGAGACAGAGTTTGCAGTGAGCCAAGATTGCAACATTGCACTCCAGCCTGGGCAACAGAGCCAGACTCTATCAAAAAAAAAAAAAAAAAAAGTAAGGAAGGAAGGAAGGAAAGAAAAGAAAGAAAGGTGGGCTAAAAGGAGTTTTAAACATTGAAACAAAAGCCAAATACGCACCAAAATAGAATCTCTTGAAAGCTTAAAACTCATGAAGTCTATAAAGCAATAACAGAATGAAAAAAGAAAAGCTATATACATAACAATTAACATGATGAAGAGAAGAGTACTTCACATCTCAATATTAATGTTGAATGTAAATGGCCTAAACGCTCCACTTAAAAAATACAGAATGACAGAATGGATAACAAAAATCACAATCCAAATATCTGCTGTCTTCAAGAGACTCACCTAACATGAAAGGATTCAAATAAACTCAAGGGAAAAGGGTGGAAAAAGATATTCCATGCAAATGGACACCAAAAGCAAGCAGGAGTAGCTATTCTTATATCAGACGAAACAAACTTCAAAGCAACAACAGTAAGACAAGACAAAGATGGTCAATATAATGATAAAAGGATCAATCCAACAAGAAGATATTACAATCCTAAATTTACATGCATCTAACACTGGAGCTTGCAGATTCATAAAACAATTACTACTAGACCTAAGAAATGAGATAGACAGCAACACAGTAATGGTGGGATACTTTAATATACCACTGACAGCACTAGACAAGTCTTTGAGACAGAAGGCCAACAGAGAAAAAATGGACTTAAATGACATGCTAAAACAAATGAACATAACAGCTATTTACAGAACATTCTACCCAAGAACTGTAGAATGTATGTTCTTCTCATTGGTACATAGAACAGTCTCTAAGATAGGCCATATGATAGGTCACAAAACAAGTCTCAATTAATTTTTAAAAATTGAAATCCTATGAAGTATCTTCTCAGGCCATAGCAGAATAAAACTAAAAATCAATTTCAAAGGGAATCCTCAAAACTATACAGATACATGGAAATAAAATAATCCATTCCTGAATGATATCTGGGGTAAACAGTGAAATCAAGATGGAAATTTAAAAAATTTTTGAATTGAATCATAATGACACAAGTTATCAAAACCTCTGGGATAGGTGGGGTTCGGTGGCTCATGCCTGTAATTCTAGCACTTTGGGAGGCCAAACAGGTGGATCACTTGAGGCCAGGAGTTTGAGACCAGGCTGGCCAACATGGTGAAACCCCATCTTTACTAAAAATACAAAAATTAGCTGGGTGTGGTAACAGGCGCCTGTAGTCTCAGTCTCAGCTACTTGGGAGGCTGAGGTGCGAGAATTGCTTGAACTTGGGAGGCAGAGCTTGCAGTGAGCCAAGATAGTGCCACCGCACTCCAGCCTGGTTGACAGAGTGAGACTGTCTCAAAAAACTAAAAACTAAAAAAACCTCTGGGATACAGCAAAAGCAGTGCTAGGAAAGTTTATAGTGCTAAACGCCTGCATCAAAAAGTCTGAAAGAGCACAAATTGACAATGTCACACTGCAAGGAACTGGAGAAACAAAAAAAACGAAGTCCAAAGATAGAAGAAAAGAAATAATGAACATCAGAGCAGAACTAACTGAAATTCAAACAAAAAATATAAAAAGATCAATGAAACAAAAAGCTGGTTCTTTGAAAAAATAAAATAGACTAGATTAGCCAAGAAAAGAAGAAAAGATTAAACAAGTAAAGAAGAGAAGATCTAAATAAGCTCAATTAGAAATGAAATTGGAGACATTACAACCCACAGAACCACAGAGATACAAAAGATCACTTGAGGCTACTATGAACGCCTTTTTGCATACAAACTGGAAAACCTAGAGGAAATAGACAAATTCCTGGAAACGTACAACTCTCCTGTATTAAATCAGGAAGAAACAGAAACCCTGAACAGGTGAATAACAAGCAGCAAGATTGAATCAGTAATTTCAAAATTGCCAAGAACAACAAAAAAAGCCCAGGACTAGATGGATTCACAGCTGAATTCCACCAGATGTTCAATGAAGAATTGGTACAATCCTACTGAAACAATTCCGAAAGATTGAGAAAGAGGGAATCCTCTCTAAATCATTCTATGCAGCCAGTATCGCCCTGATATCCAAATCAGGAAAGAACACAACAAATAAAAAAAACTACAGACCAATTTCACTGATGTTGAACATAGATGCAAAAATCCTCAACAAAATACTAGCTAACCGACCCCAATAGCACATCAAAAAGATAATTCAAGTGGATTTTGTCCCAGGGAGGCAGGGATGGTTTAACACACACAAGTCAATAAATGTGATACATCACATAAACAGAATTGAAAACAAAAAACACATGATCATCTCAATAGATTCAGAAAAAGCATTTAATAAAATCCAGCATCCTTCATAATTAAAACTCCTAACAAACTAGGCATAGAAGGGACCTACCTCAATAATAAAAGCCATATGTGACAAACCCACAGCCAACATCATACTGAATGGAAAAAAGTTGAAAGCATTCCCCTTGAGAACCGGAACAAGACAAGATGGCCACCTTCACTTTCACCACTCTCATTCAACATAGTTCTGGAAGTCCTAGCTAGAGCAATTAGACAGGAGAAAGAAATAAAGGGCGTCCAAATTGGAAAAGAAGAAGTCAAACTATTGCTGTTTGAAGATTATATAATTGTATACCTAGAAAATCCTAAAGACTCCTCCAAAGACTCTAAGATTTGATAAACGAATTCAGTGAAGTCTCAGTTTACAAAATCAGTGTACACATATCAGTAGCACTGCTATACGCTAACAACGACCAAGCTGAGAATCAAAAAAAGAACTGATACCCTTTTACAACAGCTACAAAAAAATAAAATACTTAGGAATGTACTTAACCAAGGAGGTGAAAGATCTCTACAAGGAGAACTATAAAACACAGCTGAAAGAAGTAATAGGTTATACAAACAAATGGAAATGCATTCTATGCTCATGGATTGGAAGAATCAACGTTGTGAAAATGACCATACTGCCCAAAGTAATCTTGCATTACAGATCCAGTGCAATTCCCATCAAAATATCAACATTATTTTTCACAGAATTAGAAAAAAAGTTCTAAAATTCATATGGAACCAAAAAAGAGCCAGAATAGCCAAAGCAATACTAAGCAAAAAGAACAAATCTGGAGGTATCACATTACTAGACTTCAGATTATACTACAAGGCTATAGTTACCAAAACAGCATGGTACTGGTATAAAAGTAGGCACATAGGCCAAGGAAACAGAACAGAAAACCCAGAAATGAAGCCAAATATGTATAGCCAACTTATCTTTGACAAAGCAAACAAAAACATAAATTGGGGAATGATACTTTATTTAATAAGTGGTGCTGGGAGAATGGGCAAGCCACATGTAGAAAAATGAAACTGGATCCATATTTCTCACCTTATACAAAAATCAACTCAAGATGGATCAAAGACTTAAATATGAGACCCGAAACTATAAAAATTCTAGAAGACATTAGAAAAACTCTTCCAGTCATTGGCTTAGGCAAATAATTCATGACTAAGACCCCAAAAGCAAATGCAACAAAACCAAAAATAAATAAATAGAACCTAATTAAACTAAAAAGCTTCTGTACAGCAAAAGAAATAATAAACAGACAACCCACAGAATGGGAGAAAATATTTGCAAACTATGCATCTGACAAAGGACTAGTAATCAAAATCTACAAGGAATTCAAACAAATCAGCAAGAAAAAAACAAATAATCCCATTAAAAAGTGGGCAAATGACATGAATAGATATTTCTCAAAAGAAGATATACAAATGGCCAACAAACATGAAAAAGTGCTCAATATCACTAATCATCAGGGAAATGCAAATTAAAACCACAATGAGATACCACCTTACTCCTGCAAGAATGGTCATTATTAAAAAGTAAAAAAACAATATATTTTGGTGTGGATGTGGGGAAAAGGGAGTGCTTATATACTGCTGGTGGGAATGTAAATTAGTACAACCTTTTGGAAAAGAGTATGGAGATTTCTTAAAGAGCTAAAAGTAGATTTACCATTCAATCTAGCAATCCCACTACTTGATCTCTACCGAAAGGAAAATGAGTCATTACAGAAAAAGACACTTGTACACGTATGTTTATAGCAGCACAATTCACAGTTGCAAAGATGTGGAACCAACCTAAGTGCCCGTTGACTAATGAGTGGATAAATAAAATGTGGCATATATACACCATAGACTGCTACTCAGTCATTAAAAGGAATGAAATGTCTTTTGCAGCAACTTGGATGGAGCTGGAGGCCATTATTCTAAACAAAGTAACACAGGAGTGGAAAACCAAAAACTGTATGATGTCACTTAAAAGTGGGAGCTAAGTCATGAATATGCAAAGGCATATTCATTAATGAACTTTAGAGACTCAGAAGGGGGAGGTGGGAGAGTGGCTTGTGATAAAAAAAAAACAAAACTACACATTAGGTACAATATACACTACTTAGATGATGGGTGCACTAAAGTCTCAGAATTCACCACTATATAATTCATCCAGGTAACAAAAAAACCATTTGTATCCCCAAAGCTATTGAAATAAAACTTTTTTAAAAACCCCAAAGTAAAAAAGTTGGAACAATTTTCTTTTCTTTTATATAATTTTTACATGTGTTAGCTTTAGGGTCAAATTTATTTCTTTTTTATTTTATTTATTTATATATATTTTTTGAGACAGAGTCTTGCTCTGTTGCCCAGGCTAGAGTGCAGTGGCACGATCTCGGCTCACTGCAACCTCTGCCTCCCAGGTTCAAGCGATTCTCCCGCCTCAGTTTCCTGAGTAGCTGGGATTACAGGTGTGTGCCACCATGTCCGACTAATTTTCGTATTTTCAGTAGAGACAGGGTTTTGCCATGTTGGCCAGGCTGGTCTCAAAATCCTGACCTCAGGTGATCTGCCTGCCTCGGCCTCCCAAAGTGCTGGGATTACAGGCATCAGCCACAGCACCGGCCTATGGTCAAATTTAAATGAGCTATTTTTAAATATAAACTTTGGATTTCTGAATAAAGATTTGATAAGTTAAAAATGGGCTGAAAACCTATATTTTGAAATAAGTTATAGAGCCCCAGAATTCTAGAACTAAATCTACAGTTTTTCAACATTCTAAATGGAATTTCTTCTTTTTCACTTCTTTTTTTAATGTCAGTTTAATTGAGTAAAATGTGCCCTTGTTCAGTATACTTTTAATGTGTTTGACAAACGGATAGTTACGGAACCACCACTACATCTCCAGTAATTCTCTCCTGTCCCTTTGTAGTAAGCCCCTTCCCCAGTCCCAGTCCAGCCCATGGTAAATACTAATCTGCTTTTTGTCCTCCAATTTTTACTTTTTCCAATCATGTAAATATTTCTTGTCATAAATAGAATGTAATAGTGTGTAAAAAACAAGAAGACATACAGTGGTCAGAAAACATAAAAAATGCTTCATGTCACTAATCATCAGAGAAATGCAAATCAAAAACCATAATGAGATACCAGCCCACACACATTAGAATGGTTATTATTAAAAAGCCAAAAAACAACAGATGCTGGTGAGGTTGGAGGAAAAAGGGAATGCTTATACACCGTTGGTAGGAATGTAAATTAGTTCATTGCCGGTGGAAAGCAGCTTGGAAATTCTCAAAGAACTTAAAACAGAACTACCATTTGACTCAGCAATCCCATTACTGGGTATATATCCAAAAGAAAATAAATTTTTCTACCAAAAAGACACCTTCTCTTGTATGTTAATCACAGACAATTCACAATAGCAAAGACATGGAATCAACCTAAGTACCCACTGACAGTGGACTGGATAAACAAAATGTGGTACATATACCATGGAATACTATGCAGCCATAAAAAAGAACAAAATCATGTCCTTCATAGAAACATGGATGGCTCTAGAGGCTATTATCCTAAAGCCAATTAACACAGGAACAGAAAACCAAGTGCCACGTGTTCTTGTAGACACTGGGGGCTATTGGGAGAGAGGAAGAGGGGGAAGGGTGGAATAACTATTGGGTACTATGCTCACCAGCTGGGTAATGAGATCATTCATATCCCAAACCTCAGCATCACACAATAACTTGTACATGTATCCCCTGAATCTAAAATGAAAGTTGACTTTTTTTAAAGTTCATTCCTTTTGACCAAGCACTCTACTTCTAGAATCAAAGATATTCAAAGTGGTATTATCTGTTACAGCAAGCAATTGGAAACAACTCAAATGCCCAATAATAGGGGAACAGTAAAATTTTAGAACCCAATGGCAATTTCATTAGGATAATATCAAGTCATTATAAAGGAGGGAAAAGTTTCTTATATGCTTGATAAAGAACATATAAAAAATATATAGATGTTATACAATATACAGTATGATCTCAACTGCAGTTCTAACAAAGTACAAATATTAACAGGGGTTGTCTTTGGGTGGTGATATTTCTTTTTGCTCCATTACAAAAAATGAGAAGCTATTACTTTTGTAATCACAAACATATTTTTCAGTAGTGCTCTTCAGGATTTGGGTGCCTGACTTGTCATGCATGGAAGCCATTGGGTTCATCCTCCCCCTGGGTGCAGCTAGTGCCACTTAGGTCTAAGGATGCTGGGAATCTCAGGACATTATTTTCTGGACAAAAGCTCTAGATTTATCCCAATGTTAGCCAGGAATGAGCCTTCCTTCTCTTGTAATCCAACAGGGAGCTGTGTATCTCACCTGATACGTACGAAACATATTCTTCAAATACTTGTATTCTTTTCCCATCTCCTCTGGATAAAAGGAAAACAACAGGATCATCATTAGTCTTCTGATATGCACATTTTCAAATTCAAATGTGAGTTCTTCTGCACACCTTCCCCACCCCAAACTCATCACCAAGGTAGTAAAACCTTTGTGTGCCTTGGAAATCACCCTAGAAGCTTATTAGAAATGCCATTGCCTGGACCTTCATCCAGGGTCATTCTCCCAGGTCCCAGCAGTACCTAGCTTCTCTTGGGCAGCCAACTTCTCTGCCTTCAAGGCTGCTTTGTAGTTGTTCTCCAACTCACTGAGTTCTGCTTCATGGGCCTCTTTGAGCTCCCTGTGGGACCCCAGGAGAAGGCCACAATCATTAGTAAAAAGAAGTCCAGAGCTGAGCTGTTACCCTGATCTGATCCTACCCTCCACCCTCCCACAGGAAGTGAGGTTCTCACTTTTTTATTTTTAAAATTTTTAAATCTTTTTTTTTTTTTTTTGAGTCAGAGTCTCCCTCTGTTGCCCAGAGTGAGTGTGGTGGCATGGTCACAGCTCACTGCAGCCTCAACCTCCCAGGCTCAAGTGATCTTCCCACCTTAACCTCCCAAGTAGTTGGGAACACAGGCATGTGCCACCATGCTCATCTAATTTTTTAATTTTTTGTAGAGACGGGGTCTTGCTATGGTGTCCAGGCTGGTTTCAAAATACTCCTGGACTCAAGCAATCCTCCTGCGTTGACCTCCCGAAGTGCTGGGATTACAGGCGTGAGCTACCATACTCAGCCTGGGGCCTTCACTTCCTGAAGCATTATCCTGGCATCTATCCAGAAAGGGTGAGGGGACCCTTTTCTACCATCATTGTTTTGAATGGAGCCAGCATGACCACAGATTCCCCTCTAATAGTCAGCACAGTCTTGTCTATAGCTTGCTCGGGAAACTATGGGCTGCATTGCCACCCAGGATAATTTTAGAACCCAAGTTCTCTCCAGCCTCCATTCCAGGAAGCAATGTTGGCAGTGTTTATGATGAGTATTAAAATGAGTCCATATGAGCTATCAAGCATGAAAAGACATGGAGGAACCTTTAAAGCATATTACTAAGTGAAGGAAGCCAATTTAAAAAGGCTACATAGGGTATGATTCCAACTATATGACATTCTGAAAAAGGTCAAACTATGGAGACAGTAAAGAGATCAGTGTTTGCCCAAGGTTAGGGATGGGAGGTAGGATGAATAGGCAGAGCGAAGCAGATTTTTAGGGCAGTGAAACTATTGTTATGACACTAGAATAGTGGATACATGTCATTACACATTTGTCCAAACTCATTGAATGTACAGTACCAAGAGTGAACTCTAATGTCAACTATGAACTCTGGGTGATAATGATGTGTCAATATAGGTTCATTGATTATAACAAATGTTACCACTTTTGGGGATATTGATAATGGGGGAAGCTATGTGTGTGAGGGGGCAGTAAGTATATGGGAAATCTTTTATACTTTCCCCTCAATGTTGCTGTAAACCTAAAACTCTAAAACTACTCTAAAAAATAAAGTTTATAAATAAATGAATAAGTACATAAAAGTTTATGCCTCAGCTAAGAGTGCTGTCTCTCCACCAGGATTTCTTTTTTTAATTATAAATTGATAACTTATAATTATATATATTTATGGGGTAAAAAGTGATGTTATGATTTATGAATACAATGTGGAATAATGAAACCAAACTAGTTAACATAGTCATCACCTGAAATACTTTAAAGTTTTTTCTTTTTTTTTTTCAGACGTAGTCTCTGGCTCTGTCCCCCAGGCTGGAGTGCAATGGCGCAATCTCGGCTCACTGCAACCTTCGCCTCCTGGGCTCAAGCGATTCTCTCACCTCAGCTTCCTGAGTAGCTGGGATTACAAGCACCTGCCATTATGTCCAACCAATTTTTGTATTTTTGCAGAGATGGGTTTTCACCATGTTGGCCAGGCTGGTCTTGAACTCGTGACCTCAGGTGATCCACCCACCTCAGCCTCCCAAAGTGCTGAGATTACAGGCGTGAGCCACTGCGCCCAGCCTAAAAGTTTTTTCAGTGAGAACATTTGAAATTTATTCTTAGCAATTTTGAAATGTCCAATACTCTATTATTAACTATATTTACTACTCTGTGCAATAGATCTAAGAAAATCCCATATTTCTCCTGCCTAATTGAGATTTTGTACCCTTTGACCATCATCTCCCTATTCCCCCCACCCCCTAGTCTCTTTAACCACCATTTTACTCGCTGTTTCTATGAGTTTGATTGTTTCAGATCCCACATATAAGTGAGAATATGTGGTATTTGTCTTCCTGTGCCCGGTTTATTTTATTTAGCATAATGCTCTCCAGTTCCATCCATGTTGTCACAAATGCCAGAATTTCCTTCTTTTTAAAGGCTGAATAGTATTCCATTTTATGTATATACCACATTTTCTTTATCCATTGATCAACTGATGGACACTTAAGTTGATTCCATAACTTGGATGTTGTTAATAGTACTGAATTGAACATGGGAATACAGACATCTCAACAAACTGATTTCAAATATTTTGGGTAAGCACTCGGAAGTGGGATTGCTGGATCATATGGTATTACTATTTTTAGTTTTTTGAGCAACCTCTATACAGTTTTCCATAATGGCCATACTAATTTACAATCCCACTAACACTTTGTAAGTGTTCCCTTTTCTCCACATCTTCAACACTTGTTATCTTTCGCCTTCTTGATAATAGCTATTCTGATCCATGTGAGATAATAACTCACTATGGTTTTAATTTGCATTTCCCTAATGATTAGCAATATTGAGCATTTTTTCATATGTCTGTTGGCCATTTGTATGTCTTCTTTTGAGAAATGTCTATTCAGGTCCCTTACCCATTTTTTAATTGGATTTATTTATTTATTTACTTTTTATTATACTTTTTTAGGGTACATGTACATAATGTGCAGGTTAGTTACATATGTATACATGTGCCATGTTGGTGTGCTGCACCCAGTAACTCGTCATTTAGCATTAGGTATATCTCCAAATGCTATACCTCCCCCCTCCCCCCACCCCATAACAGTCCCCAGAGTGTGATGTTCCCCTTCCTGTGTCCATGTGTTCTCGTTGTTCAATTCCCACCTATGAGTGAGAACATGCAGTGTTTGGTTTTTTGTCCTTGCGATAGTTTGCTGAGAATGATGGTTTCCAGCTTCACCCATGTCCCTACAAAGGACACAAACTCATCATTTTTTATGGCTGCATAGTATTCCATGGTGTATATGTGCCACATTTTCTTAATCCAGTCTATCATAGTTGGACATTTGGGTTGGTTCCAAGTCTTTGCTATTGTGAATAGTGCCACAATAAACATACGTGTGCATGTGTCTTTATAGCAGCATGATTTATAATCCTTTGGGTATATACCCAGTAATGGGATGGCTGGATCAAATGGTATTTCTAGTTCTAGATCCCTGAGGAATCACCACACTGACTCACTGACTTCCACAATGGTTGAACTAATTTACAGTCCTACCAACAGTGTAAAACTCTTCCTATTTCTCCACAGCCTCTCCAGCACCTGTTGTTTCCTGACTTTTTAATGATCGCCATTCTAACTGGTGTGAGATGGTATCTCATTGTGGTTTTGATTTGCATTTCTCTGATGGCCAGTGAAGATGAGCATTTTTTCATGGTCTTTTGGCTGCATAAATGTCTTCTTTTGAGAAGTGTCTGTTCATACGGTTTTGTCCTTCATTCTATTAATGTGAGGTATCACATTTATTGATTTGTGTGTGTCCAACCGTTCTTGCATCCCAGGGGATCAGTCTCACTGGATCATGGTGGATGATCCTTTCAATATGTTGCTGAATTCTGTTTGCTAATATTTAATTAAGGATTTTTGTATCTAAGTTCATTTAAGGATTTTGGCCTGTAATTTTATTTTCTTATAATGTTCTTGTCTGACTTGGTATCAGAGTAATCCTGGCCTCATAAAAATAGTGTGAACAGGCTGGGTGCGTTGGCTCATGCCTGTAATCTCAGCACTTTGGGAGGCCGAGGCAGGCAGATCACTTGAGGTTGGGAGCTCAAGACCAGCCTGAGCAACATGGAGAAACCCCATCTCTACTAAAAATACAAAATTAGCCAGGCGTGGTGGTGCATGCCTGTAATCCCAGCTACTCAGGAGGCTGAGGCAGGAGAATCGCTTGAACTCAGGAGGTGGTGGTTGTGGTGAGCCAAGATCGCACCATTGCACTCCAGCCTGGGCAACAAGAGTGAAACTCTGCCTAAAAAAAAAAAAAAAAGCTAAAAAAAAAATCATGTGAAAGTCCTTCCACCTCTTCACTTTTTTAGAAGAATCTGAGAAGAATTGATGTTAGTTCTTATTTTAAATGTCAGGTAGAATTAAGCAGTAAAGGCACCAGGTCTGGGTTTTTTTTGGATGGTAGGCTTTTTATTACTTATTCAATATCATCTTTATTGGTCTGTTCAGATTTTCTATTGTTTTTATGATTAAGTCTTGGCAGGTTTTATGTGTCTAGAAATTTATCAGTTTCTTCTAGATTATCCAATTCATTGCCATATAAATGTTCACAGTAGTCTCTTACGATCCTTTGTATTTGTCATATCAGTTGTAATGTCTCCTCTTTCATTTCTGATCTTATTTATTTGAGTCTTCTCTATTTTATTCTTAGTTTAGCTAAAGGTTTGTTGCTTTTATCTTTTCAAAAAACAACTCTTAGCTTCATTGATTTTTATATTGTTTTTCTAGACTCTATTTCATTTATTTCTGCTTTGATCTTTATTATTTTCTTTCTTCAGCATACTTTGGGCTTATTTCGTTCTTCTTTCCTAGTTTTGTGAGGTGTAATATTAGCTTCTTTGAGATCTCTGTTTTATCTACTTCTTTTAATTTGACTAAAAGCCATTTATTGAAAAGGCTATCTTTTTTCCCAGTGTGTGTTCTTGGCACCTTTGTCAAAAATCAGTTGGCTATGGGTGTATAAATTTATTTATAGGCCTCTATTCTGTTCCATTGGTCTATGTGTCTGTTTTTTTATGCCAGTATCATGCTGTTTGGGTTACTATAGCTTTGTAGTATCATTTAAAATCACGTGCCTTTAGCTTTGTTATTTTTGCTCAGGATCATTTTGGCTATTTGGGGACTTTGTGGGTCCATATGAATTTTAAGATTATTTGTTCTATTTTTGTGAAGAACATTTTTGGTATTTTAATAGGGATTGCATTAAATCTGTGTAATGCTTTGGGTAGCATGATCATTTAAACAATATTAATTCTTCCAATCCATGAACATGGAATATCTTTCCATTTATTTGCTGCTTCTTCAATTTCTTTTACCGATGCTCCATAATTTTCAGTGTAGAAATCTTCCACTTCCTTGGTTAAATTTATTCCTAGCTATCTTATTTTTTAAGCTGTCATAAATAGAATTGTCTTCTTAATTTCTTTTTTAGATAGTATATAGAAATACTACTAATTTTTTTCTTTTTCCGTTTTTATTTTAGGTTTAGGGGTACATGTACATGTATATATTTGTTGCATAGGTAAATTGTACATCACTGGGGTTTGGTGTACAAATGATTTCATTGCTCAGGTAGTGAGCATAGTACCTGATAGGTTGTTCTTGAACCCTCACTCTCCTCCCAACCTCCACCTTCAAGTAGGCCCCACCGTCTATTGCTCTCTTCTTTGTATCTATGTGTACACAATGTTTAGCTCCCACTTATAAGTGAAAATATGCAGTATTTGGTTTTCTGTTCCTGTGTTAATTCACTTAGGATAATGGCCTTCAGCTGCATCCATGTTGCTGCAAAGGACATGATTTTGTTCTTTTTTATGGCTGTGTAGTATTGTATGGTGTATATATACCACATTTTCTTTATCCAGTCCACCACTGATGGGCATCTAAGTTGATCCATATCTTTGTTATTGTGAATAGTGATGTGATGAACAAACGTATGCATGTGTCTTTTTGGTAGAATGATTTACATTCCTTTGAGTACAATACACCCAATAATGGGATTGCTGGGTCAAATGGTAGTTCTGTCTCAAGTTCTTTGAGAAATCTCCAAACTGCTTTCCACAGTGGCTGAACTAATTAACATCCCCACCAATAGTGTATAGCATTTCCTATTCTCCACATCCTTTGAAGAAATATCCAGTAGTTGAATTGCTGGTTCATATTTTTAATTTTTTGAGAAATCTCTGTAGTGTTTTCCATAATGGCTGTACTAATTTACATTTCCACCAACAGTATATAAGAGTTCCCTTTTCTCCACATCTTTGTCAATATATGTTATTTTTTGTCTTTTTATAATAGCCATTCTAACTGGTGTAAGATGATATCTTATTGTGTTTTTGCTCTATATTTCCCTGATGATTAGTGATGTTGAACACATACTTGTTGGCTATTCGTATGTCTTCTTTTAAGAAATGTCTTCTTTTAAGAAATGTCTTTTAAGAAAGATGTCCTTTACCCATTTTTAATGAATTTGTGTTTGTTTTACTGTTGAATTGTTTGAGTCCTCTGTCAAATGAGTAGTTTGCAAATATTTTCTCCCATTTAAGAGAATGTCTCTTCACTCTGTTGATGGTTTCTTTTGCGTGTAGAAGCTTTTTAGTTTAATATAGTCTCATTTGTCTTTTTTTGTTTTTGTTGCCTGTGCTTTCAAAGTCTTGGTCATAAAATCTTTGCCTAGACCGATGTCCTGAAGACTTTTCCCTAGGTTTTCTTCTAGTATTTTTATAGCTTTGGATCTTACATTTAAGACTTTAATCCATCTTGAGTTCATTTTTGTACATGATGAGAGATAGGGGTCTAGTTTCACCCTTCTGCATATGGTTATTCAGTTTTCCCAGCATCATTTATTGAAGAGGGTGCCCTGTTCCCAGTGTATGTTCTTGACAGCATTGTCAAAGATCAGTTGGCTGTAATTACATGAATTTATTTCTGGATTCTCTATTCTGTTCCATGCTTTATGTTTATATGTCTATTTTTATACTAATACCTTGCCATTTTGGTTATGATAGCCTTGATCTATATCAAGGAGTGCAGTTGGAGTGCAGTAGCATGATCATAGCTCACTGCAGCCTTGACCATCTGGGCTCAAGTGATCCTCCCACCTCAGCCTCCCAAGTAGCTAGGACTCCAGGCACACTCCATAATACCTGGCTAATTTTTAATCTTTTGTGTAGACGGTGTCTCGCTATGTTGTGCAGGCTAGTCTGAAACTCCTGGACACAAGCCATCCTCTCGCCTTGGCCTCCCAAAGTGCTGGGATTACAGGTGTGAGTCACCATGCCTGGTCTTGTAATATATTTTGAAGTCAGGTAATGTGATAACTCCAGATTTTTTTTCCCCACAGGATTGCTTTGGCTATTCTGGCTCATCTTTTGTTCCATATGAACTTTAGAATTATTTTTTCTATTTCTGTGAAAAGTGACATTGGTAATTTAGGGATTGCATTGGGCAGCATGGCCATTTTGGCGATCTTAATTCTTCCAGTCCATAAGCATGGGTGAAATGTCTTTCCATTTGTTTGTGTCCTCTTCAATTTATTACATCTGTGTTTTGCAGTTTTCCTTCTAAAGGTCTTTCACCTTTTTGGTTAAATTTATTCCTAGATATTTTATTTTATGCTTTGTAGCCAGTGTAAATGTTATTGCCTTATTGATTTCTCTTTTGGCTATTTCACTGTTGGTGTACAGAAATGCAACTGATATTTGTATGTTGATTTTATATTCTGCAACTTTACTGAATTTATTAGTTCTAAGAGTTTTTGGATGGAGTTTTTTTGTGATTTTCATATATAAGATTATGTTTTTCGGCAAAGAGAGATCATTTGGCTTCCTCTTTTCCAATTTGGATGCCTTTTATTTTTTTCTTTTGCGGGATTGCTCTGGCTAGGACTTCCAGTACTATATTGAATAGGAGCGGTAAAAGTAGCCATCCTTATCTTGTTCCAATTCTTAGAGGAAAAGTTTTCAACTTTTCCCTGTTCAGTATGATGATAGCTGCAGATCTGTCATATACAGCCTTTGTTATGTTGAGGTATGTTTCTTCTATATCTAGCTTGTTGAAAGGTTTTATTTTTTAATCATGAAGCAATGTTGACTATTATGAAATGCTTTTTCTGCATCTATTGGGATGATCACATGATTTTTGTCCTTCATTCTGTTGATGTTATATATCATGTTTATTGATTTTCATAAGCTGAACCATCCTTGCATTTCTGATATAAGTCCCACTCGGTCATGGTGTATTATATTTTTGATGTATTGTTGGATTTGGTTTGCTAGTATTTCATTGAAGATTTTTGCATCTGTGTTCATCAGAGATATTGATCCGTGGTTTTCTTTTTCCTGTTGTTGTATTGTCATCTGACTTTGGTATTAAGGTAATGCTGGCCTCACAGAATAAGTAAGGGAGAATTTCCTCCTCTTCAAATTTTTTTGAATAGTTTAAGGAGGATTACTATTAGTTCTCCTTTATATGTTTGGTAGAATTTGATAGTGAATCCATTTGGTCCTGGGCTTTTCTTTGTTGGGAGACTTTTTATTACTGATTCAACCTTGCTACTCATTATTGGTCTTGAATAATTTTCAATTTCTTCCTGATTCATCTTGTTAGATTTTATCTTTTCAGGAATTTATCTATTTTTGCTAGATTTTTTAGTTTGTTAGTGTTAGTTATAGTTGTTCATAATAGTCTCTGATGATTTCTTGTATTTCTGTGGCAACAGTTGTAATGTCTCTTTTTTCATTTCTGATTTTATTTGGGTCTTCTCTTGTCTTTTTTTGGTTAGTCTAGCTACTGGTTTATCAATTTGGTTTATTTTTTTGAAGAATCTGTTTTTTTGCTGACCCTTTGTATTGTTTTTTTAGTTTCTATTTCGTTTAGTTCTGGTCTGATTTTTATTACTTCTTTTCTTCTACTAATTTTGGGCTTGGTTTTCCAATTCCTTCAGGTGCATTATTAGATTGTTTATTTGAAATCTTTCTACTTTTTTGATGTAGGTGTTTATTGCTATAAACTTCCCTCTTAGCACTGCTTTTGCTGTATCCCACAGGCTTTGGTATATTGTATTTCAATTTTTTTTTGTTTCAAGAAATTTTTTTTATTTCCATCTTAATTTCTTCATTGTTCTATTGGTCATTCAGGAGAATGCTGTTTAATTTCCATGCGTTTGTATAGTTTCCAAAGTTTTTCTTGTTATTGATTTCTAGTTTTATTCTAATCTTATAAGTGTGCCTATCTTTGGGCCCCAGGGTGGCATATGCTGGCATTAAGTATTAGTGGGTTCAGGCAGGCCAATTCTTGGGCCTTTTAGTGTTTTTTTCAGGTGTCAGGAATGGCAGCTATGGGCTGGGCAGGTAGGTAGGTTCACGGACCCATTGGCAGTGGGTGTGTTGTGGCTGATGGCAGTAGCAATAGTGGGACAACCCTCTAGCACCCAAGTGGTACTCACTGGTATTGGCAATGGCTATGAGAAGTTGGGTGGTCTTGTCCTCAGGCCCATAGGTGGTGCATGCAGATAGGTGCCAGCAATGGTGGTAGCGGCAGGTTGAGTGGGCTTAATCTCAGACCCTGGGAGGAGTGCTCATGTGCCTTACAGGTGACATGAGTCTCTTGTAGGCAGCGTATAGTTGGTTCTTGTTTTTAAAAAATCCATTCACGCATTCTATTTTTTTTAATCAGAGAATTTAATCCATTTACATTCAAGGTAATTATTAATAGGTAAGAACTTACTACTGCCATTTTGTTAATTTTTGTTTTGTTGTTTTGTAGATTCTTTCTTCCTCTCTTGGTCTCTTCTTTTGTGGTTTGATGTTTTTTGTAGTGTATGCTTTGAATCATTTCTATTTTTGTGTTGTGCTACTGCTAAAGATTTTTATCTTTGTGGTTACCATGACACTTAGTTAGAATATCTTGTTCTTGTAATAAGCTATTTCAAGCTGACAACAAGTTTAGTTGCAAGCAATAACTCAACAGTTTTACTCCCTCCCTAACATTTTGTTTTTGATGTCAGAATTGATATCATTTTATAATATGATTTATCATTGAAAATTTATTTTAGCTATAGTTGTTATTAATAGTTTTGTGTTTTTACTCTCATATTGGGATAAAATTGTCTTACATCCCATCATCACAGTCCTAAAGTATTCTGAGTATGGCTCTATTTTGCTTATACCATTGAGTGTTGTGCATTCATATGTTTCATGTTATTAGCAGCTTTCTGTTTCCGTTTTTAAAACTTCCTTTTGCAATTTCTGTAAGGCAGGCATAGTGGTAATGAACTCCCTTAATTTTTGTTTGGGAAAGTTTCTATTTCTCCCTCAACTGGGGAAGACAGCTTTGCTAAGGTATTCTTGGTAGGCAGTTTTTTCCTTCAGCACTTTTAATACATCATCACACTGACTCCTGGCCTGCAGGGTTTCTGTTAAGAAATTACAATTGTATTGGCACTCCTTTGTATGTGACGTGTTTCTTACCTTCTGATGCTCTCAGAATTTTTGCTTTGTCTTTGATTTTTGATAGTTTGATTATTATGTGTCTTGGTGTACTCATCTTTGAGTTTAATTTGATTGAATTTGATTAGGAGCAGGTGCACAGGAACTCTCTGTACTTTCTCCTCATTTTTGCTGTAAACCTAAAACTGCTCTAACAGATAAAGTCTATAGATAAATAAATGTGTAAATGGCTATGACTCAACTAAGAGTGCTATCTCTCCACCAGGATTTCTAAGGCTGCTCTGGTGTGCAGCAAGTAGCCTGAAAGGGGATGTAGGATTATCTTCACCCATACACATAAGAAAACTCCTTTAAAAATAAATTTTATTGTGTATATTTGAGGTATACAACATGATGTCATAAGATTCATATATATATATATATATAAATCATATATATATGCATCTCTACTATAGTAACCATTATACTATATATATTACACATAATTTTTACTATATATATACACTCACACTACACAAGCATATATATATAGGTAGAGTTTATATGTATGTATATATATATATACACAAATGGTTATAATAGTGGAGATTACTATATACATATAGTAAAAAGTTTACTAGAGTGGAACAAATTAACATATCCATCATTTCACTTAGTTAACCATTTTCCCTCTGTGGTGAGAACAGCTATAAACTCATTTAGCAACAGTTCTTAATATCATACATTATTATTAACTATAGCTCTCATTTTTTACATTATATCTTTGTAAACAATATAAACTTGTTCACCCTACATATTTGCAACATTGTATGATTTGATCAATATCTCCCCATTTTCTTCCTCCTACCGGACCATGGTAACCATGTTCTATTCTCTGTCTTTCTGTATTTGGACTCCTTTCAATTTTCTCTTGATTTGACTTTGCTCCTGATTCTCTTATACTTTCTTCCTATTTTGCTGAGGCCCTGACCTAGCAGCCAGGGAGAGTAGAGGTGAGACAAAGAAAAAGAGGAGGAGGAAGAGAAGAACGAGGAGATGGTGGAGGAGGAGCCTTGGCTGAGAACAACAGTTATTTATCACAGAAATCTCATAGAGAACAAAAATGACTCTTCTCAGTAACCAACAAAAAGGGAGATTATAATTGAAATGAAAGGATTGGATGATAAAATGTAAAAGCAGTAATAACTTTCTTTGTGGTTTATTTTAGTGGCTTTGAATCAAGCCATTCTGCTCTTCAAAGACACGTGTCTTGTTCATCTCCCCCACCCTTCATCCCCCAACTCCATTTAGAACTATTTGAAGTCCCAGTGAACTAAAATCCTGCAAAGGATGCGGGACCCTTAGAGCCATCAACACACACAAGGGTCCATGCCAGAAAGTGTACCTGTTCTTGTTTTCAAAGTTCTGTTTCATCTCAGCACAGCGGAGATCCATTTCACTGGAGAGCTGGAAACAAAATCAGCATCTACAACACAGGACTGAGGACCCTGTCCCATTCTGATCTGCACCTTCTGAAAAGCCTTCCAATTTATGGGGCACAGCCGCCTTCCAATTCATGGGGCACAGCCCCCTTCCCACCCCTCTTCCACTGTGCTCTGCAGTGCCAGAGAGCACATTATTAATAAGGGAACAGAACAATTTGTGCCTTGCTCTATGTTGTTTTGTACTTATTCAGTTCATAATGTTGGTGCATCTCTTTCACTGACTATTTTTTTTGGGTAGGTCTGGTCTCCTGTGCTAGATCGTCATTTCTGTTACATCATGGCCTTCAGATTTTTGGATATGTAATCCAATTGAGCAATCATTTATTGAACAAAAGGCTTGGCTTGGAAGAGCCAAGGAGGACTAAGACTCAGATCTTGCCTTCGAGGAACTTAAAATCTAGTGTTAATCCTTGTTGACAGTATAGTTCCATTCTAGCAGGCAGGATTTGCTCACTTTCAGGTGATACTTCATTCTAACATGTCAGATCCTCTGGCCAGTGTCTCAGGATAAATCAATACTTCAAATCAGTCGGTGACCACTGTCAGCTAGGACAAGGGTTTAGGGCTTGTCCTTGTACCTCTCTGACTACTGGGGAGAAGCCAGGGACTGTGTCACACAACAAGTGGTCAGCAGAGCCACTCTGACAGACAGAGAACAGCCCAGCGTCAGCCAACACTACTCCCTTCCACAGGGCCACACAACAAATAGCATCTTCACAAGTGGCAGTATTTTCAGTAACACAGTCTAGGATCCCTTCATGGAAATAGTCTCTAAATATGTCTTCAGCAGGATCTGTGCCTATGACTTAAAATGTTCATTTTGTCCAATGATCTACCACTGTTCAGTTGAGAGATTGTATGCAAATTGTTTAACTTCCCTGAGTCTCATTTTCCTTTCTATAGAAGGAGACCATAAACCTGGCAGTGTTTTCAGATAAATAAGGTAATGAATCAATAGTTGGCAGGCGGAGGAGGGTGGTCTCAGGATAGGACCCAGCCTGAGTCATAAGCTGGGTCACTGTAGGATTCAGACACATCTGGGGCATATCAGAGGGTGAGAGGCTGCCTTCTGGGAAGTAAAACTTCACAGATGGGGTGGGGTTCAACAACCCTGGGGAGGATATTTCTGAACACAGCACTGGCTGTCACTCCAGGCCAGGCCAACAGGCACACCTGTTTGAGGTGAGGAAGAAGTCACCAGATGAAACAGATGGTAAAAGCTAAAAAGGTGTCACTGAAATCCTCAGGAATCACAAAGAGTGTCAAATGACATCTGCAGATTCTGATGTGTGGGCAGCTTTAACAGTCAGAGAGTAAGCCCTGCACATTAAGTGCGCTGGTGTCGTTAGTGAGAGCCTCACAAGCTCTGAAACTTAATTGCACCACAAAGGCCAGACAGAAAACAACAAGTGCACCCTAGTGTGAGGAGGACAGTGTCACTGCACACACACAGAGGTACTTGGAGAGCTCCTGGAAATAAATGAGTTAAGCTTTGTGGAAGAACTTGAGTTCTTGGAATTACAGATAAAGATGTCAGAGAAATACTACTGAGTGACACAGTCCAATCTTTAGGGTCCTGTCACCTGGACAACATGGCTCATATGAGTAAAGTGCTTGGCATTTTGCCTGGCACATAGGTGATTCAAAAATATTAATTTTATTTTGTCCATGAAGATGTTAGCTAATGTAAGGTCACTCACCAATTTCTGGGCAGACTGGTGGTCTCTGTTCATTTGTTCAATTATTGCTGTCAGCTCTGAGATTTGCTCTTCTAGGTCAGAAATGATGTTGGTCCTGTAGGAGAAGTAATTCTTCTATCATCCACAAAGCTTACCATTCCATGCCATTCAGGCCCCTGAGCATGACTGACTCTGGCATGGTGAGAGCTGGCCTGGTGAGAGCTGGCCATGTTCTGCACCTGCTCTATCATTATGGGGTGGGGGTGGAGGGATAGGGGTGGTCTTACAGAAGGCATTTGGCTATAGGGCAGTTGAGGCTCAGATCTGGCTCTTGTGGGTAAGCTCACTAGACTTGAACAGGATGGTTTGGTGCCCTACCGAATAGAAGGAAAATAAGAATATGTCAGAAATTTATTAGAGTTTGACCTTGATTTGGTAATGATAGTTGAAACAGAGGACGAAGTTCAGAGGATTAGGAAATTAGAAGATGTGCAATAGGATTGATGCTGGCTGTGAACCACAGACAAGGATTGGGCCAGAGATGGGACTAAGAGGGTATTTAAGAGAGTGGCTTTCAGCACAGGTCATGGTTTTCTGTGTTTCTGGGTCTAAGGCTGCCATGGTATCTGTAAATTATTTAGCTCTGTCTGGTTGGGCTAGAGTGACAAGGCAGCAGGTGGTGCCATGTGCAGTGGAGCTGAGAGGAAGTCCTCAATGCAAGATGCTTTGACCTCTTTGGCCAACCACTTTGCATGTCTAACTGAGCACAGAGAGAATGTGGGCTGATAAAACAAGAGAGGAGATACAGGAGGAGACAGTTCAAGGGTAAGAGAAAGAAAAGGCTTGAGAAAGTTGAATAATAGGGAGCCCCTATCTTTTGAACACAATCTTCAATACAAACAACACCCACAACTTTACCAGGGAATACAACAAGCACAGGTTATCATATTTTATTGTGCACAACTGGTGACAACTTCCTTGTGAGGCCAAGAGGTGGCTGTCGGTGCTAGCTTGACTATAGGTGCATGACCCATTCTCTTCCTGCAGAGGGCTGTGGATAAGCAGGGAAAAGAAAGCAGAGGCTGAATGCCCCTGGGTGGGAAGACAAGATAAGCAGGGTGAATGCCCCTGGCCCCTGGGTGGCCCTCTGGGCCAGGTCAGATCAGGGAGACTCCATGGCATGGCCTCATTCTACTTGAGGGGCCTTCAGACTCACCCTCAACCTGAATCCCTTCCCCAGATGTAACCACTGCTAACGGTTTGGTTGAATTCTGCCAATACACTAGCAGATAGGTAGATGATTGTGTGTGTGTGTGTGTGTGTGTGTGTGTGTGTGTATGTGTGTGTGTGTTTTCTATTGTTGGTCTTTTAGACTTGTGTGTTGAAAAAATAATTCTTACAGCAAAATCAGCCTGAGGGAAGAGGCACTTGGAGAGCCATTCAGTAGTGCAGTTAAGAAGTAAGATGCCTGAACATGGGCAGGATATCAGAGAAGAAGATATGAATAAGAGATTAAAGGGTAGAATGAAAAGATGTAGAGATGAATCTGCATCTGTTAATGAAAAAAGAAAGACATGGAGATATACTTGATATGGCATTGGAGGACAGAGAGTGGGTGGAGCCTGAAGACAGACAGGACAGCTGTGCTAATGGGTTAGAGTCAGGCCAGAACCTTCCACACTGCATCTCCCGGGGGCATGAGCTGAGTAGTATTTTTGGACATAATGAAAAAGAGGCTGGGCGCAGTGGCTCACGCCTATAATCCCAGCACTTTGGGAGGCTGAGGCCAGAGGATTACCTGAGGTCAGGAGTTTGAGAACAGCCTGGCTAATATGGCAAAATCCCATCTCTACTAAAGCTATAAATATTAGCCGGGCGTCATGGTGCAAGCCTGTAATCCTAGCTACTCAAGAGGTTGAGGCGTGAGAATAGCTTAAACCTGGGAGGCAGAAGTTGCAGTGAGCTGAGATCGTGCCACTAAACTCCAGCCTGGGTGGCAGAGAGAGACTCTGTCTCAAAAAAAAAAGTGCACTCCAGCCACCCAGAAACCCTCACTTTACTTAATTTGCATGCCTCAAATTCAGACTAATTTATGGCTATTCTATCTATTCCTCACCCCACGAACAATTGCTATCCTTTGGGATCAATCACATAACTCCCAATCTTCATCCTGCCCCTTGGATCTGCTCACGGATGGGATCAGAGCAGAGAGGCAGATGTGGAGAGATGCATCATCAGGAAGCAGGGGCGAGGAGGGAGGTGCCCTTGCGGCCCCTCCAGAGCAGGGACCAGTGGCCTGGGTGTGGGCATAGCGGCTTTGGCTTGTCCCTGAGGCCGGGCTGAGCTGGGTGGGAGTAGCCCCAAGCAGCTGCATGTTGCTGCAACAGCATTACCTGGAAAATCTGCCTTTGTCCGGGATCTCCGATTCCCACCGCTTTTTCCTATCAAACATCTCATCCCCTAAGGTGACAGAAATCTGTTCCCGATTCCGAACAAGTTGATAGCCAGGTGACACGTTGATCACTTCCTAGGCATCAAGGGAAAGTAAGATAAAATGGCAGACTTGGAGTGCTGAGATTTTTCCAAATCTTCTCTTATTGCCTCACTCACATCTTAAAAACAGGGACCTGGGACTCCACAGCCCAAGCCCTTCTGGGCCCTTCACCCATTATAGCTCATTCTCACATCTCTCCGACTCAAATCTGATGCTTAGCAGGCTCCTGGGTGTCCCTAGGGGCCTCTCAAGCTCTGCGCCAAACCAAGCCACTGATGCCCCTGCCCCCGACTTGTGTTCACCCTCGTGGCCAGAGCCCAGAGGAGGTGGGCATGCGGCAACTGCTCGGGTTTTGGAATCACAGAGGCCTGAGTAAATCTTGGCTCTGCCACCAGACAGTAGCCATCCAGCATCTCTGTGCCTCAGTTTCCTTATCAGAAAGTGGGGTTAATAACTCTTTCTCAAAGGGCTTTTGTGAGGGAAAAACAAAACAACATATGAGAAAATGACTAGGACGGTTGCAAACAAAATGTCATTTCCTCCTCCTTTTCCCATTAGACGCCAAGTCAGAAACCTGGGCAGGGCCTCTGCTGGCCTGGACCAGGGCAAGGCTGGGGCTCTGAGAGCTGCGCAGCACATGCTGCAGCCCCTTGATCCCTGCTGTTGTCACCTCCTTCATGTCTCTGTGAGTCACCCTCCTCTCTCCACACCCCTGCCTGACGGCCCCAGGCCACCATCATCTTTCTCTTGGGCTCTGGCCTCTCTGCCTTCAGTCTTGCTCCCCCCACAGTTCATCCTCCTCTCTACCTAGAGGGCAATTATATTTTTGCTTGTATATTTTTTTCCCTAACCATTAAAGGACTGCATGGCTCTTTTCCCTGGCTCTTTTCCCAGCACCTGAAACAGTGCCTAATAAATAATAGGTGGTCAATAAATATTTTCCAAAAAAATTAATGGAATACAAAGATTCATACAAAGACCTAAAACTAAAAAACAAAACAAAAAAAAGAAAGAAAAGAAACTAGATAAACACAGAAAACAGTAAAATGTACCGATTACATCCCACCAAAGGGTGCTTTTTCTGAAATGTAACTCTTACTTGGTCCTGTGCCTGCGTCAGACCAGTAAAGGCTCCCAGACACCAGAAGGGTCGGGCCCACACTCCCAGGCAGGCGTCAAGAGCCTTCGAGTTTGGTTCTCATCACCTTCTCCAGTGCCCTCCCGCCCCTGCTCCCCTGAGGGGTCCCGGCAGCCTCTCCCCAGCTTTCGTTAGTTCCCTAGGTCAGCAGAGCACTTCCTGCATCTAGGCATGAGCTGTTCACTGGCCTGGACTAGCTGTCATGTCCAGTTTCTCTGAGACACTCTGTTTGTCTTGTGCAAGGCAGGAGAGAGTGGCAATTAAATGCCCACTCTGGAATCTAGCTGAGCTGAGTTCAAGTCGTGGTTCTTCCACTTACCTGCCGTGCATAATGTGCAATATTAACAGCACCTCCTCCCAGGATCTTTGTGAAGATTCGACAAGGTAAGTATAAAAATGTAAAGGGCCCATGCTTGCACATAGTAGGCACTCAATAAATTTTAGTCCCACCGCCCTCTCCTGCCTTTACTCACATAAAATGATTTATTAGTCTCTTCTTGCCTTGCTGAATGGATTTTCATTCTGCAAGAGAAAGACATGCTCAGAAAGCAACCAGACAGCAAAGAGAAGTTCAAAGCTTAGGAGCTGAACCCTGAGGCCGCCACCATCTGACTTCTGCTCTCTGACCTGACCTTCTTAGGGGATCCCTAGGATAGTTGGGGAACTCACTGAAGCCGGGCTCCTGAGGGCCCCAAAGTAGGGGTGCTCATGAAAAGGTCCTGCCCAAGGAGGCAAAAGACTTGTCTTATGATGTTGGGGCAACTTCTGTTTTGGAGGAGCATAAACCAGCTAGAGGGACCCCTACATATTCTCCCTGAGTCAAGGCTCTGTGAGTCAGGTGACACCCCCCACCACCCCCTTACACACAAACGGGCACACACACACTCAGTTCAGGGAACTGTGTGGAACTCTCTTTATTGGAGAATGAAACATTCTATATAAACAAATGTTCCAGAAAATGAAATGTATCCCATTAAGATACAAATGTTGAAGTTAAACTTGTTTTTCATTCAAATCTTTATATATGCTATATATAAAATGAATACCACATATGTGTATATGTTCACAGTGGCCTTTCCCTCCAGCTCCAAAGCCAGCAGCAATTGCATCACTCCAACCTCTGCTTCTGTTGTCACAGCTCCTTCTCTGACTCTGACACTGTGACCTCCTCTTTCACATACAAAGAAGGACCTTTGTGATTACATGGGATCTGGGATAATCCAGGATAATCTCTCCAACTGAAGGTCAGCTGATTAGCAACCTTAATTCCATCTGCAGCCTTAATTCCTCTTTGGCAAGTAACATATTCACAGTCTCTGGGTATTAGGGTGTAGACGTCCTTGGGAGGGGGTCACTGTCCTGCCCACCACACCCATCACCTTGTTACCTTCTTTGAGCTCATCTCCCACCACTCCCTGCTCACTCGCTCCGCTCATGCCACACTGGCTTCTGCCTTCCTGGAAGAGGTCAGACATGCCAAGCAAGTTCCCACCCCAGGGCCTTTGGACTTGCTGGTCCCTCTGCCAAGAGTGCTTGCCCCAGGCATCATTGAGGCTCCTTTTGCCCCCTTTACACAGGCACTTGCCCTGACCTCTCTACGTAAAGTATCCCCACCGTCACAGCCCCTACCTGCTTTGCCTGCATCTTTTTTCTATGTAGCACTTGCCAACCTCGGATGTAATAACTAGTTTATGGTCCTCTTCCCCTTCCTTCCCCACTAGAATATAAGTGCCAGGAGAGTGGAGACTTTATTGTGTTTCTGGCTCTTTTCCCAGCACCTGAAACAGTGCCTAATAAATAATAGGTGGTCAATAAATATTTTCCAAAAAAATTAATGGAATACAAAGATTCATACAAAGACCTAAAACTAAGGTACATTTCTAAGCTTGTAAAATGCGAGTAAAAATTTTAATTTGTGATTAAAACCAAGATGCAACCCATAGAAAATCTTAGACACAGGACAGTAATCAGCTAAAGAGTGAGTCACCACCCTAAATGCACGGGAGGGTCGCCAAGGCTCTGTGACAATAGCACACATCAAGCTTTGGGCTCCAGGGCAGAAGACAGTTACTGGGGGCACCCCTGTGGAGAGCAGTGGATACAGTGACTTTGAATCAAACAATGCAATGACTTTGGAAGCTGTGGATGCAGAGGACCCCAAAATCTACATGTAGGATCTGAGGTTTGCAAGAAATCAAGGTCGATTCTGGCAATTCTCTAACATCCCTGGCATCAATTAGTTCAAGTCAGGCCAGGTGAGAGGGAGATTATTTTATTCACATGCCTGAAACCATTTCTGCCTCATGGACATAAAAATACTTAGGGCCAGGCACAGTGGCTCACGACTGTAATCCCAGCACTTTGAAGGCTGAGGAGGGCTGGTCACTTAAGGTCAGGAGTTCCAGACCAGCCTGGCCAACATGGTGAAACCCCGTCGTTACTACAAATACAAAAATTACGTGGGCATGGTAATGGGTGCCTGTAATCCCAGCTACTCAGGAGGCTAAGGCAGGAGAATCGTTTGAACCAGGGAGGTGGAGGTTGGAATGAGCCAAGATGGCACCACTGCGCTCCAGCCTGGGTGACAGAGCAAGACTCCATCTCAAACAAACAAACTGCTTGGTGCAGTGGCTCACACCTGTAATCCCAACACTTTGGGAGGCTCAGGCGGGTGGATTGCCTGAGTTCAGGAGTTCAAGACCACCCTGGGCAATGTGGTGAAACCCCGTCTCTACTAAAATACAAAAAAGTAGCCAGGCATGGTGGCGCGCACACCTGTATTCCCAGCTACTCGAGAGGCTGAGGCAGGAGAATCGCTTGAGACTGGGAGGCAGAGGTTGCAGTGAGCCAAGGTTACACCACTGCACTCTAGCCTGGGCAACAGAGTGAGACTCCATCTCAAAAACAAAACAAAACAAAACAATACTTACTTTGGGGAAACAACAGGTTTTGTTGGTTGGAGGTAATTGTGATTTTTTGGAGCTGGTACAAGAGGAGTTAGCCTGAAAGTGAAAAACAAATAACTAAAACAAGAACATTGGAAATTCGGAAACCCTTTTTAACACTCCCAGATTAAGTACATCCCTATAGTGACCCAAAATTGGAATGCATGATCTGATAGCTGGAATCTTTAAAATCTGAGGCCTTTAAAACTCAGGCCCAAGGCCCTGGCACTTGTTCACTGTCCCAGGAAGAGTTTGTCCCCCGATTCCCAAAGCTCTTTATCCCACATGAAGGCGGCAGCTGCCATCAGGGCCCTTTGGTTGGAAGCTGCACTTTGCCGTTGCACCAACACTGAGACTTCCTCATTTAAAATGGCACAAACCCCAGGCAGGGCTGGCAAGATGAGGGTGCAGCCAACCAGCTGGCAGGGAAGCTGGGGAAAGCGAGGCTTTCTGGCCCACCTGGGATTTTCCTGCCACACTTGCTGTTTTAGAAATCTTGTGAGAGAAATGAGGCTACAAATGGATCCCAAGGTCCCTGTGCCTACCCCATCCCAGATAATTCTTACTTGGAACTCCCTGTGGAGTTCTTGCGTGGTAGTTGAGGGGTCTTGATTAGCTTCCGTGGTCCCAAGTTCCAGGGGTCCCAGCAGGTGCAGTAGATGAGAGGGTTGGGGTACATGGCCAAAGGTCAGGGGGAGTCTTGGCTGCTAGATCAGGAGGCTCTTGCTGAAATTGAAAAACAACAGCAGAAGGTTAAACCATTTAGAATCAAAGCAAAAATACAGAAGAATTGGGAAGAACCCAGGGAGGACCCAAAGAACAATGGTAGATTCCAGAAGCTGTTGATCTGGTGCAGGGTCTTGACTATAGGTTAACAGCTCATCCCTTTCTACTCAGTAGACTTGACTTGAAAGCAATTTAAACTTTGCCATAACTGGCTGGGCATGGTGGCTCACGCCTGTAATCCCAGCACTTTGGGAGGCCGAGGTGGATGGATCACTTGAGGTCAGGAGTTTGAGACCAGCCTGGCCAACATGGTGAAACCCCGTCTCTACTGAAAATACAAAAATTAGCTGGGCATGGTGGCACACACCTATAGTCCCAGCTACTCAGGAGGCTGAGGTGGGAGGATTGCTTGAACCTGGGAGGCAGAGGTTGCAGTGAGCTGAGATTGTGCCACTGCACTCCAGCCTGGGTGAAGAGTGAGACTTCGTCTCAAAAAATAAAATAAGATACAAATAAAAATAAAACAAAATAATTAAAATAAAATAAAATTTGCCATAGCCGAGTCCTTGCTGTGAGCCAGGTAAAACTGCTCAATTATTGTTATGCTGATACTATAGATGAAGCTACTGAGACTCAGAGAAGTCACGGCGGCAGCAAGTTGCAGAGCTGGAAACAAACACAAATCTCTTTGACTCCCAAGCTCCTTCCTTTCCAGCAGGCCACACCAGTTCTCACTGAAGGGAAGAGAAATTCCCACAGCAAGTTCTGCACAGAACTTCCTGGAAAATTAGTTCTGCTGCTTGAGCTACAGTGCAAATGAATCTCCTCGTTTCTCATTCCTGGTCACCTTCTTGAATTACAGAGTGGAAACTCCTTCCCTGGCTCCCAAAAAACAAAACCCCTATTATGAGAATCTTGATGAAAGAAAACTATCAGATAAACATGGTGGCTTGACCACACTGGCTTATCTTCTTTCTTTTCCAGAATCCAACTAAAATTAGAGTACAGCATTAAAAGAGATTTAGTTCCACAAGAGCAAGAAAATGGGAGAGGAGACAAGATTGCACAAGGGATGTCCGTACATGTTTGGCATAGTAACTAGGGCTCTCTCCATAGCTCACTATAGCCTATGTGCCTGCAAAGACAGGGTATGAACAAGATGGAGCCAATTCACACATCAGAGGTCCCAGAGGGTGCAGGACTTGGAACTGGTAGATTACCTGATGATATTGACAGGCAGCTGGTAGATGTGTAGGAGCACATGGTAGGATGAATACTGTCCCTTTCCCTATACCGCATGTCCTAATCCCTGGAAAGTGTGACTATGTTACCTTACATGGCAAAAGCAGCTGTGATTAAATGAAAGATCTTGAGATAGAAAGATTAACCTGAATTATCAGTCAGAGAAGATGTGATAATGGAGGAAGAAGTAGGAGTGATTGAGGAAAAGGTCCAGGAGCCAAGGAATCGGGGCAGCATCTAGAAGCTGGAAAAGGCAAGGAAACGAATTCCCCCTGGAGCCTCCGGAAGGAATGCAGCTCTGCCGACCTCTTGATTTTAGCTCAGTGAGGCTCATTTTGGACTTTGACTTTCAGAATTGTAAGATTGTTGCTTGAGCCACTACATTTGTGGTAACTTTGTTACAGAGCAACCAGAACCAGAGCATTTGGGAGTGTGGGTGAGAGATTGGCAATAGAAACATAGAAACCTAAGAAAATAAAATGTGCAATTACTCCAGGTTAAAAAATATTGAATGAGAAAGTAAACATAATCATAGTATGGCACACACTCATATGTATCAAATGTAAATACTTAATAGTGACTTAGCCAAAAAGTGAACTGTGACTACATGGGAAGAATGAGTGGAATGGGGATGTATAAGAGCCAAATCCTCATCTGCTGTACCAGAAAGAAAAATTAACATACGGAGCACAGACAAATTACTTGGAAGTATGAGGTAAATAAAATTCCAAAGAAATAGATAGCAGAGTTGAAAATAATTGCCTCTAGGAGCACATTGAGAAGTAGAACTGACAGGTCAGGGGATGGGGCAGAAATTGAGACTTTTCCTTAATGAATTTTTAACATTAGTTGATTTTTAAATGATGTCAGTGGATATTTCTTTTCTCTTTTCTTCTTTTCTTTTCTTTTTTCTTTTCAGAGTCTCACTCTGTCACCCAGGCTGGAGTGCAGTGGCACAATCTTGGCTCACTACAACGTCTGCTTCCTGGGTTCAAGCGATTCTCCCGCCTCAGCCTCCTGTAGGTGTAGGCCTCCAGCCTCCTACAAGTGCCCACCACTATGCCTGGCTAAGTTTTGTATTTTTAGTAGAGACTGGGTTTCGCCATGTTGATCAGGCTGATCTTGCACTCCTGGTCTCAAGGGATTCTCCTGCCTCGGCCTCCCAAAGTGCTGGGATTACAGGCATGAGCCACTGTGCCCAGCCATGTCAGTGGATATTTCATTAGTAATAAAAACAAATGCCAAAAATGTTATAAGAATCAATGGCCTAACAGAAGCATTAAAGTGATAGCAGATTTAACTCAAATGTCTAAGTCTATGATTAGTTTTCAATATTACACTGGAATACATTTGCTTAAGAACCTGCTGAAAAAATGAAATCAACCTTTGTCTCCAACACGACTGATGCTTGAGAAACCCACTGATGGTGTCTAATGACCTTAAGAGCTACAGAGGACCTTAAGGTTGAATCTGTTTTACATATGAGGATACTAAAACTCACTCACTTGTAACTGCTGCTTTAACAGTACAAATCTTTAGAGGCTCGTGCTGTGAGTCCTGTGCTAGATGCTGGTTGGACCTTGCCCTCAGGGAGCTTGCAGTCAGCAGAGGAGTCGGCAGAAAGAGAGCTAAGTGAGCAGTGGAGCAAAGGCAAGAGACCTGGCCTTGGAAGAAAGGCAGCGTGTGCAGGGGTTGGCTGGGCCAGAGGCCTGGGACTAGGGAGTCTTCTGCAATAGAGGTCAGGGCTAGAAAGGAGTCCAGGGCTAGAAAGGAGTCCAGGAGACTGGCTAAACAGCAAAGGCCTGAAGAGCAGGTGACAGGGCCGCCATTTATAACTGTCCATACTCCACTGGGTTTGGGGGCCTGTTAGGGCCAAGTCAAGGAGATGAGGTCAGAGAAGCAGATGGGATCGAGTGCCCAGGTGGGAAGATGATGCTACAAGGGGCTGGAATTCAGGTGAGAGTCTGAAAGAAGGCTACAACAGTAGCAAAAAAGAAACTGCTTCTGCTTAGAACCTTGTATCTGCTTCCTGTACGAAAGGAGCCAACCCTGAACTTGGGAGATTTAGCAGGAGTCCATGGGGCAAGAAGTGAGAGGCTAAGGCAGGCCCACTTCTAGCAACTGCCTTCTCTCTTCTTGAAGGCCAGGACTCCACTATGGAGTGCTCTCTGTGCCTCAACACCTCCACTAAGCCTTGCAAAGTGGCTTGTCCACAACGGGCATTTGATGAATATTTCTTACCTGACTAGTAAACTTAGTGGTTGTAATCAGCTCATCATGGTGGTTGGGGCTAGCTCAACAAAGAGAAAAAGATGGTATGGTGGCTGATGCCTGTAATTCCAGCACTTTGGGAGGCCAAGGCGAGAGGATCACTTGACGCCAGGAGTTCGAGACCAGCCTAGCCAACAGGGCGAAACCCCGTCTCTACTAAAAACACAAAAATTAGCCAGGCATGGTGGCACATGCCTGTAATCCCAGCTACTCGGGAGGCTAAGGCAGGAGAATCACTTGAACCTGGGAGGTGGAGGTTGCAGTGAGCCGAGATCTCACCACTGCACTCCAGCCTGGATGACAGAACAAGACTCTGTCTCAATAAATAAATGAATAAAACAAAAAACAAAAACAAAGAGAAAAGAGATTCACAGATGAAACTGCCAAAATGTTGTAATCGTCATTACCATATTATAAATAACATTAAACATTTGCATTCAAAAGCCAGAAAGCAGAGGTAAATTGTATGGGTGATACAATCACTCAGTGGAGTTTTACATAGATTTTCAATGATCTTTGATGAATGTGTAGTTGTTTCCTTTTCCTCTTTCCCATGATAAACAATGTCTTGGTATATATTCTTTTGCTCTTAAGAAAAAAAAAAAAGAAGGCCTCACAGGTGTGGTGGCACATGTCTGTAATCCCAACACTTTGAGAGACTGAGGTGGGAGAGTCGCTTGAGGCTAGGAGTTTGAGACCAGCCTGGGAAACATATCGAGACTCTGTATCTACAAAAAATTTTAAAAATAGCCTAGTATGGTGGAGTGTGCCTGTAGTCCCAGCCACTTGGCAGGTGGTGCGGGAGGATCACTTGAGGCCAGGAGTTTGAAGTTGCAGTGAGCTAGGACCACACCACTGCATTTCAGCCTGGGTGACAGCACAAGACCCTGTCTCTAAAAAATAAATAAATAAATAAAATAAAAATAAAGGCCTTTTTCTTTGAACACCCATGGGAGTGATACTCAAAATATTTAACAACCAGTAAGACAAGGCTATTGAATAATCAACCAGGGTTGGAACAGGGTCCTGGGAGATCTCACTCCCACCTCCATGCCAGGCATTAACCCCTTAGTTGCTGAATCATGAGGTGGTCTGGGGGTGCCAGGGGAGGAGTTGGGACAACCAAGGTGGCAAGGAGGACATGCAAGGGGCTTGGACAATGGTCATCTACCAATCAATATGACAGTATTTTATTTATTATTATTATTGTTTTGAGACGGAGTTTTGCTCTTGTTGCCTAGGCTGGAGTGCAATGGTGTGGTCTTGGCTCACTGCAACCTCTACCTCCGAGGTTCAAGCGATTCTCCTGCCTCAGCTTCCCCAGTAGCTGGAATTACAGGCACCCGCCACCATGCCTGGCTAATTTTTGTATTTTTATAACGATGGGGTTTCACCATATTGGCCAGGCTGGTCTCAAACTCCTGACTTCAGGTGATCCACCCATCTCAGCCTCCCAAAGTGCTGGGATTACAGGTGTGAGCTACCGTGCCCTGCCTATATGGCAGTATTTTAATATTTCAGTAGCTAAAATCAGCCCTTGACTTCTCATAGCTTCTTAAGTGGGAACTACTTCTAACAGATTTTTGGGGCATCCTTCCAGAAATGTTGTGAGTGCATATAACCTTAAATGTTTTGCATATAGAACTTAACCTGTAGAGAAGCATAATAGATTTTTTAAATTATTTGCATAAGTGAGAGCATACTTTGCACACAATGTTGCATCTTGTTCTTTTTGTGTAACAGGATATCTAGTTGATATTTCCATGTCATCACAGATAGATCTGCATTTACAGTGGCTTGACATCATATAGCTCTAATTATAGAGGGGTGTGTGAGTGTGTGTAAGGATTTTTTCTCCCCCTTTTTTCCCTTTCCTGCACTTCTACCTGATGATTTTACCTGAGGCTTGCCCTAACAATAGTCACCAGTGAGCCGGCAGAGGCTTCAGAGAAGTTACTGGTTAGTATTAATAATCAGTAGAAAAAATAATATAAAACATCTTTTCCAAAGAGCTTACCTTGGACTGCCCAAAGATCTGTTATTCTCATGTGGCCCAAGTCAAACATCTTAAAGAAACCACCATGTTAGAGAGAAATGGTTCCCCATCAACACAGAATCAGAGTTTACTTTAGATCAAAAGCCACTTTAGTGGCCATTCCAAGTGGTTGAAATGCCGAAGGAGAAAATTCACAGTATATGTACTGCGGGAAGACAGACTTCTAGTGAATCCAATCAAAGGCTTTTACAAAGGCTGGCCTGGCACAAACATGAATTTCCCTTCTAAAGACAAAACAGTTGAAGTTTCTCAGTATTGCAATGAAATTAAACTAGAGGAGAAGGTCACCCCACCATTCAGATTCCTGTGACTTGGGCCTGAGTTGTGAGGTTTGCCCTTGGGAGATGGCAGGCCAAAGTTTGTTTATTTTGTTGCTATGGACACAGAACAGTAGCTCCTCATTGGCTCAGGGCTCTTTTCTTCAAGAGAGAAGGTTGGGAGAAACAGCCAATTAAATTCTCCAAGACACAAATCAGTGACCACCCTCAACAGCAAAGAATTCATACTTTTAACACTGGATTTCCACTTTCGTCATCAGTCATGGGACAAAAAAGTTTAAGATATATCTTCAGAGGAAATAGAATTCAACAGCACTTTTAGGCTTCATTGGTCTATGGCAATAGTTACCAGGCAGGATCTGTGATGGATTTTTAATTCCTCTGTGATCTACTCACAGAAACCTAAAACTCTAGACACTTTTTTCCCTCGAGTTTAAGGCTTTGAAATCTGTGAAAGTAAAAATCCCCCAAGGCAGGAATCTTTTGCAGTCACAAGGTTTTCCGATTTTTTTTTTTAAATAAAGCTGCTTTTTCTTACTATAGAAAAAAGTACTTGCTTATTACAACCCAGTGGCTTTCATTTTAGTTTTACTGCCACTCATTATAAGAAATACATTTTACAAATTTTGTAATAAAAAAATTTCATGAAATAATACTCTTATTATTTGCTATTCTCTTCTATTTCTTTTTCTTCTTTAAATTAAAGCTGATTATAATCCACTAGATTGATTTCATGATCCTGGTGGGTCACAACCCCTAGCTTACAAAATATTGTTATAAATTCATCTATTCACTCAACTTCACATTTGTTGTCTACTGTGTGCCAGGCACTATTGCTAGGTGTGGGGATATACCTCAGTTCTTATACTCAATACAACTTAGAGACCAATGAGAAAACAGACAATAAAAAAGCTCAATAAAAGCATAATTAATTTTTTTTTCCTTTGAGACAGTAGCTCACTCTGTTACCCAGGCTGCGGTGCAGTGGCAGTGGCAGTGCAGGCTGCATGCATAGCTCACTGCAGCCTTGACCTCCTGGACTCAAGCGATCCTTCTGCCTCAGACTCCCAAGTAGATGGGACTACACAGGTGCACAGCACCATGCCCAGCTAATTTTTTTTTTTTTTTTTTTTTTTGAGACGGAGTCTCGCTCTGTCACCCAGGCTGGAGTGCAGTGGCGGGATCTCGGCTCACTGCAAGCTCCGCCTCCCGGGTTCACGCCATTCTCCTGCCTCAGCCTCCCAAGTAGCTGGGACTACAGGCGCCCGCCACTACGCCCGGCTAATTTTTTTGTATTTTTAGTAGAGACGGGGTTTCACCGTTTTAGCCGGGATGGTCTCGATCTCCTGACCTCGTGATCCGCCCGCCTCGGCCTCCCAAAGTGCTGGGATTACAGGCGTGAGCCACTGCGCCCGGCCGCCCAGCTAATTTTTTTGACTTTTAGTATACATGAGGCCTTGCTATGTTGTCCAGGCTGGTCTTGTACTCCTGAATTCAAGTGATCCTCCTGCTTCGGCCTCCCAAAGTGCTGGGATTACAGGTGTAAGTCACCATGCAGCCACAATGACTCATATTGAGACTTGCCAGAAGCAGTGGGAGTTCATAGCAGGAGTTACTCTTCTAGTCCAGTGAGTCAGGCAGCAGTGTTAAACAGAGAAGAGATCTGACTAGATCTACATATCAGAAAGATCATTCTGACTGCAATATAGGGAAGCAATTGGAAGGGCCAGGAAAACCAGGTAAAAGTCTGTGGCAGTGGTCGTCATGGGACCTGACGATGGCCCTGACTGAGGAGCAGCAGTGGGGATGGAGAGAAGACATGATAGAACTTGGTGATTGACTGGATGCTGGGATGAGCGAAAAGGAGAAGGTGATGATTCCTGGCTTTCCAGCTCGAGCAATTGAGTTGACCGTGGTGCCATTTATTGAGATAGGAAAGTGTGGAGGGATAAACAGGTTCTAGGGAGCAGATTATTAGTTCAGTTTTGGATATGTTGAGGTGCAGGGAGACTAATAGACAAGTGGTGACGTCTGTTAGAGTTTCTTACATATTTTAGAAGTTCAGAGGAAGATTCTGGCCTAGAAGCAGATTTAGGAGTCTTCAGAGTGGATACTATTCCAAGCCAAGGGAGCGAGTGAGATCACATATAGAGAGAGTATTGTGTAAGGAGAGAAGAGGGTCTAGAACAGAGCTCTGAGGACACCAGTATTTACGACAAGATTTCTCAGTGTGGGCCATGTGTAGTTAAAATGCATAGACCTGTTGCTTGATTGCAAGTGGCTTACATCAAAGAGGTTTATTAACCTCATGAAATAGAGTCTGGAGGCAGTGCTATCAGAGTTGGTGCAAAGATTCAGCAATGTCCTTGGAGAACTGGGCTCTTTCCATCTCTCTGTTATGCCAGCCTCGGTGTGTTGATGGAGGGAAGCGTCTTGGTTGCACTATGGCTGCTTCAACTCTGAGCACCATGAACAGGCTAGATGAAGAGAGACTTTCAAAGATTAAAAGGAGGGAAATAACTTAGAGAAGAATTGATAGACTCTATTAGTCATCTAGACAATCTGTCTCCATCCAGAGATTGAATATTTACTTTGAGTGTGTTTAATGTGTAAAATTTTATATTTAAATCCTTTCTTATGATTAAAAAAAAAAAGCAGCAGGATTTGGGTCTTGAGTGAAGCATGGCTAAAAACAGAGATACAGAGGAAGTAAGTGCTGAAGGAATACCCCAGCCACTCGACTTGGCAAAGGCTCAGCACTAATTACTACTACTTGGGTATCCCCATTCTCCTTTCATCTTTTTGGACATGAGTAAAGCTTCGCCAGTTCCAAAACAGCTGAGGAGAAGGAAATGAAGGTGTTTAGGGGCTAAGTGTTAAGTGCTCTTCTCTTGGATGAAATTGGGGAAGTGCTGGCATTCTCAGTAACTTCGCCTAAAGCAAAGTGTCTTACTATTTGGAACAGAGGTGGAGGAGGCCACCAATAGTAAAACAAAGTATAAGTTGAAAAATGAATGAGAGAAACTGCAACTTAATTCTGACAGCAATATTATCAAAATTGGTCTGCACAGGGCTTGGGGAAATAGATATCCTCTTGTGTGATGCTGCAGCATTCACGAAGTGGCAAACATGGTCAGCTGGGAGCATTCGGAGGCTTTCCATCTGTGGAGCGCTATTTGTGGCTCTATGAGAACACTCCCAGTGTGGAAAAGACAGTGTTCTCTTAAGAAGCTTGTAATTATCTCCAACTTGCTCACTTGCTCAACTCTCTTTGATCTTTGGCTTTCAACATCTGACTTTAGAGTGGTGCTATGCTAACTCCCATGGATCATCCTGAATAGACCCGACCAGGTAGCCACAGGAATCCCGTGAAAGCCTGTAGTGCTACCCTTGCACCTAGAAAGAGGGGCCACTGTTCTGAGCCCTGGGCTTTAGAGGGCTCTGCATAGGACAGGCACACACAGAAACCTACATTTGTTCAAGAATACGTGGGCCCGGGCTGGGTGCAGTGGCTCATGCCTGTAATTCCAGCACTTTGAGAGGCCAAGGTGGGTGGATCAACTGAGGTCAGGAGTTTAAGAACAGCCTGGTCAACATGGTGAAACCCCGTCTCTACTAAAAATAAAAAAATTAGCTGGGTGTGGTGGTGCATGCTTGTAGTCCCAGCTACTCGGGAGGTTGAGGTGGAAGAATTGTACAAACCCAGGAGGCGGAGGTTGCAGTGAGCCAAGATCGTGCCACTGCATTCAAGCCTGGATGATAGAGCAAGACTCCATCTCAGAAGAGGAAGAAAACAAAAACAAAAACAAAAACACACGGGCCCTTGATCTGGAGCTCAGCTCTGAAACAGCAGGAACCATAACCCTAAAGATTCACTCTCATCATTAACCACATTCAGGTCTCAGGGAATGCTTCACCACATCTTTTACCCTTTACCTTCAAAACAAAAGATGACTGTGCCCAAATACTGTAAAGGTTTGTGGGTGATGCTGCTGCTGAGATCAGACACAGACACTGCTTTGGAGTGCAGGAAAGACTGGGGCAGCAGCAGTAAGGTAAGAGGAAAGGTAACCTGTCAAAACCTCTCAGATAGCATGAATGCAAGATTTGTGCATAATGAAATATATTTTCCAGTGGTGCTGAGCACCCATTTTTTGCTTCTTTTAATGCCTTAATTTGCAATTCCACAGGTATTCGCATACAGGAATGGTATTTGCAAGAGCTACATATGGTGGCTGAAGAACATTGTGCAATATGCATCCTGAGTACCCTTACATTTATATATATGTAGATCTAGATGGAACATGAAGCCTGGTACCAACTCTTCATATTACTGGATAGATCTAAAGATTGTTTGAGAGATGGTAAAAACAGCCATAGAAGTGGTAGTGAATTATATGAAATTAAAATACTCCATAGCATTTTCTGGCCTATCATAATGTTTGAATGTGATGTGAAAATCTTGCTTTTGAACAACTTAGTGATTTTTCTGAGAAGGCAAGACGATCAAATTTTGTGAAACAATACTTTGATTTTTATATATTTGGGTTTTCTGTATTTTTCATCATCTCATAACACCTTCGGGGTGCTTTCTTCATAACTTCTTAAACTAAAGAACAAAACACTTCATGCTATTGCTGGCACCATGACCTGCCAGCCAACAGTTGTATTTCAGCATCTTTTCTGAATTTGCACAGTAACATTTGCTCATTTGAAAATTTTGTGGTATTTTGGCCCTTAACTCATAAAAACTAATGAAAAACAGAAAAATAAAACTTACTATTAGCCTAACTCAAATTTAATATAGTGAAACTAACAATAGAAGTCAACAGGATGCTTAAAGCCCCAAATCTTAAACCTCATCAGAAGGTTTTTTGGACTTAAACACATCCACTAGTAGTCATTTGTGAAAGAAAACACAATTAAAGATGATGAGAATAGCACTAAATTTGATATCAAAGTAGAGTCTCAAGCTTCATTTCTCACAAGATGGTCATAATTCTAAATGGATACTGAGTTTTTTTAAAAAAACAGTTTCTTTTTTTTTTCCAAGATGGCAGATTAGAGTCTTTCAGTGTGCCTTGGCTCCTTGGAAATAGCAAGATAGTGTGTAAAGATCATCTCTGTGGGTTTTTATCCAAAAAGGAAAATGGGAATCCACTAGAATTGTGAAGGACACCCCAGATGCCAGGGAGGAGAATGTGGACAAACAGCCCCAGTGATGGCATGCAGCTGATAAAAATGAGTGAAGCCCTAGTACATGGGAGAGGCAGACAGCCTCCCTCTATGACTCACCTTTCCACTTGGGATCCAGGCAACCCAGGCTGAGGGAGAGCACTTTGTTTCTCGCAAGCTCTGGAGCTAACTTGGGGAAGCGGCTTGGAAACACTGTGAGGAAAAGACATAGAGAAAAGCTGCAAACATTTTCCCAGACTCAGGACTGAAAGCAGGGTGCCATTTTTAATCCAGGCATTCTTTGGTGACCTAGCAGTGTGGCCACACAGGCATTTTAGTCTTGGGTCAGCAATTGGAGCACCTGCTCTGGCTTAGGGTAGGAGTCTCCATAGCCAGAACTGTGCAAAGAGCCTCAGTAGTAGGTGCAGGGATTGTGCTCTCCCGCTTTGCAGGCCTGAGGTGGGAGGAGAGCTGCTACAGCTGCAGTTTCTCCTGTGTGATGAGACTTGCAGCCAGGGCTAGCTTGGTAACCTGGAACTAGTCTGCATATGTCATTGCAGGGTGACCCAGCCTGCTCCCCTGAGATTGTGGTGCAGCAGAGCCCTCTGCTCCACCCTCAGGCAGAAATCCAGGCATTTGGAGCACTTGCTTGTCTGGACCAGCAGCCTGAGCTGCCTCACCCTTCATGGACATAGATTGTGGTACAGCGTGGCTCTCTCTGCTCCACACCCAGGCAGATCTCCAGGTATCTGGAGCACCCCCTTCCTTGGATCAGCAGCCTGAGTTGTCCTACCTTTCCTGTGTATAGATTGTGGTGCAAGGGTGCCCTCTCCACTCCAACTCTAGGCAGATCTCCAGGCATTTGGAGCACCTGCTCACATGGACTAGCAGCCTGAGTGCCCTACCTTTCCTGTGCAGAGATCTGGGTGTGGGAAAGCCCTCTCCATTTTGCACCCCGGCAGATCTCTAGGCATTAGGTGCACTTGCTCATCTGGTTCAGCAGCCTGAGCCGCTGCCCCTCCCCATTCCAAGACATAGATCATGGTGCAGCAAGGCCCTCTCTGCTCCATGACCAGGCAGATCATCAGGCATTCGGAGCACCCATTTTCCTCGATCAGCAGTCTGAGTCACCCAAACCCTCCTACGCAGAGGTCTTGGTATGGGGGGCCCTCTCTCCTCCATGCTCAGGCAGATCTCTAGGCATTTAGAGCACTCACTTGCCTGGAACAGCAGCCTGAGCACCTCACCCTTCCTGTGCATAGATCCTGGTGCAGTGGGGCTCCATGCCTAGATAGAGCTCCAGGCATCTGGAGCAGTCACTCTACTGGATTAGTTTAAGCCGCCCCCATCCCTTTGCAGGGAACTTGGGGTCGAGGAAATTTCCCAAGCATCTCTGGGTGCTTGGTAGTGGCTACCCACTGCATTCTCCCTCAGTGCTGGTACTTGTACCTGCCATCAGGGGACCTGTAGTTGGACCTGCCTAGTCCAGCTCTGCTCATTTTGGCCCCTCCCTCCCTGTGTCTGAGCAGGGAGCTCAGACCACTATGCACCCCATGAATCAGCTCATTGCCTGAGGTAACAGAGCTTTTCCCCATAAACAAGGATCAAGTATATACTCAGTCACATTGGCCATAGCAGGCTCTTACCTATTAGCACCATCTACTGGTTTGTAGGTTGAACTGCACAGCCCAGTATAAAACCTGCTGACAGAAGTGAATAGGGTTATAGAAGCAAAGCCAAAAGACCCTACCCAGCATTCTTTATAGTCACACTCCCTAGAGAGGGGGGAAAAGGGAAAGGGAAAGAAAAAAAACCCCAATAATATTATAGGGACAGAAGGAAAAATAAATAATCCTAACCTATATGAAAATACTATAAAATTAAAATGCCAGCATCTCCAGATGAGAAGGAATCAGTGCGAGAATTCTGGCACCATGAAAAATCTCAATATAGTGACACCACCAAAGGATCAAACTTGCTCTCCAGCAATGGTCTATAGCCAAAATAGAAACTCAGAAAGAACGGATAAATAATTCAAAGCATGGATTACAAGGAAGATCAATGAGATCCAAGTCAAGGTTAAAAATCAACAACACAAAACTTCTAAAGCAATCCAGGAAATGAAGCAAGAGATAAACATCTTATAAAGAAATCAATCAGAGCTTCTGAAGTTGAAAAACTCACTCAGGGAATTTCAAAATACAATTGAAAGCTTTATCAATAGTCTGGACCTAGCAGAAGAAAGAATTTCAGAGCTTGAAGACTGATCTTTTGAGCTAACTCAGTTACACAAAAATAAGGAAAAAATAATTTTTAAAGGTGAACAAAGGCTTTGAGAAATATGGGATTATGTAAAACAACCAAACCTGTGAATTACTGGCATTCCTGAGAAGGAAAAAAGTGAACAACCTGGAAAACATATTTGAGGGAATAATTCAAAAAAGTTTCCTTAATCTTGCTAGAGGTAGACATCCAGATACAAGAAATCCAGAGAACACCTGCAAGATACCATACAACATGAGCATCACCAAGGTATATAGCCACCAGACTGTCCAAGGTCAATGCTAAAGAAAATATATATATATATATTTTTCAAGATGGAGTCTCACTCTGTCACTCAGGCTGGAGTGCAGTGGCATTATCTTGGCTCACTGCAGCCTCCTCCTCCTGGGCTCAAACGATTCTTTAGCCTCAGCTTCCTGAGTAGCTGCGACTACAGGTGCATACCACCACGGCCAGCTAATTTTTATATTTTTAGTAGAGACCGGGTTTTGCCATGTTGGTCAGGTTGGTCTTGAACTCCTGACCTCAAGTGATCTGCTGACCTTGGCCTCCCAAAGTGCTGGGATTACAGGTGTGAGCCACCGCGCCCAGGAGAAAACATTTTAAAGGCAGCTAGAGAAAAAGGTCGGATTGTGTACAAAGATAATGCATCAGGCTAACAATGGACTTCTCAGCAGAAACCTTACGTGCCAGGGGAGATTGGAAGTCTTTTTTCGGCATTTTTAAAGACAAGAAATTCCAGCCAAGAATGTCATATCCCTCCAAATTAAGCTTCATAAGCAAAGGAGAAAGAAAATATTTTCTAGATAAGCAAGAGCTAAGGGAATATGTTACCACCAGATCAGCTGTACAAAAGATTCTTAAAGGAGTTCAAAACACGGAGACGATAGAATGATATGTGCTATCACAGAAACACACTTTTAAGAACATAGCCCACAGATCCTATAAAGCAACCACACCACAGAAATTGCAAAACAACCAGCTAACAATCTCATGATAGAATCAAAACCTTGCATATCAATATTAACCTTGAATGTAAATGGTTTAAACACCTCACTTAAAAGGCACAGGGTGGCAAGTTGGATAAAAAAACAAAAGCCATCCATTTGCTACCTTCGACTGACCATTGTCACACATTAATAACATCCATAGGCTCAAAGTAAAGGGTTGGAAAAAGATTTACCATGCAAACAGAAAACAAAAAATGGGTAGGGGTTGCTATTCATATATCAGATAAAACACACTTTTAACCAACAACAGTAAAGAAAAGGACAAACGATAAAGAGTTAATTCAACAAGAAGACTTAACTACCCTAAATATATATACAGCCAACAATAGAGCAACCAGATTCATAAAACAGGTACTTCTAGACCTACAAAAAGACTTAGCCACACAATAGTAGTGGGGGACTTCAACACCACATTGACAGCATTAGAGAGATCACTGAGGCAGAAAACAACAAAGAAATTCTAGACTTAACTTCAACACTTGACCAATTGGGCCTAATAGACATCTACTGAATATTCCACCCATCAACCACAGAATATACATTCCTCTCATCTGCACACAGAACAGACTCCAAGATTGACCACATGCTTGGTCATAAAGTAAGTTTTAAGAAATTTAAAAAAAAAATCAAAATCATAACAACCATACTCTCAGACCACAGTGGAATAAAAATAGAAATCAGTATCAAGAAGACTGTTCAAAACCACATAAGTACATGGAAAATAAACAACTTGCTCCTGAATCACTTTTGGGTAAACAATGGAATTAAGGTAGAAATAAAAAAATTCTTTGAAATTAATGAAAACAGAAACAATATATCAAAATCTCTGGGATACAGCAAAAGCAATATTTAAGAGGAAAGTTTATAGCAGTAAACACCTACCTCAAAAAGTTAGAAAGATCTTAAATTAATGATCTAACATCACACATAGAGGAAACAGGAAAAGAACAAACTAATCCCAAAGCCAGCAAAGAAAAGAAATAAGTCAGAGCAGCACTGAATGAAATTGAGACCCCAAAATCCATACAAAGAATCAATGAAACCAAAAGTTGGTTCTTTGAAAAAAATAAACAAGACTGATAGACTGCTAGCTAAATTAACAAAGAAAAGAAGATCCAAGTAAGCCTAGTCAGAAAGGACAGAGGTGACATTATAACTGAGAGAAATACAAAAGATCCTCAGAGATTATTATGAACACCTCTATGCACAAAAACTAGAAACCTAGAGGAAATGGATAAATTCCCGGAAACACACAACTTCCCAAGATTAAATCAAGAAGAAATCGAAAGCCTGAATAGACTAACATTAAGTTCCAAAATTGAATCAGTAATAAAAAATTTAACCACCAAAAAAAGGCCCAGACCAGAAGAATTCACAGCCAAATTCTACCAGATATACAAAGAAGAGTTGATACCAACTCTACTGAAACTATTAAAAAAAACTAAGGAAGGACTTCTCCCTAACTCATTGTATGAAGCCAGTTTTGGTATCATTCTAATCCCAAAACTGGGCAAAGACACAATGAAAAAAGAAAACTAAAGGCCAGTAATCCCTATGAACATAGACACAAAAATCCTGAACAAAATACTAATAAACTGAATCCAACAGCACATCAAAAAACTAATTCACCATAATCAAGTAGGCTTCATTCTTGGAATGCAAGGTTGGTTAAACATATGCAAATCAACAAATGTGATTCACCATATAAAAAGAATTGAATTAAAAACAAAAATCAGGCCGGGTAGGGTGGCTCATGCCTGTAATCCCAGCACTTTGGGAAGCTGAGGCAGGTGGATCACCTGAGGTCAGGAGTTTGAAACCAGCTTGGGCAACATGTGAAAACCTGTCTCTACTAAAATTACAAAAATTAGCTGGGCATGGTGGCACACACCTGTAACCACAGCTACTCAGGAGGCTGAGGCAGGAAAATCGTTTGAACTCTAGAGGTGGAGGTTGCAGTGAACCGAGATTGCACCACTGCACTCCAGCCTGGGTGATAGTGTGAGACTCTGTCTCAAAAAAAAAAAAAAAAAAAAAAAAATCATATGATCATCTCAGTAGATGCAGAAAAGGCTTTTGATAAAATCCAACATCCCTTCCTGATAAAATGTCTCAAGATACTAGGCATCACAGGAAATTATCTCAAAATAATGAGAGCCATCTATGACAAATCCACAATCAACATCATAGTGAACAGGCAAATATAGGAAGCATTTCCATTGCGAACAGCAACAAGACAAAGATGCCCATTTTTACCACTCCTATTCAAAACTGTACTGGAAGATTTTGCCAGAGCAATCAGGCAAGAGAAAGAAACAAAAGGCATCCAAATAGGAAACTAAGCTAAACCATTTCTCTTTGCTGATGATGACTGTATACCTAGAAAACCGTAGACTCTGCCAAAAGGCTCCTGGAACTGATAAACGACTTCAGTAAGTTTCAGGATACAAAAATCAGTAGCATTTCTATACAGCAATAACATTCAAGCTGAGAGCAGAATCAAGAACACAATTCCACTTACAACAGCCACACAAACATACACACAATACCTAGGAATACATCTAATCAGGGAGGTGAAAGACAGCTACAAGAAGAACTGTAAAACACTGCTGAAATAAATCACAGATGACACAAATGGAAAAATATTTTATGATAATGGATAGGAATACTCAATATCATTACAATGGCCATACTGCCCCAAACAATGTACAGAGTGAAAACTATTCTTATCAAACTACCAATATCATTTTTCACAGAACTAGAAAAAAAGCATTCTAAAATTCATATGGAATCAAAAAGGAGCCTAAATAGCCAAAGCAATCCTAAGCAAAAAGAGAAAAGCTGGAGGCATCTCATTACCTGACTTCAAACTACACTACAAAGCTACAGTAACCAAAATGGCATTGTATTGGTACAAAAACATAGATCAGTGAAACAGAATACCGAATCCAGAAATAAAGCCACACACCTACAGCCATTTGATCTTTGACAAAGTCAACAAAAATAAGCAGTGGGAAAAGGACTCCCTATTCAATAAATGGTGTTGGGACAGCTGGCCAGCCATATGCAGAAGAATGAAACTGGACCCTTACCTTTCACCATATATAAAAATCAAAGATGGATTAATGATTTAAATATAAGACCTCAAACTGTAAGAATCCTAGAAGAAACCTAGGAAACATTATTTTGGACATGGGCCTTGGGAAAGAATTTATGACTAAGCCCTCGATAGTAAACAGACAACCTATATAATGTGAGAAAATTATTTGCAAACTATGCATCTGACAAAGGTCTAATATCCAGGATCTATAAGGAACTTAAACAACTGAATGGGCAAAAACTTAATAAACCCATTTAAAAATGGTCAAAACACATGAACAAACACTTCTCAAAAGAAAACATACAAGTGGACAACAAACATGAAAAAATGCTCAACATCACTAATCGTAAGAGAAATGAAAATCAAAACCACTGTGAATATAACATCTCACACCAGTCAGAATGGCTATCATTAAAAAGTCAAAAAATAAGATATGTGGAAGCCCTGGGCAAGATGGCTGAATAGGAACAGCTCCAGTCTACAGCTCCCAGTGAGATCAATGCAGAAGGTGGGTGATTTCCGCATTTCCAACTGAGGTACCTGGTTCATCTCATTGGGACTGGTTGAACAGTGGGCGCAGGCCAACGAGGGTGAGCTGAAGCAGGGTAGGGCGTTGCCTTACCCGGGAAGCCCAAGGGGTTGGGAACTCCCTCTCCTAGCCAAGGGAAGCCATTAGGGACTGTACCGTGCACTCCAGCCCAGATACCGTGCTTTTCCCACGCTCTTCACAGCCCACAGATCAGGAGATTCCCTCTGGTGCCTATGCCACCAGGGCCCTGGGTTTCCAGCACAAAACTGGGTGGCCATTTGGGCAGACATCAAGCTAGCTGCAGGAGTTTTGTTTTGTTTTGTTTTGTTTTTCAATACCCCAGTGGCACCTGGAACACCAGTGAGATAGAACAGCTCACTCCTCTGGAAAGCGGGCTGAAGCCAGGGAGCCAAGTGGTCTGGCTTGGCGGGTCCCACCCCCAAAGAGCCCTGCAAGCTGAGATCTACAGGCTTGAAATTCTTGCTGCCAGCACAGCAGTCTGAGATCGACCTGGGATGGTCGAGCTTGGTGCAGGGGAGGGGTATCCGCCATTGCTGAGGCTTTGGTAGGCGGTTTTACCCTCACAGTGTAAACAAAGCTGCTGGGAAGTTTGAACTGGGTGGAGCCCACCACAGCTCAGCAAGGCCGCTGCAGCCAGACCGCCTCTCTAGAATCCCTCCTCTCTGGGCAGCGCATCTCTGAAAAAAAGGCAGCAGCCCGTCAGGGACTTGCAGATAAAATCCCCACCTTCCTGGGACAGAGCACCTGGGGGAAGGTCGGTTAGGGGCGCAGCTTCAGCAGACATAAATGTCCCTGCCTGGCAGCTCTGAAGAGAGCAGCGGATCTTCCAGTACAGCGTTCCAACTCTGATACGGGACAGACTGCCTCCTCAAGTGGGTCCCTGACCCCCGTGTATCCTGACTGGGAGACACCTCCCAGTAGGGGCCGACCATGCATCTATCACCTCACACAGGAGAGCTCTGGCTGGCACCTGGCAGGTGCCCCTTTTGGACAAAGCTTCCAGAGGAAGGAACAGGCAGCAATCTTTGCTGTTATGCAGCCTCTGCTGGTGATACCCAGGCAAACAGGGTCTGGAGTGGACCTCCAACAAACTCCAGTAGACCTGAAACAGAGGGGTCTGACTGACTGTTATAAGGAAAACTAACAAACAGAAAGGAATAATATCAACATCAACAAAAAGGATGTCCTCTCAGAGACGTCCTCCGAAGATCACCGACTTCAAAGATCAAAGGTAGATAAATCCACGAAGATGGGGAGAAACCAGTGCAAAAAGGCTGAAAACTCCAAAAACCAGAATGCCTATTCTCCTACAAAGGATCACAACTTCTTGCCAGCAAGGGAACAAAACTGGACGGAGAGTGAGTTTGATGAATTGACAGAAGTAGGCTTCAGAAGGTGGGTAATAACAAACTCCTCCGAGCTAAAGGAGCATGTTCTAACCCAATGCAAGGAAGCTAAGAACCTTGAAAAAAGGTTAGATGAATTGCTAATTAGAATAACCAGTTCAGAGAAGAACATAAATGACCTGATGGAGGTGAAAAACACAGCACAAGAACTTCGAGAAGCATACACAGGTATCAATAGCTGAATCGATCAAGCAGAAGAAAGGATATCAGAGATTGAAGATCAACTCAATGAAATAAAGTGAGAAGACAAGATTAGAGAAAAAGAGGGAAAAGAAACGAACAAAGCCTCCGAGAAATATGGGACTATGTGAAAAGACCAAATCTACATTTGATTGGTGTACCTGAAAGTGACAGGGAGAATGGAACCAAGTTGGAAACACTCTTCAGCATATTATCCAGGAGAACTTCCCCAACCTAGCAAGGCAGGCCAACATTCAAATTCAGGAAATACAGAGAACACCACAAAGATACTCCTCGAGAAGAGCAACCCCAAGATACATAATCGTCAGATTCACCAAAGTTGAAATGAAGGAAAAAATGTTAAGGGCAGCCAGAGAGAAAGTTTGGGTTACCCACAAAGGGAAGCTCATCAGACTAACAGTGGATCTCTCAGCAGAAACCCTACAAGACAGAAGAGAGGGGGGGCCAATATTCAACATTCTTAACGAAAAGTATTTTCAACCCAGAAATTCATATTCAGCCAAACTAAGCTTCATTAGCGAAGGAGAAATAAAATCCTTTACAGACAAGCAAATGCTGAGAGATTTTGTCACCACCAAGCCTGCCTTACAAGAGCTCCTGAAGGAAATACTAAACATGGAAAGGAAAAACCACTACCAGCCTCTGCAAAAACATACCAAACTGTAAAGGCCATCGTCACTATGAAGAAACTGCATCAACTAATAGGCAAAATAACCAGCTAGCATCATAATAGCAGGATCAAATTGACACATAACAATATTAACCTTAAATGTAAATGGGCTGAATGCCCAAATTAAAAGACACAGACTGGCAAATTGCATAAAGAGTCAAGACCCATCGGTGTGCTGTATTCAGGAGACCCATCTCACATGCAAAGACACACATAGGCTCAAAATAAAGGGATAGAGGAATATTTACCAAGCAAATGGAAAGCAAAAAAAAAAGCAGGGGTTGCAATCCTAGTCTTTGATAAAACAGACTTTAAATCAACAAAGATCAAAAGAGACAAAGAAGGGAATTACATAATGGTAAAAGGATCAATGCAACAAGAAGAGCTAACTATCCTAAATATATATGCATCCAATAAAGGAGCAGCCAGCTTCATAAAGCAAGTCTTAGAGACCTACAAAAAGACTTAGACTCCCACAGAATAATAGTGGGAGCCTTTAACACACCACTGTCAATATTAGACAGATCAATGAAACAGAAAATTAACAAGGATATCCAGGACTTGAACTCAGCTCTGCACCAAGCAGACCTAATAGACATCTACAGAACTCTCCACCCCAAAGCAACAGAATATATATTCTTCTCAGCACCACATCGCACTTATTCTAAAATTGACCACATAATTGGAAGTAAAACAGTCCTCAGCAAATGCAAAAGAAAGGAAACTATAACAGTGTCCCAGACCACAGTGCAATCAAATTAGAACTCAGGAATAAGAAACTCACTAAAAACGGCACAACTACATGGAAACTGAACAACTTGCTCCTGAATGACTACTGGGTAAATAACAAAATTAAGACAGAAACAAAGATGTTCTTTGAAACCAGTGACACAAAGACACAGCATACCACAATCTCTGGGACACATTTAAAGTAGTGCGTAGAGGGAAATTTATAGCACTAAATGCCCACAAGAGAAAGCAGGAAAGATCTAAAATCAACACCCTAAATCACAATTAAAAGAACTAGAGAAGCAAGAGCAAACACATTCAAAAGCTATCATAAGACAAGAAATTACTAAGATCAGAGCAGAACTGAAGGAGACAGAGACACAAAAAACCCTTCAAAAAATCAATGAATCCAGGAGCTGGTTTTTGAAAAGATCAACAAAATTAATAGACTGCTAGCAAGACTAATAAAGAAGAAAAGAGAGAAGAATCAAATAGATGTAATAAAAAATGATAAAGGGGATATCACCACTGATCCCACAGAAATACAAACTACCATCAGAGAATACTATAAACACCTCTATGAAAATAAATTAGAAAATCTAGAAGAAATGGACAAATTCCTGGACACATACACCCTCCCAAGACTAAACCAGGAAGAAGTCAAATCCCTGAATAGACTGATAAGAGGTTCTGAAATTGAGGCAGCAATTAATAGCCTACCAACCAAAAAAACACCCAGGACCAGATGGATTCACAGCCGAAATCTACCAGAGGTACAAAGAGGAGCTGGTACCATTCCTTCTGAAACTATTCCAAACAATAGAGGGAATCCTCCCTAACTCATTTTATGAGGCCAGCATCATCCTGATACCAAAACCTGGCTAAGACACAACAAAAAAAGAAAATTTTAGGCCAATATCCCTGATGAACATTGACGCTAAAATCCTCAATAAAATACTGGCAAACAGAATCCAGCACCATATCAAAAAGCTTATCCTCCATGATCAAGCGGCTTCATCCCTGGGATGCAAGGCTGGTTCAACATTCATAAATCAATAAACGTAATCCATCACATAAACAGAACCAATGACAAAAACCACATGATTATCTCAATGGATGCAGAAAAGGCCTTCAACAAAATTCAACAGCCCTTCATGTTAAAAACTCTCAATAAACTAGGTATTGACGGAACATTTCTCAAAATAATAAGAGCTATTTATGACAAACCCACAGCCAATATCACACTGAATGGGCAAAAACTAGAAGCATTCCCTTTGAAAACTGGCAGAAGACAAGGATGCCCTTTCCCACCACTCCTATTCAACATAGTATTGGAAGTTCTGGCCAGGGCAATCAGGCAAGAGAAAGAAATAAAGGGTATTCAATTAGGAAAAGAGGAAGTCAAACTGTCTTTGTTCGCAGGTGACATGATTGTATATTTAGAAAACCCCATCGTCTCAGCCCCAAATCTCCTTTAAGCTGATAAGCAACTTCAGCAAAGTCTCAGGATACAAAATTAATGTGCAAAAATACAAGCATTCCTATACACCAATAACAGACAAACAGAGAGCCAAATCATGAGTGAACTCCCATTCACAATTGCTACAAAGAGAATAAAATACCTAGGAATCCAACTTACAAGGGATGTGAGGATCTCTTCAGGGAGAACTGCAAACCACTGCTCAAGGAAATGAGAGGACACAAACAAGTGGAAAAACGTTCCATGCTCATGGATAGGAAGAATCAATACCGTGAAAATGGCCATACTGCCCAAAGTAATTTATAGATTTGATGCTATCCCCATCAAGCTACCACTGACTTCCTTCACAGAATTGGAAAAAACTACTTTAAATTTCATACGGAACCAAAAAAGAGCCTGCATAGCCAAGACAATCCTAAGCAAAAAGAACAAAGCTGGAGGCATCACGCTACCTGACTTCAAACTATACTACAAGACTACAGTAACGAAAACAGCATGGTACTGGTACCAAAACAGATATATAGACCAAGGGAACAGAACAGAGCCCTCAGAATTAACACCACACATCTACAGCCATCTGATCTTTGACAAACCTGACAAAAACAAGCAATGGGGAAAGGATTCCCTATTTAATAAAATGGTGCTGGGGAAACTGGCTAGCCATATGCAGAAAGCTGAAACTGTATCCCTTCCTTACACCTCATACAAAAATTAACTCAAGATGGATTAAAGACTTAAACATAAGCCCTAAAACCATAAAAACCCTACAAGAAAACCTAGGCAATACCATTTAGAACATAGGCATGGGCAAAGACTTCATGACTAAAACACCAAAAGCAATGGCAGCAAAAGTCAAAATAGACAAATGGGATCTAATTAAACTAAAGAGCTTCTGCACAGCCAAAGAAACTACCATCAGAGAGAACAGGCAACCTAGAGAATGAGAGAAAATTTTTGCAATCTATCCATCTGACAAAGGGCTAATATCCAGACTCTACAAAGAACTTAAAAAAATTTACAACAAAAAAACAAACAACCCCATCAAAAAGTGGGCAAAGGATATGAACAGACACTTCTCAAAAGAAGGCATTTATGCAGCCAGCAAACATATGAAAAAAAAACCTCATCACTGGTCATTAGAGAAAATGGAAATCAAAACCACAATGAGATACCATCTCACTCCAGTTAGAATGGCAATGATTAAAAAGTCAGGAAACAACAGATGCTGGAGAGAATGTGGAGAAATAGAAATGCTTTTACACTGTTGGTGGGAGTATAAATTAGTTCAACCACTGTGGAAGACAGTGTGGCAATTCCTCAAGAATCTAGAACTAGAAATATCATTTGACCCAGCAATCCCATTATTGGATATATACCCAAAAGATTATAAATCATTCTACTATAAAGACACATGCACACGTATGTTTATTGCAGCACTGTTCACAATAGCAAAGACTTGGAACCAACCCAAATGCCCATCAATGATAGACTGGATAAAGAAAATGTGGCACATATACACCATGGAATACTATGCAGCCATAAAAAGGATGAGTTCGTTTCCTTTGCAGGGACATGGATGCAGCTAGAAACCATCATTCTCAGCAAACTAACACAAGAACAGAAAACCAAACACTGCATGTTCTCACTTATAAGTGGAGTTGATCAATGAGAACACATGGACACAGGGAGGGGACCATCACACACCAGGGCCTGTTGGGGGGTGGGGGGTGCCTAGGGGAGGGACAGCATTAGGAGAAATACCTAACGTAGATGACGGGTTGATGGGTGCAGCAAACCACCATGGCATGTGTATACCTATGCAACAAACCTGCATGTTTTGCCATGTACCGCAGAACTTAAAGTATAATAATAGTAATAATAATATGTGCCAGATGCAGTGGCTCATGTCTGTAATCCCAGCACTTTCAGAGGCCAAGGCAGGAGAATCGCTTGAGTTCAGGAATTTGAGACCAGCCTGGGCAGCATGGTGAGTCCCTATCTCTGCAAAAAATACAAAAATTAACTGGACTTTATGGAACACACCTGCACTTCCAGCTACTTGGGAAGTTGAGGTGGGAGGATCGATTGAGCACAGGAGGTTGAGGTTGCAGTGAGCCATGATTGCACGACTGCACTCAAGCCTGGGTGACAGAGCAAGACTCTGTCTCATAATGAACAAATAAACAAAAAAACAGATACTAGCGAGGCTGTGGAGAAAAGGGAATGCTCGTACACCGTTGGTGGGAATGTAAATTAGCTCAGCCACTTTGGAAGGCAGTTTGGAGATTTCTCAAAGAAATTAAATCAGAACTACCATTCAACCCAGTAATTCCACTATTGGGTATACATCCAAAAGAAAATAAATCATTCTACAAAAAGATACATGCATTCATGTTCATCGCAGCATTATTCACAATAGCAAAGACATGGAATCAACCCAAGTGTCCATCAGTGGTGGACTGGATAAGGAAAATGTTGTATATATACACCATGGAATAGTATGCAGCCATAAAAAACCCTGAAATCATGTCCTTCATGGCAACATGCATGTAGGTAGAGGTCATTATCCTAAGCAAATTAACACAGAAACAGAAAACCAAATACTGCATGTTCTCACTTACAAGTGGGAGGTAAACACTGGCTACTCAAGGACATAAAGATGGCAACAATAGAAACTGGGGGCTATTACAGCAGGGATGGAGGGGGGAAAGGGTTGAAAAACTATGTATTGGATGCTATACTCTGTATCTGGGTAACAGGATCTATCATACTCTAAGCCTCAGCCTCATGGAACATATCCAGGTAACAACCCTGCACATATATCCCAGAATCTAAAATAAAAATGGAAATTATAAAAAAAAAAGAAATTAAATTGTGAAGAAGACAAAGTATCAAAAGACCTTTTCTGTTAGAGTCTAACAATGTTCAAATTTAGCTTCTTGGAAATAACTTTTAAATAGCTAAGAGCATCAACAGAAAACTGTGGACTACAGGAAAAGAACTGCTTCATATTTCCCGAATCTTCTCAAACTTGGTATCTGCATATCAATGACTTTAGATTTTATTTTTATGTTGCTGTTACTTTTGCTAAGGAAGTATTATGGTATACATAGATACTGTCTATGCTATTTTAAAAAATATCTAGGAAAATACATTAAGATCTGTTTATTATTACTATTAGTGGTTTCTTGTGTATGTGTTGGTTTGACAAGTAGAGGTTGTTTTCTAACCAAAAACATAACAGAAAAGATTTAGTACAGGATTACCTGTGCAGACAGCTGTGACAAAGACACAGGGAGACAAATGAAAATTCAAGCTACTCATGTTTATTAACTGATCTACATTTGACAAAACAAAGATAGGGGCACAAAGAGCTGTTTGACAAAGTCAAATCCCAGGTATCGAACAATAGTATTCCCCTGGCTGCCCTAGAGGGCACTTGTGCCCACTCTGAGGGGGATGTCCTCTGCCATGCGACCGCTCAGTTATCACACTGCACTGCTGTTGGGTTGCATGTGGAGTACAGGTCTGCATGCATCTGACATCAGAGAAGTGGCCCACTAAACACTAAGAGCCCTAGTTCTAGATGTCACAAGTTGATGTTAGTAACCACCAAGTACTAATTCTGTACTAAAATGGTCAGAAAAGATAACAAGCTTTGAGTACTGTGTAAAATTATACCCTTTATAGGGAATAGGCTCTTGTAAGCTGCCTTTTAACTTATTTCCTCCCTTGCCAAAGTCTATTCATTTATGTCAAATCAAGAACATACAGCACAACATTTTCTAAAAAAGCACTTTAACAATGGTCATTAACTTCTCCCTAAGGACTCATGCCTAAGGTTATTTACATAAGATTTGGGATCTTCATAATTTAGGAGAACTTTTAATTCTGAGCTCGGGAAGATATTTCTCCTATTAGACAATAGGACACTCAGAAATACCTGAGGTATAATCACTGAAAACCTTCTTAAAGGCGAAAAAAAAAAAAGATTGAGGTTTCCTATACTGGCATGAAAGTACACATACAATTTTTATCGTAGAAAAGACTAAAATGTGAATAGTGACAAAACATAACAGATAAATTGGGAGGAATCAGCTATTAGGCTCCAATTCTTCTTACTATATTTTGCAGACAATTCTAGTATTATAGAGATTATCAGGATATACCAAAAATGATTTTAGGTAGAAACTTCAAAAAACAGCAAAACCCAGTTTTAAGACAGGATTCCTTTCTAGAGACATTACACAACAGTATACACTTAAGGTGTTTCTGGTGGAACATCAACATCAATGTACTTAAAAAAAATCTAAGCCTGGTTCTTTTTGATCAGATGTGCTTATTTGGCTGCTAATACACCCCCACCACCCTGCCTCCAAAGTGATCATTTAGTCATTAATTATAAAAAAGTATACAAATTATACTCAATACAGAGCACGGCAAGATCTAGTTCAATTTATAGCTTTAAGTAATACACATAAATCGGACAATTTAACGTTGTACTACTCTCTGGCCCTACAGTTTCCTACTTCCTGATGTTTCCTGGAAACTGTAACTGTCCAGGCAACAGAAACAGTAATTACTTTCTTAGGGAACAAATAAAAAATTTTAAGAATTGACTAAAGTAAGCACCCCAGAGTCACTTTATGAAATACAAATTCAAATGGTATTTTTTAAAAGTGAATTGGAATATGCGGGAAATTTAAACAGCAGGGATTCTTCTATTTAATGCCTGCCCCATTCAGGGACACTTATATTCACATATAAACCTGCTGGAATCCTTTCTGAAACTCTACACTCTATTGACCTCAGCACAACTGAGTGAAGGGGAACGAAAGGGAGAGACCATCTTCACCCTTTGTTTTTGTGGAATTTATTTAGAAAAATTTTATTGAGAGATTCTAAAAAGTATAAGAAACTAACAAATTTTTACCACTGCATTCATGTTGGCTTTTTGAGCACATAGCTCTAAGTGGGGGGATGGCGGGGATGCCTCAAAAGGGGAGAGGAAGGACTCTCCTTGGCCTGGGAATAGGTGTGCCTATGGGAACCATAGGAGCAAGAGTCAAGAGTTCTTCAGAAAACTGCCTTTAAGTCAGGACAAAGGAACAAAACATTTGCAAATTAAGCACCAAAAAGATCAAGTAATTTACTTGCCATTTTCATAAACAAAATAATTAGTCCCCTCTCTCATCTTTTCTCTATCATGTCTTTTGTATAAAGACATTTCTTTCTGAACTGCGTGCTGTCTAGACAAAGCCACGTCATCTGATGAGAAGCAGACTTTGCTCAGCAACATTGAGAAAAAACAGATCTACTTCTTTCCATTTCTTAGCCTGTGTCAACTGCTGAATGCTGAAATCTAACCCCAGAGCCTCACTTTGCCATTTCATACAGTTTGAATAAAAAAAAAGAACCTTAGAGAAAAAGAAAAAGCTTTGACTCCCCCATTAAAAAGTTTATTCTCTAATTCTATAAATATCAAGAAGGCAGATGTGTTTTATTTTATTTTACATTAGGAAGAAAAAACCACAATCTCAAAGCAAGCACCCGGGTTTTACTTCAGTTTACAATAATTTAATGTGCCTGAGAATTTTTGTGCAAATACATGTCATCTTTCATTAAAAATATGCATAGCGCACTTTGGAAAAAGTTGGTTTAGTTGTCACCAACTTTTCTTACAAAAAAAGTTTACATATATAAATATACAACATTCCCTAATTCCTATTGATTGCACTTCTGGCTTAACCCCTTCCAGCCTCCAAGGAATTTTTAAAAACATGCAATTATGTTTGTATTCCTTGGCTACTGTACTTATTCAGACGAAATATTCTAAAAACAAGTTTTCTTGGTTTCAATTTACTCACATTTTGCCTCTTAAAAGTAAATCCCTCCCACCCTCTACCCAGTTGTTTTTTTTTTTGGAGGTTGTATAAAAATACAAATTTAAAAAATGAACTTTTATTAATCATAAATACAAAATAATTGAGTGGTATTTGGGCTCCCAGGGGCTCAAAGGCCTGAAAACAGAAAGGAAAATAGGAGTCTCCACCTGTGATTCAATGAAAAAGATGAAACTCCTAATTTTGCTAATGCTGCGAGCATACCATTTGATGGATACATAATTTAACCAGATATTAACAGGGGAAACATATAAGCCATCTCACTATTGTCTCAGTAATAGACTGAGCTTACCCCACCAACCCCTCAGAACGGCTTTCTATAAGCAATAAAACTGCTCCTTTTCTCTTCCCATCCTTCTAACCTGGGTTCTCTCTGCTTTATGCTTACCAGAAGTAAATGTGCCAGCAAGTTCAGTATCTCTGTATGTTTTAGTATTACTGAATTTATTTGTATTCACTTTTTATGTTCAAGACAAGAAAACTCAACTGAAGGAGTATATTAAACCTTTCTTTTCTCCCTCTGAACACTCATGGCCCATTCATTTATACTTTCAATTTGCCCGACTTCCTCCATTAGGGCTCATCCCAATTTTATTTCCATTCCTCCATTCCCCCTTTCACATTCACAACCCTTGTGCAACATTCCTTTTCTCTCAAGTCAGACCAGACCACATGTTTCAGTGCATATCTATCCTTCATGTGCTAACTTGTATAAAAGGTCAGTTAACTGCTGAACCTCAGTCCTCCTTCAGGACACCCATTTTGGGTGAGGATGTGCAAACTGGGGCAGCAAAGCTACCCATTATGACTGGAAGACTCTGATTCCTCCTTAGTCCACCTAATAAACTGCTACCTGAATTTAAATAAACAGCAGAATCTGGTTTTTGAGGACCAATTTCTGCCTCCTGGCATCTTCCATTCTCTTGGGCACCAGGGTTCTTGACCACTCTGGCTATCCCCAGTCTCTTCAGCCTGTCCACTAAGTTCATCTTCAACTGGCCAACATCAGGAGGGTTCCGGGAGGGTCTCAAGCCATACATCTCCTGGAGGAATGTCTCAGCTGGTCGAGAGGCCAAAAAATTTTCAGAGAGATGCACTCGAGGCTCAAAGGGTAAAGGAGAAGGGCAAGGTGAGTGAGATGGTGAATTTGGTGGTGTGGAAGGGATAGCCAGGGATTTAGGGAGAGGCTGGAGGGGGTTCTCTGAAATTGGGCTGTGGTACACTTTGGCAGAGATGCCTCGCTCTTGTAGAAGTTTGGCCAAGCTCATGGTGCTACTGAAGGTTGTAGTGGAATCTCGTCGGTTGGTGATGGACTCACCAATGCTGAGTCTATAGGACAAGGCAGGAGAATTCACAGCCGTGTTGGATGAACTGCTACCGCTACTTCCACAGGATAATGAAGGGAACCCAGAGCTTAAAAAAAAAAAAAAAAAGTGGGAGACAGTGTTTAAGAATAAAAAGCAAGCTCCAAGCTGGCATTTAAAGAAATTATAGTAGTTATCCTTGGTAAATATAAAGTAACAGGCAACAAACACATCCGTAACTGTATGCTGTGGAACAGATCTGGGGAATGAAAATTTTGACATGATACTTCAATGATTAATTATTTGTAATTCATAACTTAGTAATTAACTTATTAAAAGATATTTCTTTTCAGTGGGATATGAAAGGTATTGCTGTACTCTTAGATAACTTTACTCTTAAATTTTAACTCTAAAATGTACATCTGTAGAAATACAGTTAAATTTTATGATAGAAGGCAAAGAAATTTGAAGATTAAGGAAAGTAATTTAGAATGTTTATTCATATATCCATTCCATAAAGTGAGATACATTGAGACAATAATCCATGGGTAAACAGTTTACCAACTTTTAAAAAAATACAATCTTTCACAATTAAACATGAAAACTCTTCTGGGAGAAGTTTCTTTCTTTTTAATCTTTTAATTTTATTTCATTGAGAAATAAAAACTTCTAATTGTTAAATTTCATTTTCTCAAGAAATGTTAATTTCAAACAATAATGGTATAAAAATATCCATAGGATGAATTTTTTCTCAACCTTGACCTGAAACATGTGTTTTTAGGAAATTAAAAATAACTAATAGCTTCGACAACTATTCAGTAATACTTCTTCAGTATTACTTCAGTATTCAGTAATACTACTGAATATACAGAAGTGAAGGTGAGCTTGTGCAGAGGACTGGCCCTGTAAATCTTGCAGTTTGGCTAACTCCGGGTATATAGCCCCAGCTGGGTTATTAGTTGTCTGCCCTAGGACCAGTCACCTCAACCTTCCATGCCTCGGTTTACTTTACACAATACATACTTGCCTTGCCTACTTTTATAATAATCAAATGAGAAAATTCTTATTCTATGCTTAGTCGAAAAGAAAAACTAACGAATCATGTACTTGAGGAAACAGTGATGAAATAGAGATGGTACTTCTTTAGCCAATTTCCCTGCAAAACAAATGTTACCAGTATTTAATAGATCAACTTTCACTTCAACATAAAATACTCAATATATTAAATATCAAGATATCAAAAATTTTAAAGATTATGAACAAAATGTAAGCTTAAAATTAACAAACTTTCTAAAGCACCAACTTGTATAGGAACAGCAAAATTCAAATGAGTTTGACTCCCTGGTCAAACCAGTCCAACTAAAAGCCTCTGATATGGAACAGTCTATATATTGTATTCCCAGTCTCTAAATCTCCCTATTTCTACTAGACTCTAGAACTGCCTGTCCTTACCCAAACTGTACACTTCATATAATGGCATCAACCTGTATTAAGAGTCTCCTCAAGAACCAATTTTGTAAAACTTGTTATCTTGATGACTATAAGAACAATGTAGAAAAAAATGCAGATTTTTTTTGTTACAGACTTTATTGGGATCTTTAGTGGATATCATCCAAATGCTTCCGTAAATAATCCATTTGTTTCTATTTTATAGACATGGTGGATCATAATCTTATTTCCCTCCACACTGGCAGCTAGAAAGTTAAGACTCAAATACATGGCTAACCTTAGCAAGCTAACATGGCTAACATAAGACTTTATGGTACAATTTGCACACTAGCTTTATTTTTTTTACCCATTTTATATCCTTACTCTTGATTCCCCTTTGCAACATCTTTCTTTTCTACTTCTAGTTAACATTATTATTTAATGCACTTAAAGTAATTATAGTAGTTATCTTTGGTAAATATAAAGGAACAGGCAACAAACACATCAGTAACTGTACACTGTTACATGTTCTACATATCTTTAAAAGCTACCTTAGATCCTTTTGGGAATTGTTAGGATAGAAATGGCATCAATATGGCTTAATAAGGGACTATATATTAGAATATTCAAGTTCTAGCCTATGTAGTAAATAATTTGGCCTTGCCCAGAGAGGTCTGGCCTTTGCCCTCTGCTCCTTGGAGGCAATCTATGTCACAACTAATAGGAGTGTCTTTGGCTAGAGTGGAGGCTGATCACACTAAATCTTAGGGTGAGCCAGGCCACACCCAGTAGTCTTAGGGTGAGGAATGGCCATGCCAAAAAGACCAACCACGTGATTTAGGGTAGGGCCTTTGAGTCATGCAGTATCAGTTGGCCAGAAGACTGAGTTCAACTCTGTTGAACTGAGTTCAATCAATCATACCTACACAATGAAGCCTCAATACAGACTGTAAACACTAATACTTGGGTGAACTTCCCTGGTTGGTAATATTCTGTGTGTACTGCCACATATCAATACCAGGAGAGTAATGAATCCTAAGGACACGTGTAGAATTCTCCAAGACTCTGCCCTATGCCTTTCTTCCTTTGGATAATTTTAACCTGTATTCGTTCCTTGTAATACAGTAGCCACAAGTATAACAACTTGCTGTGAGTTCTGTGAGATCTTCTAGCAAATTGCTGAACCTGAAAGTGGTTTTGGGAACCCTCTGCACTTGCAGGTGTTGTCAGAAGTGAAGGTGAGCTTGTGCAGAGGACTGGCCCTGTAAATCTTGCAGTTTGGCTAACTCTGGGTATATTGCCCCAGCTGCGTTATTTATTAGTTGTCTGCCCTAGGACCAGTCACCTCAACCTTCCATGCCTCAGTTTACTCTACACAATACATACTCACTTGCCCTGCCTACTTTTTTAATAATCAAATGAGAAAATGCAATGTGAAAATATTCTAAAGACACATTATCACAGAACATTAATTAACATTCTGGAAATTAAAATGAAGGTAATTTTAAAAAGAAATTCATGAAAATATAGCTGAGGAAAGAAGTGAGGCCCCAGATTTCCCAGGCACTCTTACCTGGGGGTAACCTGAGTGATGTCAGAGGGATGTAATATTCTACAGGTGGTGAAAGTGAATGTTGAGTTTGTGCACGACAGGCACTTTCCTGGGTTGGCGGTTGCAACTGAAATAGATTTTTAGGGAGCAAATACAAGATTGAAAGTCTAGATTAATAATGTAAAAAGCTCATCATTATTTATTAATAATATAGCATTTATCAAGTACCTTTTGTATTAAAAATCCCCAAATCTGGAAATGAAATAAATATACATAAAGATTGTACTAGTATCAACTGGTTAGTATATAGGTGAATCCAATACTTTAAAACTGTAAAGCAAAAGGCATAAACAAAGATTAGAAATGAGAAAACTGAAAAAATACATTAAAAAAATCAAGATCTAGTATCCAAATGATTCAGCCAAATTTATCTACTCTAGTGGTTCTCAAAGTGTGGTCTGCAGACTCTGTGGGAGTCTACATGTCAAAGCTACTTTCATAGTAATGGTAAGACAGAGGCCTTTTCTTTTTGACTGGGTTGACATTTGCACTGCTGGTGCAAAAGCAATGGAAGGCAAAATTGATGGCTCCTCAGCACAAAACAAGGCAATATCACCAAGTTGTACTAGTCTTCTTTATTGTTATGCACTTGGTATTTTTTAAAAAGCCATATTCACTTAAGAATGTCCTTGAAGTAGCAGTAAAAATTATCTATTAAATTTTGGATCTTGGCCGTTGAGTCTTTTTCCTGTTCTGTGTGATGAAAAATGGGAAGGATGTATTAAGCACTCTTGCTGCACACTGAGATACAGTGGTTATCTAGAGGAAAACACTTGTGCAACTGATTTGAAATTTTCTCATGGAATACCATTTTTACTTGAAAGAACTAACAGACAAACTATAGTAATTCAGACTTGGGTGAAAGACAGACATGTTAAAAATGAATGAAGTGAGCCTGTCCTTCAAGAAAAACAGCTAACAAAATGTGAGCTTTCAAGAAAAAGTGAGTTTTGGAAAACTCGTATCCACCACTGAAAGCATGAACATCCTTGAAGACTTTTCTGATGAGTAGGTGGTGATATTAATATGATTTTAATATTTTTACGTAATAAAATGTGCCAATATTTGGAAAATCTGCATAACTCCATGAACCAATCAACATTTTCTAAATGACCAACGCATGATCTTAAAAATCAAGCATGGCTCAAAGATATATTCAAAATGTAGGATACGACCAATGCATTTAATTTAATTTTTTTTTTTTTTTAGTAGAGACAGGGTTTCACCATGTTGGCCAGGCTGGTCTCAAACTCCTGACCTCAGGTGACTGCCCACCTCGATCTCCCAAAGTGCTGGGATTACAGGTGTGAGCTACCACACCCAGCCTGACCAATGCATTTTAATGTTAACAAAGTAATGAAAAGTTCATTGTTAGGGTTTCAGATCTCACATTGCTACAAACGTTCAAGAAACTACTACTTACCTAGTTTTAGTGTAATATCAAAAAATAGCTACACATATCTGAAAAGACTATTAAAACACTCTTTCCAACTGCATGTTTGTGCCTGGCTGCATTTCCTTCATATTGTTCAACTGAAACAACATATTGCAATAGACTGAAGGCAGATGCTGATAATGAGAATAAAGCTATTTTGTATTAAGTCAAAAATTAGAGACTTGAACAACTGTTTTTCTCACTATGTAAAAAAATTAGCTATTTTTCATTAAACATATTTGTGTAACACAATTATTTTAAATGAGTTAATACATATTTTTATGGTTTTTCAGTTTTGATTTATGATATATTAAATGTCAATAGATATAACCTGCACAGATAGGCTCTCTGGAATTCTCAATGATTTTTTAGAGTATAAAGAGTTTCTGAGCCCAAAAGGTTTGTGAACCACTGACTTGAATTCATCCAGCTCTCTACCCAATCTACTAACGCAGGCTGGCTAAGATAAAGTGGAGAGAATTAGGAATGCCACTAATGCTATAGATTTTCATTATCTGATATGCAAGATTAAGTACCCTCCAGTGAGCAGAGGTAGCCAGCTGACTGTCTAGTAAGTCAGAATGCAAAGTACTTCTGGTTATTATACCATATTCAACCAGACACTCTTCTCACCTGTAACTGGTCCACCTGCTGAAGTAATGGGTGGCAGGAAGATCCCTGTTACTGGCTTGGATGTTGAAAGTTTCTCTTCCACTTCAAGAGGTTGCTGAACCTGAAAAGTAATACCCTCCTCTTCATCCTCTTCTAAATCTGAGATGTGATAAATAGCATCCCCGGGCAACTGGGTAAAGCCTTTAGTAATGACACCTGGTCGTGGATCAAGGATGGTTCCCAAGTTTGGTTGAGCAAGCTGCTGCCAGTGATACAGAGTTTGTGATCCTGAATATGCAAAACAAAGGAAGGGGAAAGGCATGTTTTACATTTCCCACAAATCTTAAAACACAAGCTAAAATTATATGTGTAATAACAATAATGACAGCAATAAAACTATTTATTTGGTGTTAATAATTTGGTAAAAGCTGCAAATTAAAGTTTTCAGTGGAAGATGACAAGATGTCAAAGGTATGAGTCATAATCTGTTTTAATAGTTAAGGAGGACACCTAAAGGGGTGAAAAAAAACCCAAGGAGACACCCTTAATAGGAAAGGAGCTTAGCTGCTGAGGCAGTGATGGAAGATACGTGCCTAAGAGGTGGGCTGTATTTTCCCAGGTGACAAAAAAGTCAATACTTCTCTGGCCTGGAACTATGCCTATGAAGGTGAAAGTCAAAAGCCAGGCTCCCAGGGAGAATAGGAAAATGAAGAAGATAATGAAAAGGAGGATATGTTCTACTGGTTCCAGGCTACAGAACCCTGGTGAATGATCATCCCAAGTAATTGCACCAGATGCAATGTCTAATTATGTCACTGTAGTCATTTCATCCTAAAAATGGCAACTCCAACAAATATCTGCACTGATCATTAATGAATACAACTAAGTTATAAAATCTTTGAGTTTGAGGGGTCTTTATAAGTTACACACTCAAAATTTCATTTAATGCAGAACTCTTTTAGGATAATATCAGAGAATCATTCAATGATTGTCATTGTTCCAGAAAATGAAGGAATTTATTTTGAATTCAAGCTCTTTCTTAGGAGAGTATAGAAACTAAACTGAAAAAAGGAAAAATACAGGTACACACACACCTCTAAGTCAATTATACTTTTGGGTAAAAAACTCTTTTGAAAAGGAAGGTGGAGATGAATTATTATCTCTAGATCATTATCATTTATCATATCTTATTCATCTAACCATGGAAACTGCTGTCAATGATATTCCTTAGCAAAGGACAGAAAAAGATTACTCCTCTTCCCTGCTCACGTTTATATTAAAAAACATCAGAAGAGAACTGCTGGCTGATGATTCAGAGAATGCAACTCTCTTCATTCATTAATTTTCCACAAAGTACTACAGTCTTGCCACCCAAACAGCAAGATTAAGGGATAAAAAGATCATCTGCACATAATGTTCCTATAATTAAGACACAAATCTCAATTCCAGGGAAAGGAACTTCCAGTAAGTCACATGGCTTAGTAAGGGCCCTTACTGATTTATTACCTTCAAGGGGCTTGACAATTTGTAATTTTTCTGGCATAAAACCTCGAAGGCAACTGGCACTGCTGAGGTCTGTGATCTCTGACTGGGTGGTGCAGAGAGAGGCAAGGCTCTCTGTCGGGGTGACACAGCCACTAACTCCTTCCTTCTGGTCTGCCAGAACCTGGATCTTCCGCTGCCATTCTTCAGCAAAGAACTGCTTCTCACTTAAATAGTTTTGTCGACGCAAGCTAAGGCGATGCAGTGCTGTAGCCAAATCACTATCTCCTGAGGGTCCTGGTTGGCCCATCTTCTGGGAGCTCCTATAGGAAAATCGCGTTCACTGATTAGATCTTGAGGATCATCAGCATGACCCAGACCTCTCCTTTCTATAATGGTAAGCATTCAAGAGACTGATATTAAAAACATGATATTTTCCTAGATACCTGGAATATAGAAGTAATAACAACAAACCAAAATCACCAACAACACTATATATCATTTTTACAGATCATTGCAAATGACTTGAAAGGCAAGATAATACTTTATTGATATTCTGTGTTTTCTGAATTTTCTATTTCATTTAATTTATGAAACTACACATTCAACCATCTATAAATTCATATTAGGTGGTCACGAAAGTAAATATTATATTTTGCTGAATCTGTATCATAGATTGCAAGAGGTACCATTATTTTATGTATCATAAAGAAGGAAAAAAACGCTACGGATTAAACTAAGGCATACTATCAGTTACAAAACATAATAATTTAAAAAATATTAAAATATGAAAAAAATTTGCTTTGGGTCACAGAATCACCCATCAACACTGCAGAACATTTAAAAGGAAACAACAAAATTTGTATATAATACTGCATTTTTATAGTTGTCTGATGCCCATTTTTTGACTTCAACACTTTTGAAACTGGAAGCTATCTTATAATTGATATCAAATGGAAGATCAGCAAGCTGAGTTGTGGGTACTCTGGGATACTGGGGTATAAATCCACATAAATGTGTTTCAGATCTTCTCCTAAGATAATTGTGTGACAGTGAGGCAGTAGGACACAAAGCTGCTGTGGGTGCAGAACACTGCCCAGGACAGACCAGGCAATGCAACTGAAACCTAGTGTGATGAATTTTTATGTTAGGAAACATTTCCCTTTGGTGCCAAACATCTATCTTGCAAAGCTTTCAGCTCACTTTTCAGTAAAGTTGTTTACCTTCTAGTTATATAGAATTCAATGTACTGAATTAATAAAAGGAATGAAAAAAAAATCCAAGTTTAAATAAACAGAAAATCGACAGCACCTCGATGGTCCTCAAGATGTATTCAAACTTACATTTATCCTAAAAATCACCAAAGCGGTTGAGATTATGAGCACGGATTATGAGAAGGTGTCATCCGATGTATTCATGCTAGTGACCAAACAGATTCAAAAAAATTTGACTTTGGCATGATCTGTCTCATGAATAATGATACAAGGCATCATAAGTGAAGGAAAACTGACAGTTCCAGAACCTTCTTGGGACAGTAGAGTAATGCTGGAATGTGCGTATGTGAATCTGGTGCGGCAATGTGAAAAGAAATGCAGAATCACTGTTATCATCGGATTCCTACCCTGCAACCTCCTCTGAGCTGCTCCCCTGGTTCAGGAGTGATTTGTCCTCTGTTTGCTGAAGACCAGACTCAAAAGGTTTTGCTGTCATGATGACACTTGAACGGTTGGAGCCTGGAATGGGTAACAGAGCTGGGAATGAGATAGAGCGGCCCCGTGTGTCATTGGCAATCCTGACGGTATCAAATACCCGCTTCTGTTGGGCTCTGTCAAAAAAGGAAGTGTTCGTTATTATCACTGCTAGCCACTAAAGCATCTAGAGAAGAGAATGTATGTGCAGTCCATCAGAAATAAAGCCACCCTGAGGAGCTATTTAGGAGAAATCATCAGAAAATAAGCTTTCAAACAAGAGAACTCTCTCACAAAAAAAGGACACTGTGAGGAAAACACTGAATAGTAAGCAAATTACTACTGAATCTCGTAATACTTGCCACTTTGGATTGTGGCTTCTTTTTAATTTCTATTCCAATGATTGAGTAACAACACATGTGACCTGTACTTACTTTTGTTTAAAGAGAGAAGATTCCTCATCCAAACTCAGCTTTTTACGCATAGTCCCCTCAATCTCAGCTGCCAAAGATTCCTAAGAAAAAGAGTTTGAGATTTCTAAAGTGATTGTTGCCCTTAAATTAACAGAGTCTCTACAATCCTATACTTTTGGTTTTATAATAAAATACAAGGAAATAGTCAAGGCTAACATTCAGGGGAAAAAAGACATTCTGGAAATATAACTTTTAAATAAGAACCAACTACCTTTTCATAATCTTTTCAAATAGGAAAGTAGTGGAAAAAGCTGATATGATAAATAGAAAATATATGTGCAGGCACACAAAAACAAAAGGTCTGAAAGGCCATAAACCCAGTGTTGACAGTGATGCTGTGGAGGGTGAGATTTAATGGTATTTAACAATTTTTTTTTTGCTTTTCTGTAATTTCTAGCTTTTCTATAATAATCATGTATAGCTGGCCGGGTGCGGTGGCTCACACCTGTAATCCCAGCACTTTGGGAGGCCAAGGTGGGTGGATCACGAGGTCAGGAGATCGAGACCATCCTGGCTAACATGGTGAAACCCTGTCTCTACTAAAAATACAAAAAAATACAAAAAAAAAAAAAAAATTAGCCGGGTGTGCTGGCGGGCGCCTGTAGTCCCAGCTACTCGGGAGGCTGAGGCAGGAGAATGACGTGAACCCGGGAGGCAGAGCTTTCAGTGAGCTGAGATCGCACCACTGCACTCCAGTCTGGGTGACAGAGCGAGACTCCGTCTCAAAAAAAAAAAAAAAAAAGTAAAAACAAAAATACCAACAAAAAACAATGTATAGCTTTTATAATATTAAAAAATCACTTAAAAAAAAGAACAAGCAAGCTTCCTCTTCCCCCCAGTCAGGGATGAGGACTAAATCTAGTGTTGACAGTGATTCTGTGGAGGGTGGAATTTAATGGTATTTAACGATTGCTTTTTGCTTTTCTGTAATTTCCAACTTTTCTGTAATAAACATGCATAGCTTTTATAACATTAAAAATCATTTAAAAAAAAAGCAAGCTTCCTCTTCCTCTGGTCAGGGGTGAGGACTCAACTAATATGGGTGACATGCTCAGTGGGACTCAGCTGAGGATGACTGGAATTGGAGGCAATGGTGTGAACTCATGATTATATATATTTATATATATATGGATGAAAACATATATATACACATATATAGTATAGGTATAGGTATGAAATACATATATTTCCTAGTCCTACCTGCTGAGAGGGACTAGAAGCCACAATACTCTAGTAGCAATCAATGGGCACACCTAACACCCAGATCTTGGATTCGAAATACAATTCTTCAATAAAAGTAACCAGAGCTCTTTGGAGAAATGGCTGATTCCAGGGCTGAGACAAAAAGTACAAGATCAGCTTAAAGGAGATCCTACTGATCATATCTAGGACAATCTGAATATCCTACATACAGATTGAATATACAACAATAGCTTGTAATCTATTGAATAAAATAGAAATCCATGAGTCCATGACATACCTAAGTGAACAAATGAACAAATAAATGGGACAGGAATGCACTAACTTACAAAAGAAAAATGCCAATTAATAAATGTTGAAAAATGATGAAATTTGAAAATCACCATTTGGCAGTCATCACTGTAATAACTCTGCCAGATAAGAACCATCAATGGGTGCTAAAACTAGTGGGTAATAGTTTGATGAGGAACAGGATACTTAGTCTCAAAGTATCTCTCATAAAATGTTTACTTTGATCACTTGGTTGGGGTAGTATCTGCCGATTTTCATCACTACACGGTGAATTAGTAGTGTTAATTTAATTAACTGTTAATTACCGTTAACTTTACAGTGGAAAAAACCAGCAGATTACCTTAACCAAGAGATCAAAGTTAATTAATACCACCTGCAATGGGCTAAACAGACATTATGCACCTCTTGAAACCATGCTCTGAGAATATGGCATGATTTCTGCCAAGAATGCATTACTGGAATCTAATCATGAGGATGCATCAGACAATCCTAAACTGAGGACATCCTACAAAAGTCACGAAAGAGAAATAAAGACAGAAGAACTGTCCCAGATGGAAACAACAAAATTCAATGTATCCTTTGAAGGACATTAGTGAGACAACTGGAAAAATTTGAATGGGCTCTGTGGATTAGATGATAATACTGCATAAACATCAACTTCCTGATGCTGATGGTTGTAGTGCGTTTATGTAGGACAGTGTCCTTAAGAGTGTCCAAATGTCCTCGTTTTTAGTAAATACACACTTAAGTACTACGGGGTAATAAGGTATATCAGCAACTTACTGTTAAAATAGCCCAGGGGGAAAGAAAGAGAAAGAGAGATTGAATGATATGGCAAAAGCAATAATATGTTAAAAACTGAAGAATCGATGTGAGGGATATACAAAAATTCTTTATACTACTCTTGGAACTTTACTCTAAGTTTAAAATTATTTCAAACATAAAAAACAAAATTATGCCTCCCTATTTTTAAGAAAATCTACTAAAATGTATAGTTTCAGTCTTTTAAAAAAGTTCACAGGATTGCACAGAAGTTTAAGAATCAGATTGTTAAAACAACTCTTTGAACCAACATTACAAATTCTAATATAAACTCAGAAGTTTTTATTAATTTTTTAATACAAAAATACCATTTATAAATGAATCAAACAAAGATGAATCTTGTTCTCATGAAGCTTACATTCTAACAAGTTAAAAATATCAGGAGACTCAAGATTTATTGAAAGAGGTTTTAGATATTCAAAGCACCACTTAAGTAAGTGGCAGGCTGTGGGCCTAGGGTAGGATGACCCAAGTTTAACTAGTTCTATGGTACACAGTCCTAAACTGAATTTCCTTAGGGCTCATCTTATGTATTATTGATACAATATATCTGGAAAGTCACCTGTTAGAATAAATAAGAGTATTAAGGAAGATGTCAATATACAAATTAGGGCCTAAATCAATAATTGGAGTCCAGAAACAAGGAAAAAATCTCTTCTCCAGATGTTTTATACCATCATAAACCATCAAACTTTTAGGACAAACTAATCTTAAACAAATTTCTTTAAATACATAGCATCTTTCTTAGTTGCTTACCCCAGTAAAAGCTCCATATGATTGGGAGAAGTAGAGATGAGCAGTAGGGCCAGATCTACTACGAAGTTCCTTTATTTCTTCTTGGGATTCATGTAACATTCCTAGACACTCCATATTCCTGTCTTGTAACTCGTGCAGCTAAAAGAAAGGATGGTAGTGTACTTTATTGCCTTCCCAAAACAACATTAGGGAAAAAAAACCCGAAACCTTTTGGGATAAGTATTGATTTTACCCAGAGGGCTAGCTAACTTTATGAATATCATTTCAATACAAAGACTAAAACAAACTAAGCAAGAAGCGTATATATATATATTGAGCTACCAGAATTAGGGAGGGGTGTCTTGGCCAAAATTATACACGGATGTGACTTCCTGAAAGTCTGAAACGTAGCTAGACTACCAGAACTGTCAATTTAATATTGAATGCTTCATACACTTAACAGAGGAAGTATAACAGCTACAGTCAAGTTAGGTTTAGTATAATATTAATCTTTTTAAACATCACTCTGAAGTCTGTAAGTGACAAGATCAAGAGCCTACAAAGTGTTATATACAATGTCAGTGTGCTCAATCCTCCTAAACAAGTAGATCTTCGTGCCTTGTTTCAGAACCTTCTTTACAACTAGATATACACATCTGATAAAAGAGTACATAATTTTCAGAGTATATTTTAACTGTAAAATTTCTTCAAGTGCAGTATATGCCCCAGTTCATCAGAATCACCAGGGTTGAAGATGCTTATTAAAAATGCAGATTCTAGGCTCTCACTCCAGACCACTTGAAGTAGAAGCTCTTGGGATGGTGCCTGGAAATCGCCATTTAAAACTTGCTCTCCGAGGTGATTCTTTCCCCCTCCCTCCTACAAGATATCACTCTGTTGCCCAGGGTTGAGTGCAGTGGTGTGATTATGGCTCACTACAGTCTCAATCTTCTGGGCTTAAGTGATCCTTCTACCTCAGCCTCTCAAATAGCGGGGACCACAGGCGTGCACCACTACACCTAGCTAAGTTTTTGATTGTTTTGTAGAGACGAAGGTTTCCTTATGTTGTACAGGCTGGTCTCAAATTCCTGGGCTCAAGCCATCCTCCCACCTTGGCCTCCCAAAGTGCTGGGATGACAGGCATGAGCTACTGTGCTTGGCTCCAGGTGATACTAATGCATGCTAAAGAATCACTAAGTTATATTTAATAAATAAAATTTTATGTAGATAGAAAGTAAGAGATTTTTTGCTTCTTCTCCTGACACACCTGCACAAAGATTTACTACTAGAACTTATCTTATTTTAAAAACTGTTGAGCTAGTTTAGGTCAGCTGGTAAAAGAGTGATATACTCCTAAAGAATCTTATAAAGTTGAGGTTTTCCCTATTAATCAAGAAGGATGTTACCACGTTACTAGTTTTAGGGACAGGACTTTTAAAATGCTTTATTCTTTTTCTTTCTTTTTTTTTTTTTGAGACGAAGTCTTGCTTTGTTGCCCAGGCTGGAATGCAGTGGCACATCTGGGCCCACTGCAATCTCTACCTCCTGGGTTCCAGTGATTCTCCTGCTTCGCCTCCTGGGTAGCTGGGATTACAGATGCCCACCACCATGCCCAGCTAACTTTTGTATTTTTATTAGTGATGGGGTTTCACCATGTTGGCCAGGCTGGTCTTGAACTCCTGACCTCAGGTGATCCACCCACCTCGGCCTCCCAAAGTGCTGGGATTACAGGCGTGAGCCACCACAACCAGCCAAAATGCTTTACTTCTTAGATCTCATAATATCATCTTAACCTTTTGTTGTTGTTTTTTAAATCTGGTAATTCCCCTTTAATAATTCTTATTCATGAAGATGAAAGAAACTAGTCACTCTTTCCCCTCCTGAATTACACAAGATAAAGATTTCATTACCTCCATTGTCAGTTGCCGTTGGGCATCTTTGGAAGCTTGCAGGTGAAGTTTTAGTTCTTCCTTCTCAATCACATGCTAACAACATATTAAAAAAGACATGTGAAGCCTTTCCAAGTAAAATATAGCTATTCTCTTTCTTATAAAGACATGTGAAGAATTTCTCTCTGGGGTATCATCTTAAAGCCTACAAAAAGCTAACCTTTCAAAAGCTAAATAAGATAGGCATTCGAATACAAAATCTATCAAGGTGTTCAGAGGACAATGGGCATGAGTCAATAATTTACACCACTTTCTGAGGAAGCACTAACCCCATTTTACAAAGAGAAATAATGACTTGAAAGTATTTATTCATGATATCTTATATGACATAAAGATGATTAAAACAGCAATCAGATTAGGGCATTTTAAAAGGGCAGGGACAATGTTTATTTTGTTTATTGTATCTAGCACTTAGCATGGTGCAAGATACTATGTGAGTGCTTAACAAATATCTGTTGAATGAATGAATAAACCTACTTCTTTAAGTTTGTGCTGAAGGTCTACAATCTGTGACAAAAGAGAGGAAAGCTCTTCTTGGTATCGAATCAGCTCATCACTCTTCCCTGACAATTCTTCAGTCATTCTGGACATCTGAGCATTTGTTTCACCTTGGAAGCAAAAAAAATTTTTTTAAATTAATACAAATGTAGAGAAGGAGTTGGCAAACTATGACTTGTGAGCTAAATCTTGTTTTATAACAAGCACTGGACTGTCGTGAATAGATTTTTCTTAAACATAAAAAAAAATCCAGAGAAACCAATAGAGAAAAATAAAAGTTCTTCTGAAATAGGCAAATGCTGGGAACAGAATAGGAGACAATGAAGCTAAAAAGAGAGACGACTTATAAAGGCAAGCAGGCTAAAGGTTTTGCTTCAATCGTTTTCTTTATGAAAACGATATTTGCTCAATCTTTTTCTTTATGAAGGAAAGAAGGCTGAAAGGAGGGCAAGTGCAAAGAGATAATCTCATTCATTTCTTTGAGAACTCTTTAGGGACATAAAATCCCACAAGCAATGAAAATTAATCTTAACAAATCTAACAAAGGAACATTTCCAGAATGGAACAGTCACAATCTATAACAGAATGTGATAAAGCTACGGAAATGCTTCTGTAGGAGACAGACTTTCTGGCATACCCCTTTCAGGGATATGTGGCAAACTGAGTAAAGCCTCTAGAGCAATTGTTATAGCCTGGCCTTCTTACATGCACATAAAATAGAGCCTTTAGAATTCCACTAGGAATTTATTCACTCTCTATCTCATATGAAAAATTTGACATGTAAATACAAGCAGAAAAGCTACTTCTCAGTGTCATGTAAAGCTATTTTAAAATTGACAGATAGCCTCTAATATTTCAAAGGATGGCGATACACAGGCAGGAGATCTGGATCTGAGAGCTCTTGGGCAAGTCATTTCCTGTATTTTAAAGTGTAAAAGGTGGGTAATGTTTTCATGGTGGAGGAGAAAATTCAATTTACATTCCTTCCGGTTCTCTAGTATTCTGCTATTCTAAGATATCACATTTTGAAGCCCATAGCCCAAATGAATTGATGTGATATTTTCATATCATTGTTTTCAATGTAAAAGGCTATATACAGTAGTCCCCTCTTATCTGTCGGGAATACATTCCACGACCTGCAGTGGGTACCTGAAACCACAGATAGTACTGAACTCTATACTGTATATATTATGTGTTTTCCTACAAATAAATACCGATGATAAAGCTTAATTTATAAATTAGGCACAGTAAGAGATTAATAACTAATAATAAAATAATTATAACAATATATCAGCACACTTTGGGGCCATTACTAAGTATAATAAGGGTTACCTGAACACAAGTACTGCAATATTGCGATAGTTGACCTGGTAACTGACGGCTACTAAGAGATGGTTACTAAGTGACTGAAGGCAGGTAGTATATACTGCGTGGAGATACTGGACAAACGGATGATTCATATCCTGGGAAGTATGGAGTAGGATGGCACAACATTTCATCACGCTACTCAGAATGGTTCGCGATTTGAAACTCATGAATTGTTTATTTCTGGAATGTTTGATTTAATATTTTCAGACTGCAGTTGGCCACGGTTAACAGAAACAATGAGAAGTGAAACTGCAGGTAAGGGACAACTGTTGTATTTATGGAGAAATTAAATTTATCTTTCTCCAGTGAAGCCAATCTTTTTCCAACTGACTTGTTTTAAAAAATTGGTTAACATTACCTCAAACTAAAACACATTCCTTTAAAGAAACATAACTGGCACTTTATACTCATTGATTGTTAGGTTTTATGCCATCATTTAAGCCCTGGCTCTGCCACTTACCAGTTTTCTGACTTTGGCATATCATCTTCCTCTACAGGACTATTTCCTCATCAACAATATGAGAGCTTTGGTTCCTTTCACTCTAACATGCTATAACTTACTTACAAAACATAGGTCTGTAATGATAATTGCAATTTGAAACAAATATATTTCTTAAAAATACATATGGTATCTTATTTAGGGTTGTAGGCTCAATGTGATATTCTAAGATTTTCAGTAACCATTTAAAATTGTTTCTTGAGATGCTTCTACTGAAACCAGTGATCTAACTTCCGAGGTGGAGATACCCTACCAAAGAATTGTCCAAAAAGGTACAAAAGAGAATATGTTAATACTCACGAAGTTCTTTAACACAGTCGCTGACAAGCTGTTGTTCCTTTTCTTCATAGGTAACAGTTTCTGTCTTTATGTGACAAGCCTTCAAGAAAAAAATCAGTATGTGACAATACCTTCTAGTGATTTTATAGAAATAACTACAAAAACCTTTAATTCTCATTTGAAGACTAAATTTCATCACTTACAAAGGAAAAAACCCAACAACCTGTTCATACATCTCTACCTGGCTCATCCCTGGCCTTGGCTAAAATGATCCTTGCTTAAGTAGGACTTCCTTGATGCCCATACTATACAAGTTCACAGAATATTGTGATTTTCTGAGATAGTTCTTATCACAGTTGTAACTACTTAGTTACTTGTGTAAAAGTTATCACAGTTGTAACTACTTAGTTACTTGCGTAAACTCCACAAGATACATTTTCTATCCTGTGACTTTCACTATTGTACTGTCAACCTGCTACTATCCACTTTTCAGTGGGATCTAAGAACAGTGGAAGGCAAGAAAAATACAGCTCCTTGTCCACGACTCTCTAATTGGAATGCCAATAGCAAATCCTTACTTATGCCATATTTCACCTCAATAGTACCTGGACCTGAACTTTATAGCCTTTAAAGTAAAGGAAAATGGCAATTAGGTTGAACGTACCTTGGATCGAAGAGCCATATTCTCTTCTTCCAGTTCCTTGAGCTTTTCTTGCAGCATTTCCAACTGCAGCAACCCTTGAGATAAGCTAAAGGACTCATTGAACCGAAGAGGTGTAGAACAGCTGGAATCAGTTTCACTTTCTTCAGAAGCAATGGAGACGATTCGAAGTAACTCATCTTTCTTGCATAGCTCATGCTGCAGCTGATTAACCTGTCCATATAAAATGCTTGATTTTCATGTTCTTTATTTTGCATTATTTATAGCAATATAGCTTCTAATTCATGGAACAATTATTTTTCATCACAAAAGAAAATCACAAAATCAGCTGCTAGGTTTTACTGACTAACGCAACAAGTACTAAAAAGAGAATAACAAACCCCAGATACCTCCTAAGTTACAATTTTAGAGCATTAATTCAACAGTACAGCTTTTTTCCCTCCTAGGTGAGAAGAAAAGCTAATTTTCTTATTGTATATATATGATAGGAATATAGGAGAAAAATTCACGTAAGATAATAATACATTCATAGTTGAAAACATGACAAAACTGAAGAACCTTCAAAGTATCAGAATAGATCCCTACTTCAAACTCTTATCATAAGGGCTTGTAATTTTAAGATGTATATCACTGTGCATGTCTTCCTAGGAGTACTGATTTTAGTTCTCGGAACAAATAGTTTCAACCTAAAGGCTCAAATGCTATCATCCATAATGCATTCATAAAATACAAACGAAACCAGATAAAAATAACAAGTTACAGAAAATTTGAAATGTAACCATCCAAGTTAATAATAAGTCAGTTCTCACTACAAACGTTTATTGCTATAGAATAAATATATTTTCAAAGTTTCTTTTTACTTTCTTCCTTTGTTTGGTTTTTGAATAAAGATACCCACATATTTGGGTACCTATTTTTTAAAAATAAATTTCAGATAAGATCACACACAAAGTCTACACAAAAGGGTATGGATAGTTTTAATATCTAAGCAGGGTGCCACAGGTATTACAGATACTTAATATAGACTTTAAGTTGACCAAGGTAGTTACGTGAGTTCTCCTCTGTACAATTAACATTTAATTTCTCTACTGATTAGTTTAATGGACACCAACAAAGTGAACAAGTACTGGTGTTATTTATCTATTGCCATCATTTCAGGGACACCTAGGAAAATAAATTTTCAATTGCATAAAACCTAATTATTTCATACTGCAGACATTTGATCAAAGGCTTACTTGATCAAAGGCTTGTCCCAATTGCTCCTCCAGGGATTCGTTCTGCTCAGATAAGACATGGTTCCGCTTTAAGAGAGCTTGTCCAATTCGAGCAGCGAGTTCCAGATCACGATCCCTCTGTTAAAATACCAAATACACCTTTTCTTTGAGTATAAACAAGGTTAAATGGCAGTTCAGAAATTTTGTGGTCAGTTTTGGTAAAATCAAAAGCAACGTCCTAGAAAGCATCAAGATTCATTCATTCATTAAAATGAATAAACACAGGGTCTGGCACACAGGTAGTGCTTTAAAACGTTGGTCAAATGGATGACCACCACTGTTCTAAATGCAAGAGGACATCTCTTTTCTTGATATCAAGTGAGATTTATTGATCATCCTAGTAAATTAAGAGTCTAGCAACCCAAACTTTAAACTTACAATTTTGGGGAATTGGAAAATCAACATAGTCTTTAAAAATGAGGATAGGGTCTGTACAGTAAAAGCTCAACAAATATTTGTTGAAAGCAATTGTGTATCAAGCATGGTAATGATACAGAATTAGGTATTTAAGATATGGATCAGGTACGTATGTAAAAAAAGAGTTCCATTTAGGGCAAAGCTTATGTGCATTCAGCAGCTTAGAGGGAAGTGCAGCCAAGAGCTCTGTTGTCAACTGGTTCAAGAATGATGATATGAAATAAAACAGGAGATAAAAGACTGGAAATTTTGAGGCCACAGGATTCTGCCTAGAGTATAGAGAAGAAAGAAGTCTCAAGAAGCTGGTGGTAATGCAGGGAAGTCTGTAGAAAAGTCAAGCAATAGGCTTCCACCCAGAGTTATTATTTCTGGGCAGATAGTGATACTTCGCAAGGGCATAGGAATTCCATCTGTGTGGTAGTGGTGAAGACTGTATTCTATAGGATAGAAAACTGTCAATATACATCTCACTGCCTTATATATGATCTGCTTACAGTAATTATTATATAAATAAAATTAAGCTTCTATCCTTTCTCTCCATAGGCATATGAAAATGGAGGGATTATCTCCACATTTTTAAGGCTCATTTTAAATAATCGCTAAATGGCATACATAGAAATCATTCTGGAGAGCTGGGGGGAGAGGGGAGAAGGATATGTTAAAGAAAGACTGTCTTCCATAAGATCAACTGAAACAGGTACAAAGGGAGACCTCTACTGATTGCCAACTAGAGGAGATACACTATACATATTAAAAATGCCATAGACAAAGTGAGCTCAAATCACAGCCCAAACTAAAAGTAAAAAAGGGGAGATGCTCCAAACTGCAGGTATTGATTTGCAATGATAATGATACTGCTTTCTGAATGGGCAGCTCTGCTGTAGAGTAAGTAACAGCAGGCATTATTTTAAAATGATTTTTTTTTTAAGATTAATGCTTTTCTAGGAAGGGGAGGCAAGTCAACACCATTAAATAAATAAATAACTAAAAATCCTGTATAGCATTACAATAATAAACTTTAGGAAACATTCTACTTTGAAATGTCAGTTGTTCCAGTAGCAACAACCTTATACAAAATAACCCAGAGCACGTACAACATTTTCCATTTGATGTGCAAATTTGATAGATTCCAAATGATCCTCAAGTTTTACCTTTTTGTACTGGAGAAAGAAAAGATATTCCTACCTCTGCCAGGAGATGTGTAACCATGTCGATGTCATTGTAAGTTTTGGTCATCTGCTCCACCCTGTCTGTGCCTAGAACTAATATAGTTAAAAACAACTATTTATAGGCTTTAGCAATAATGAAAAAATTTAAATATTAATAAGAATTGAGAGATAACAACAACAAAAACCCCAGCCTTTTACAAAAAGTCATTCAGGAGAATAAAAATATATGTGAAAAAAAAGAAATGTTTCATGTATTAGACACTCAAGAAATAGTCCAATCATTACAAACGAAGTGTATACCACACAATAATTAAGAAAGTATCAAATGATCAAAAGGCAGTCACATCTTGACTATCTCCTCCTCCCCTGGTAAGACAGGAAGTTTGGCCACTCACTTATGAGAATCTTGGCTGGGAGAATGGATTAAATTACTGATTGCTTTACAGTCTAATCTAAATTAAAGTTACTAAGGGGTATCAGTGAGGGGTTATGCTGTTATAAAGGAATTTAATTGGAATTCTGCTGTGATTATCATAACCATCTATGATCATCTACCATGTGAGCTAATGTAAACAAGGAACAGGATTTGAAGGACTTTTTCTGGTTCTGTTATGAACCATAATTCCTTTAGGCTTAATTAAAAACCCTTTACTTGTATAAAAATCTTTCTCCCATCTAGGTCTCAGCTATAAAATAAATTGTATGCTACATTATTAGTTGTATAATTCAAGCCCTGTATTTCTGCACTTCACAAGTTCAGGAATTGTCAATGTACCTGGATAATTTAGTTCAAAAGAGAAGGGCAAATATGACTCCAATGATTCCAGTCACACTAAACAGTATCTTAAAGTTAATAATGCATAACAAAAGAGGGCTCTTTTGACTTTGAACATGATACGTTACTGCAGAACATAATTCTGTGTTTGACTTAGACTCTTTTATTATAACTAGTTTGCCTTGAAGTGTGAAAAGGACAGGGGCTTTGGAGTAGAAAAGCTGAATTCATAAATTTTAGTGAGCTGGAACAAGTCACTTAACCCTTCTGAGATTCAGATAATAAATATGGAGGTGATAACACATCTCATGAGGTTATTAAGAGGATCAAACATGATAATCTACTAAGCAATAAAGTATTCGTTAACTGCTACGTATCATATAACTGTTTATAGTTACTACTCCTTAAACAGAACTGGTAGGTATGAAATGATTCTGACTTTAAATTCTCTGAATTGGCAGTAATTCATAGTTCCATAGTCCCATCTTAACACTTTAGGGTGCCCACGACTGAGTATGAAGGGATATCATTAGATATGTTTTACTTTTATCTGAGCTTATTTTCTCCCTGGCACCACTGACTAAAATGAATCTGGGAATTACCTATAGCTTAATTATTAATAATAGCCTTATTCCTAGTTAAAAGTAAAACAAAGTGCTGGCTTGATGGTATTGGAGATAACTAAAAAAGATTTAAACTGAAAATATAAAAACTTTTCTTAAAAGCTAGAAATAAACATTTGTACTCCAAAAGAATTTATATTTACAAATAGAGAAACTAACAATGATTTAACCACAGTGATAAGGGAAGCAGACTTTTGGGCCTAAGGAATAGACACAATATAATTTGGTAGCATAGCGGGAACAAAGGATTAAATAATTAAGGCAAATACTTACAGTGAATGGTCTCCTTTACTTCTGGTCTCAATAACAAAATTATGGGAAAAATATAAAATCAATATATCCATGCTCTAAACTAATTACAGAAAACCAGACAATGGTTGTAAACCCAAATGTAATATAGAGCAATGGCTCTTAAGTCCAGATTCCGATTTAATTAATTTCAGGGAGCCCTGTGGCGCTGGTAGTATGCAGAAGATTCCCAGGTGTTGAAAATGACCTGGAGCCAGGAATTAAAACCACCAATCTGGGGTTAACACCCAAAGCAAAAATCAGGCATCCTATAGGCTCAGTTAAAATCAGTTTTTATACAACGAGTTTAACAAACACATGACATGACTGACCAGAGTTAAAGATGAAGTGGCAGATTTAACTTGGAGTAAGACCAGTAAGTTAAGGATATAAAAACAACTGTGAACCACAAGTCATATATGATGAAAGGGGAAGAAAAAAATGAAGGACACAGTAATACAGTGAAGAAATGTTTAGAATAAAATATGTTTTAGTGAGGAAAAATGAAAAAATATTTCCTATAAATGCTTACCATCTGTCACAGCATAAAAATTTAAAGCTGAACCTTAAGAAGTTATCTAGTTTAATGATCTCACTTTCTTGTATGAGGAATCTTCTCTGAGAGAAATTATGTGGCATGTTCAAGACCACGAAGAAAGCTATTAGTGGCAAAGCTGGAATTTTAGTATGGAGATGATAATAACGCTCATCTCACAAGGTCATTAGAAAAAACTCAGATGATGTAAGAGTCCAGTAATGAGCTCTTTCCACTGTGCTGCTGTTTCTACCGCAGCCCCACTAAGAACATAAAAAAGACCTTGTCTAATGAAATACCAGCATATACACCTGTGAATGCATGTTATATAATAAAACAGCATAGATCCCAATTTTGCTTTTTAAAGTGTGAGCATATCTATAAATATCTATATTCAACAGAGCCTGAAAGGATATACATTAAAATGTTAATAGTGGTTATCTCTGGGTAAGGACTATGGCTGATCTGTTTTCTTTTCAGCGTTTTGCCAGTTTTCCATAGAACAAATGTTATTTTCCAAACAGAAAAAAAAAAAAAACCCACAAAAACCCAGGAACCTTTGTTAAAAAGTTTCAAAAAGCAAAAATGAACTTTAAAATGCCTAAGTATTTGTTATGGCAAAAAAGTTAGATAGTGCAATCAGAATTTTCAAATTCTTATGTCGAATGCGCAACCTAGATACTACCAATCCACAAAGGCTGGGCCTCTTCAGTTGCACAGAAAGATGTCAGGCACAAAACAGAAAGGAACAATGGATTTTTCCTTTTCCAATGGAAAAGAACAATGGATTTTTCTCTCTGCAGTGGAATCAGTTCTGTCTTCTCTTCCTTAACACAATACTCCTGATAAAGACATGCTGCTTGGAATGATTCCAAAAGTACTCAGGGCAAAACTCTTAAGTGTTTAAAGTCTTGGCATTTAGACATTGTAATTAAATGCTTCAAAAACCACAGACTAGTTCTTCACCATAATTCTGTAGCCAGGAATGTAGAGGTAGCCAAGCAGGTTGTCTTTGTTAAAATCAATCCTATCAAAACCTATTTTCCCGTCAGTTTTCGTTGTTGAAAATATGTTAAATGATACAGAAATTAGCAATGATCCTTGCTTATTTCCAGACATAGACTTCCCTAACTCTCTAAAAAAGTATTTATACATCAGGGAGACGATAGATATTTTTACAGAACAATTTTGCAACTTGGTTTCCAGAGGTTGTTAATTAATGTTCAACATTTTTGGTGTAATGTTTGGAGAATCTAATGTTCCTGAAAATACAGGGTGGGAGTTTAACATACATAAGCACTTCACTAATCCTTACTTTATGTTCTGTCCCTGCATAATTTCACATTAACTAGCTCAATCTCACATTATTTTCAGGATGGGAAACACCAATGATAATCCATTCTAATATCTGTCATTTACATGAGATGGTGCTTGATAGTTCTCTCATATGTCCCTTCTCAAGATCTAAAGTTTTTACCACAACTATAGAATTTCAAAAAGAATTCTAATCTTGCAGCACTCTCCAACTTTCCCACACCAAAACCAACAAAAACAACAACAAAATAGAAATGAAACACAAACAGTGCCCACATGGCATAGTAAAAGCTACAATAGCTCCTGACACCTACAGGCAGGTCTTGAGGTTTTAACCCTAAAGCAGTGACCACAGCCCTTGCTGCTACGATATAGCAAACATTTCTGCCTTCAAAATGACTGAGAGAAACTGATGATACACACCATCTAGGGCAGTCTTTCTCAACAGGATTCCAGGGGAGAATCAGGCCCTACAGACCATTTGAATGACAATTTTCTCAATTCTCCCAAGAATTGTACAAAGCTAGTACATGATGCATGGGTGATAAGGTAATCCACTGTATAAACGCTAAGTGTCTTAGGGTGTATAGCTTAATTCTCTTGTGGAACCGAAGGAGAGAGCTTATCTAAGGGAAAAATAAATCTGCTAACCTCTATGACTGGGTTTATGGTTAATGCTTCCTGAACTTCATCAGTCATATGTTCTTTTCTGCCAGTACAGGTTAATAATTTTTGAGGGCAGAGCCTGAGGAAAAGTATACCTACCAATTGGAAGTAATAATTTCTATGACCATATTTATCTGCAAAATTATACACTCTCTCCGATTCCTTAATTCTCCAATTAATGTCACTGTGAAATGGCCATTTGCTTTGGTTGGCAATGCTTTGTATCAGTGGTTCTCAAACTTGTGTGTGCATCAGTATCACCAGGAAGACTCTTTAAAACACAGGCAGCTATGACTGTCTCACCCTTAGAGTTTCTAATTTTGTAGGTGGAGTAGGGGGCCCAAGAATGTGAATTTCTAACAATTTCTCAAGTGACATTGATTGCAGGGGTCCACAAAGAACAAATAAACTAAAGGGCACTTTCTGTGACGCTTTGTCAAAATAATGACAAACTAAATTTATCCAGATGAAATTTCAGTTTGAAAGTTCTCAGCAATTTAGGCCGGGCGCAGTGGCTCACGCCTGTAATCCCAGCACTCTGGGAGGCCGAGGCAAGCAGATCACAAGATCAGGAGTTCGAGACCAGCCCAATCAACATGGTGAAACCCCGTCTCTACTAAAAATACAAAAATTAGCCAGCATAGTGGCGCCCGCCTATAATCCCAGCTACTCAGGAGGCTGAGGCAGGAGAATTGCTTGAACCCGGGGCGGGCAGAGGTTGCAGTGAGGCGAGATCGTGCCACTATACTCCAGCCTGGGCAACAGAACGAGACTCCGTCTCAAAAAAAAGAAAAGAAAAGAAAGTTCTCAGAAATTTAAACACTCAATGAACAAAGGGAACTAGAAATAAGAAATACTGTTCCTTCTAAAAATGTTTTTCCAGAAAAATCTCAAGCAAGCAAATTCTCAAACTAAAACGTCAAGAAAGCCTTTGGAGCCTTAATTTAACTTAATTTAGCTATTTAAAAGAAATATTAAGGACAAAAACACAATAGTATTTGGGCTTCTTGATATTTTAGTTTCTGAAACAATGTTTATACTTTTTTTGAGCAGTTAAGTTCTCAGAAACTACTAGAAATAAATTGTAGGAAACTGGTGCTAAAAGCAAGTTAATGATTACTATGAAAATGAGTATTTCACAGTAGACATTCTCCAGTAACAATCTGGCATTAAAACACCACAACACTCACTGGGCTTCTTGATATTTCAGTTTCAGCTGAAACAATGTTTATAATTTTTTTTGAGCAGTAATAAGTTCTAAGAAACGACTAGAAAAAAATTCTAGGAAACTAGTGCTGAAAACAAGTTAGTGATTACTATGAAAATGAGTATTGCACAATAGTCCTTCTCCAACGACAATCTGGCATTAAAACACTAAAGCACTCACTGGGAAAATGTCCAGGATCTGATGCAATCACCTACTTAATTCTAATTAAAGGAATTTCACAAACATATCAGTATTGAACTCATAAGCTTTTATTATAAATTCTAACAGCTACTGTGCACACAACATTTTTTACCAAATGAATTTTTAGAAAAGTAATTTCAGCCTTAATGCAGATTTTTGGGATCAAATGCAAAAAGGTCTCCACACTTCAAAGTTTAAAAATTCATTTGTCTTTTCTAACAGCTTGGTGTAAAACAGACCTATTTTCAGAACAAATCTGGCTCAGTCTCTCACTTAGGAATCCTTAAATAATGAAGATTACTATATAGGGTATATTTATTTCTCCTGGCATTATTAAAACTACTTATGTACCTAAGAACTATGCTTCGTTATGCTGACATAATTCTTGTGACTGTGTTTACCAACGATATTAATAAAGATAAAAGTCAAAAGCTGATAGCTTAGGATAACAAACTACTGGGATAATAAATGTTGACAGTTATAAAGGAATATTAAAATTTTAAATCACTTTGCTTTTTAAAAAGTTCCCTTTTCTACTCAGTCTGAGGAAAATATCAAGTAACGAAAACGTCTAAGTATGTTTGCAACACTAGACACTGAGAGTCATAAGGATGACAAACTTTCTGCATTCAGACATAACACAGAATTATCTCTTCCTGTGAAATCAGTTCAAATAAAAGTAGGTATACACTGAACAATGGCTACTAAACATCAGTGCTTTAAAAATCAATACCAAGATACCCATGATCATTACTTTAATGCACAAACTAAAAGAGTAAAAAAAATACTCACTCATGTAACGGAAAGTCTCTTCAGCAAGGACTGGAGAGAGAGCATCAGATGCATGCTGCCGCTGGTGTGGAGACTGAGTCCAGTCTTGATTTTCATATAGAAAGAGAGTGTCTACTTTTAGCCTATACTGTGGTAGTTGTTCTTCTAGCAGACTCACCAGCTCAACTTCAGGGAGATCCTCATTGGAGCAGACATCTAAAGAGGAGAGTCTATGTAAATGAATCCAATATATTTCAACTTTTACTAGGCTACAGAGAAAATTGATGAAAATTAGTTTTTCTAAAGTAGGATAACCAAAGAAATACTAGACAAGATCATTTCTCCACTGATTTTTATTAGTATATCCTAGTAGTATAGTTTTTTTTTCTCCAGGTTTTTTTTCTTTTAGTAAGAGAACTTCTAAAGTAAAAATGATGGCATACATTTTTTGACAGTAATTTCTAAAAAGTATTTTTAATTGACACAAAATAATTGAATATATTTATGGGGTACATGTGATATTTTGACACCTGTATACAATGTATAATGATCAAATTAGGGTAATTAGCACATTCCTTACCTCAAGCATTTATCATTTCTTTGCATTGAGGACATTCAAAATCCTACCTTTTATCTATTTGAAAATATACAACAAATTATTGCCAACTATAGCCACCCTATGGTGCTTAAGAACACCAGAACTTATTCCACCTATCCAGCTGTAATTTTGTATCTGTTAACTAACATCTCCTGATCCCTCCTTCCCGCTACCCTTCCTAGCCTCTAGTAACCACTATTCTACTCTCTACTTCTAGCAGATCAACTTTGTCAGCTTCCACATGAGTGAGAACATGCAGATACCACAAATCTGAATTACATACTATCTAAATATATTGCTTAGTGACTATAACTATGCTTTTTTTAATTTTTAATTTTTTAATTTTTAAAAGTTTTTATTTTAGGTTCAGGGGTCCATGTGCAGGTTTGTTATGTAGGTAAACTCATGTCACGGGGGTTTGGTGTACAGATTATTTCATCACCCAGGTACCAGGCCTAGTAATCCAACAGTTATTTTTTCTGATCCTCTCCCTCTTCCCATGCTCATCCCTCACATATGCCCGTCTGTTGTTCCTGTCTTTATAACTATGCTTTTAAAGTTCAGAATTTGTAGAAATTTCATATTTTCTCCCTATCAATCTATTTAGTACGGTTTAAAAGAGGTCTGTGTCTCTGAAGCAGCAGCAGCCTGCTGAATTTTTAAAAGTATTTTTAATTGACACAGAATAATTGGATATATACTTTTTAAAAATAAAGTGAAAGAGGTCTGATCTCAACTTACATGCCTGGGGGAAAAAGCAATACAAAGCAACCAGCAGAAAATAGTTCCAAAGGGATAAAATGATATGCTCTGTAATGACAAAATTTGAATTCTGTGGAGGATTCTTCAAAATCTGGAAAAATTACATTTTAGTATATTCTCAAAGTCATTAAATTTTTTTAAAAATTGCATTAAATTTTACTGAGCACTGGTACTGAAATAAGTCCTTTATCATTTTTATTTTAAAGAAGTGGTACATCTAAATCCCAAAACATGTGAGGTGAAGGAAATCGGAAAGGGGAGGGGAAAAAGTTTCCTCTAAAAAATCTTCCCTATCCTTCACATAACATAAATTTACTATGGTACAGTGATAGTCCTGGTCTGAGTCCTGACTCTGCATATACCACAATGTGACACTGGGTAAGTTACCTAAACTCTAACCCTCAGTTTCCTCATCTGTAAAATGGAGAAGGTACTTACCTCCTAGGTTATATGAATTAAATGAGACAAATGCATGAAAAATACTTATATTTAGTACAATGCGCCTTGCACACTGTGGAGGCACTCTATCAATGTCAGCTTTTTTTTTTTTTGAGAGAGAAGTTTATTACATTTGAAAAAATACGGCAGAAATCTCAAAAGTTTACTTATTAAATATAGTTTAATTCTTACAAATCTCCTTTTGAAAACACAATTCATATATGCTGCAACCTCAGAAGTTTGAATTTGAAATGAAATATGAAGTTAGTAGTCAGGGAAGTCACATCAGAGTGCTTTGTCAAATATCCAAACAAATCAGCATATACCAAAGTGACTCTAAATATATCCAAGTGAAGGCAGAAAAATACATTACCATTTGAGGCAGACCATGCTAAAATATAATTTACAACGATTAGTTTGCATTTAAGATGGTTAGCCAACGAAATGTAGGTCAAGTTAAATTTTGTAGTATTTGCTCAGTCTCTTTGTACTAAACATTAGTTCATCTGAAAAGTAACCTCGGAAAAAGCAAATAAGCTGATCTCTTTATGCTTATCATTTTCTCACTGTCATCTTAAATGCAAGCAAATCAATACAGCATCAAGATTTTTTACATATTAAAGTGAACACTAATGACTTGTGAAGGTAGACTGTGTACCATGTGGTACTTAAAATAGATGAGCTTGCAATGACCATCAACTCAATTTTTTAAATAACACCAAGATTCACAAGCCAAAATAAACATTTGATTAAAAAATTCAGCTATTCAAGATAACTCAGTTGTCCTTTTTCTCTTTGAGACTGGGAAGGGTTGGGTCTTTAAAAACCTGAAGAGGGGCCGGGCGCGGTGGCTCACGCCTGTAATCCCAGCACTCTGGGAGGCCGAGGCGGGTGGATCACGAGGTCAGGAGAGCGAGACCATCCTGGCTAACACGGTGAAACCCTGTCTCTACGAGAAACACACACAAAAAAATTAGCTGGGCGTGGTGGCGGGCGCCTGCAGTCCCAGCTACTAGGGAGGCTGAGGCAGGAGAATGGCGTGAACCCGCCACTGAGGCGGAGCTTGCAGTGAGCCGAGATCGCGCCACTGCACTTCAGCCTGGGCGACAGAGCAAGACTCCGTCTCAAAAAAAAAAAACAAAAAACCTGGAGAGGAGTTGGTAAGAGGAAAAAAATCCTCAGTGCTTTAAAAAAACTCAACTGGTTAGAAGTCCATACAACTACTATGCTGGCATGGACACAGATGTTTTCTGTCACAGAACCATTCACTGTCCCATAGAAGTAGTTCCTCCAAGCCAACTACATAAAGATGTAAATCAGCTCACCCATGATTGGAACTGAAATAATCCTTCAAAATAGACACCTCACCCAAAAAGATCTTTAAAATCATTGCTAGCTGAACTGCTATTGGTCATAGCAGTTGGTGGCTATGCAAAGTTCTGTGGGTTGAAGAAAGGATTACCCTGCATACCAAAGGCAGATTGTCCTATCATGTTCATCTGTGTTCCCATTACTGAACTGCCCGTAGCTGGAGAAACTTGAGGAGGTACAAACTGATTAAGCCACTGATTTGGTTTCTGTTGTGATAATTGGTTCATGCTAACTTTGGGTTTCTGAGGGCCAAAGAGATTATTAAGGGCAGACATATCTGTGGGTCTTTGTTGGGTTGGCTTCGCACCAGCAGGAGGAACATTCAAAGCACTGAAGTTTGGCAAAGTGGGAGGTGTTCCAGAGTCATTTTGGTCACTCCAACTGTGCTTGGACTACTGTAGAAGTTCTGGTTTGTAGTAACGGGCATGTTGAATCCTGAAGTCTGAAAGCCCATATTGACATTTAGGCCATTTGTCAAATTTCTCTTTGTATTATCAACTGGTGTAGAAAACATCATGTCAATGCCCATGGAAGGAACAGAAGTGAACGTACTTGAAGCAGAAGGTTTAGGGGTACTAACAGAAAGGCTAGTCAAAGATGACATATTATCCATCAATGTGTCTGTCAAGTCCTTAGTCTGTTTAACAGCAGCAATAGGTGTGTACACTTGGGGTTTAAGAGGCTGCTGGCCTTTCAACTTCTATGCCTGCTCTTGTTCTCTTGCTAATTTTTGTTTTTCTTCAAGTGTAAGTGATGCTCTTTTATGTTTATTCTGAAACCCATCCTCTTTATTTTCGGAATCACTGCCAGTCAGAAGGTCTGCTCCAATGTGGCTAAAAACCTTGTCAATTTGCTGATTCCCAATATTTGTAACTTTTGTCTCCTCAGAAACATTCATTTGATTTCCTATGTCCAAAGATTTCTGTTGTTCTTGCATTATATGAAGTTGCTCCAGCTTAGTCTTATGTTCAGACTCCAACCTATTCAGCATCTCTTTTATGATGGAAATGAAAGAATTGAACTGATTAAGATTGTTTTCAATACTCAGGGGAATAAGATGAGGCAATACTTTTCCAGTCAGCTGCTCTTTGGTGATTCCCAACTTATGAGTAAAAGTACATTTGTAAATGCCTAAAATACCCATGAGGACTGCAGACTCTTTGGATGGAATTTGTTGTAAGAAGGGTAGGATACCATCAAGTACCAACCACTTATCCAAGTATTCCAAAATCTTTCCTAAGCACACTAATGAATTTACAGGAACAGCAAGGGAAGACATTTGTAGACAGGCATTTTTAATTCTTGGTATCAAAGTATGTTTCATGATGGGTAGTCTATAAGATTTGCAAAGGTTGGAATGATGTTTAGACAGAGCTCCTGGTATTGAATGGAAGGAGCTTCTAGTGCTCTGTAAACCATGGGTAGAACACTGTTCTTTATCTCATTGGGAGGGGTTTTGGTTAGTAGCAAATCCATTTTTTGTAGGAAAATTAACAAAATCTGGATTGGCTCCTGCTGCTTAAACACAGGGCCAAGTTCAGGTGGAATTAATGTGACATATTCTTCTTTGGTGCATTCCTCAACGATCAGTAGAACACTGGGCAAAACAAAAGGTACCATGTCAGGGTTTACAAATTCTGAAGTCAAATCAAAATTCTCTGTACAATGACATGCTTGGGCAGTAGAACCTTTGGCAGTCCGTTGAAAAACTGTGATTTCTGAAGATTATCTCTTTGGAATAAGGTATCAAAATATTGCAGTGTTACTGCACCAACATCATCAAAGAAGGGAATCTTTGTCATTTGATCTGCATCTGGTCTTACAGTTGGAGTTACATTTAACAGTAGCCTTACATGTTCACGAACTTCCTCAGGTATATTTATAAGTGAACTAGATCCTAAATAACTCAACTGATCCAACTGCCTACTGAAACTCTTATAAATGTCTTGCTTATTGCCTTCAAATATATGTTTCCTTTTATTAAATACAGCATACATAACAGTTCCTAAAGAATATATATCACTGACTGTTTCACAGCTCACATAAAGTATGTATTCAGGAGGCAAATATTCAGGATTTGGAAGACACAATGAAGGTAAATTTGGGTCCCATTCTTTACAAGGAAATTTAGGCTCTTGTTCAGAAGGATTGGTTGATGATACACAACAATCAAAACCCATTATTTTCCAGGCTCCACTTTTATTCAAAATTGTATTTTCAGGAGTAATATTTCCATGTACCATTTTCACACTGCTATGCAAGAATGACAATCCTTTAGAAACCTGAAGCAAACCACATTTGGTTTCTACATCATAAAGTTTATAATCCTTAATGTCTGGAGATATAGGGAAAGGGAGATTTTCCCAGTTACCAAGAACACTGGCTAAACTGGCAAAAAACTGGTTCTGTACACAACACCAAGCAATCCCTGGATTCTTCTAAAGAATGCTGGACAGTAAGAAGTCGAGGGTGTTGAAGTCGAGTTAAGTGTTGGACTCCTCATTTTAGAGAATCAATTATTTGATCCTTTTCAAATTTTTGATATTTGTCAATCATTTTTTATCAAAGACAAAAACAGCCACTGCTTTGTTGACTTTTTTGTGCCATTAAAAATCTTCCAAGCTAGCCCACTGCCACCACTGGCAATGTGCTGACCAACATCAAATTCTCTAGTGACAGGATTTCTCATTACAGCACTAGTGACATCAGCTGTTACTTCTGTAACAGTACTCTTCAATTTATTAAACATGGACTCCATGGCTGCAATATTGGGTAGTTATAGTTACCTTTTCCCTCTCCTTCCAGGAGGGGCAGAACTGGGCCTCTTTTTCCCCACCCCCCTAAACACAGGCTGTTCCTGCTCTGCCTTCACACGTGGCAGCTGGAGGAGGGAAAGGGATAGGGAGGGGAGGGATTGGGGACGAAGACTAAGGGAGGGGGGAAAAGACTGAAAGACCTATTGTCAGCTATTTTTATTACTGTATTACTATTGAGTTTTTACACCTAGAGATCAAATCAAGACTGCTAAAATAAGGTTGCTATAGTATCTAAATAATTACAGAGTATTAAAGGTAGAAGACACTTTCGGAAACCATCCAATCCTGCCTCCTAGATAAGGAAACTGAGACTTAAAGATGGGTAACTTGCCGAGGACACTAGAACCACCAGACCTGGGTCTCGACTTCCTATCCAGCACTGTACCCATTCTTGTTGCTATCTGCCATTTACAGGACAAAGGCTGACAACTTGTCCTAGAAAGCAAGTTCCTACACATCATGTCTCCAACATACAGTATTAGTCCTACATATCTCCTAATTCCTCCAGGTGTCTAATCTACTTATTGTCCTATTTTTCACTCTTAATATTAGAAAGATCATGGGTTTTGGCATCAGACGTAGCTTCTGAATCTGACTCCTCTACTAATTGTTAGACACACGATTCATCCTTTCAGAGCCTTAATTTCTCTCATTTGTAAAATAAAGATCATTTATCACACACAACAGTAGTAAGAAGTAACTAAAATAAGCAATTAAGGCACCCAGGGTATCTGGCAGATCACAGGTACTCACTGAATACTATTTACATCACTACTCTCTCACTTGCACACCTATAACACCCCCACCCCCATCTCTGAACAAACTGAGCTTTTGTGTTTTTATGTATCTGCCACTATCTTCCTGTTCCCAGTACTGCCCATCATTTAACACCTCCCAAACTTAGCTGTTTACAAAAAAGGAGAGTTATTTCTGTTAACATGCTTAAAATACTAGGGCTTAAAATAGCGAAAGTACAGGATGTCATATCAACCCTCTCACTTTTAAAGAGATGTGGTATTTCCTTTGTGGGTAGTATAATGAAACATGCTCTAGCTCTGGCAAAGAACAACAAAGTACTGGTTAAGAAAACAAATCCTTAAGAGAGTAAATTCCTACGACTTGACCTTGACTTCACAATGACATTTTAATAAGTTTAATAAAAGGAGGCTGGCAATATCAGACATCCCTATTCACCCAGAAGGAGAAGCAGTGGCTTGATCACCACAATGAGATAGAGATGAGGCAGATTTAAAACCTTAAATATGGTTCTAAATAAGCTCTCAATCCTTACAGATCTCTTAAATAGGAGACCTGAACATATATCCAAATTCTATTATTACAAGTTCCATGTGATTATCCAAATTTTTCCTGCCACACATATATTACATAGAGATTGTCATTTTAATACTCAGGAAGAGAAGTTGACTATAAATACATGCAGAGCTAAAAACAGACTATTAGGTATTCAACGGTATAGTGGAGATGAAGAACAAAAGTGACATTCATTACAAGAGATACTAGTCCCTAGCATCTCTTCTAGACTAGAATAATTCCCTACTTCCAAAATGTAATATTAAAAATAAGTGTACAATCCAGGCTTAGTAGATTAAGCTAAATATTCTTTAGACTAGCTCTTCCACCTTGCTTCCATATTCTGATAATGTTCCATTTATTACTCTTGCCCAGGCTTGACAACTCCTTCTCTACCATTTTATCCTCCAAATGTCTCCTTCATGTCCATTTTTTCCCAGTCATGCCTACCGGTAAGATAATTAAATCAGTGCTAGAATCAAGCACACTAGAGCTTGGTCTAGAGTATGATCTGTAGACCTACAGATGAAAAACAAGCCTCAAAGGGTTAACCTTATCAGCAAATAACTTAAAGTCTTGCCAAAATAAATTTTAACACTTTTCCAAGGAAGACAACAAAACCTAAACACCTAACAATGTAACATTCATAATATTCACCAGTCCATACAAAATTACTAGATATGCAAAAATAAACAAAATGTAATCCATAACCAGGAGGGAAATGAGTCAACAGAAACAGACCCGTCATGACAGAAATAACAGAATTAATAAGCAGCAATTTTTTATATCCTCTATTTTTAATATGCTCAAAGATTTAAGGGGAAAATATGAACGTAATGGAAAGAGAAACAGAAGATATGCCTGCATTTTAAAAACCCAAATAGAACTAGAGTACAGTATCTAAAATGAAAGACTCACTAGATAAGATAAACAGATTAGATATTCTCCAGAAGAAAAGAACAGTAAACTTGAAGGCATAGCAATAGAAATTATCTAAAATGAAGCACAGAGAAAAAAAGATTGGGGGGAGAAAACTGAACAGAACATCAGTGGCTGTGTCATATCAAGCAGTCTGAAGTCCCAGAAGAAAGAAGAGGCAGAAACAGAAAAAATATTTGAAAAAATGGTGGCCGAAGTCTTCCAAGTTTAATTAATACAGTAAGTCTATAGTTCAAAGAATCTCAACTCCATGCAGTATAAATACAAAGAAAACCACATCAAAGCAAAATTGCTAAAAACCAGTGATAAAGAAGAAAATCCTAAAAGCAGAGAGATAGGAAAAAAAGAACATTAAAGTTTCATTCACTTGAAATGAAATTATTCATTTCAAGATAGATGACAATGGAACAGCATCATTAAAACACATGGACAAAAAGCCAATTTAGAATCATGTGTCAGTGAAAAACATCTTTCAAAAAAGGTGAAATAGGCCAGGCGTGGTAGCTCACTCCTGTAATCCCAGCACTTTGGGAGGTCAAGGTGAAAGGACTGCTTGAGCCCAGGAGTTCAAGACCAGCTTGGCAACATAGTGAAACCCTGACTCTACATTAAAAAAAAAAAAAAAAAAAAGGAAGAAGAAAAAATTAGCTGGGTTTGCACATGCCTGTGGTCCAAGCTACTCAGGAGGCTGAGATGGGAGGATCACTTGAGCCCAAGAGGTTCAGGCTGCAGTGAGCCATGATCGTGTCACTGTACTCCAGCCTGGGGAACAGAATGAGACCCTTTCTCAAAAAAAAAGTAATTTTATTTTTCACACAAGCAGAAAACTATGGCTATTCATTGCCAGCTAACCCATATCCCAGGAAATGTTAAAGTTAAACAGGCAAAAAGGATATGGAATGGGAACTTCATTCAACAAAAGAAATAATAGAATGCTAAATCTGTGGGTAATACATAAGCCTTTTATTTTCATAATTTATTTAATTCATAATTAGCAATTTAAAGCAAAGGTAATAATGTATTATGTATATAACATATGTAGATGTAAAAGGCATAGTAATAATAATATGTAGAATGGTAGGGGGAAATGGAAGAATACTGTTTTAAGAGTGTCACTTTATTAAATATAATGTTATTTGAAGATGGGCTTTGATAAGTTAAAGGTATGTATTGCAACCTGGAGCAAGCAGTGAGAAAAATAAGAGGTATAGCTAATATGTCAACAGTAGAATTAAAATAAAAAAAGTTTAAAAAAAGAAAATGAGAAAAAAACGGAAGACGGAACAAATAGAAAAAGAAAATAGGAGTACAGTAGACTCAACTAAAGTGATAATTACATTAAAATTAAATGGTCCAAATACTGCAAATAGAAAGTACAGATGATCAGACTGGATTTTCTTTTTAGAAAAGACCCCATTATAAGTTATCTGTGGAGTTAAATGTAACTCCACATTAACTACACAGTTAAATGTAAAGATTCAGATGAGTTTAAAAAGTAAAAACATGAAAAATAAGATGATACCAATTCCACACAAACTTTTTCCAAACACAGAGAAAGGCATACTTCACAACTCGTTTTACAAGGCCAGTATTACCTCAATATCAAAATAAAGCGAAGACATTGCAAAAAAAAAAAAAAAAAAGAAAAGAAAAAAGAAAAAAGTACAAACCAATAACCCTTATTAATGGGACTAGGAAGGACACAGACACACACACACATATACACACACTCCCTAACAAAACACTAGTAAATATAACCTGTCATATATAAAAAAGATAATATATCATAACCAAGTAGTTTTTTCCAGGAATGCAAGTCTGGTTTAAAATTCAAAACTAAACCAACAGAATTCACCACACTAATAGACAAAGGAAGAAAAACCATATGAACATTTCAACAGAGGCAAAATAAGTATTTGACAAAATTCATGCTAAAAATTTCTCATCCAATTTGGAAGAGAAGGATATCTTCTCAATTTAATATAGGGTATTGTCAAGAGACTTAATGGTCAAATACTGTAACTTTTCTCCTCAGATTGGAAATACGTCAAGGATGTTTGCTCTTACCATTTTTATTCAACAATATACTGAGATCATGTCTCATTCAATAAGGCAAGAAAAATAAATAAAAGGCATCCAGATTGAAAAGGAATATGTAAAATTGTCTCCATTTGCAGACATTATGGTGTATGTAGAAAACTAAGAAATCTACCAAAAAGTTACTAAAACTAGCAAGTTAAGCAAAGTTGCAGAATATATGGTCAACATTAAAAAAATCAATTTCATTTATATATAGTAGTAACACACAGTAGGAAAATGAAATTAAATAAACAGTGCCATTTAAAAAAATACTTAAGACTAAATTTAACAAAATATGTGCAAGACTTATACAATAAAAACTATAAAATACTGGTAAGAGAAATTAAAGAGGACCTAAGTAAATGGAGATATATATCAAGTTTATGGATTAGGAGACTCACTATTCTTAAATTATCAATTCTCTACAGAGTCTATGTAATTCCATTCAAAATTCCAGCATTCTTTTTTGGGAGAAAATGACAAGCTGGTTATTATTATTAGGGACAGGCTCTCTCATTCTGTTATTCAGGCTGGAGTGCAATGGCACACTCATAGCTCACTGCAGCCTTAATCTCCTGGGCTCAAGTTATCCTCCTGCCTCAGCTTCCCTAGTAGCTGGGACTACAGGTGCATGCCACCACGCCCAGCTGTTTTTATTTTTGTAGAGATGGGGTCTCATTATGTTGCGCAGGCTGGTCTTGAACTCCTCGGCTCAAGTGTTGACAACCAGATTATACAATTTATATAAAAATGTGAAAAATCTTAAATGGCCAGAATAATTTTTGAAAAAGAGTAAAGTTGGAGAATTTATATTATCTGATTTCAAGATTTACTATAGAATTACAGCAAATAAGACAATGTGGTATTTCTGTAAAGATAGACTTAGGGATTAAAGGAACAGGATAGAGTTCAGAAATAGAACCATACACATATGACAATGAAATTATCAAGGTATTTCAATAAGGGTAAAGAGACCATTTTTAACAAATGGTAAAGAAACAATGAAATATCCAATTGGAAAGCAAAAAACAAAAACTTGGACCCAAACCTAATTCCATGCTCAAAAAAGTACACTACTGACTTAAAAGTAGAAGTAAAAACTATAAAACTTTTTCTTTTATGTGCAGATTTCTTAGAAACGACACAAAAATATGAATTATAGTAGCAAAAACTGATAACTCCATCAAAATTTAAAACCGCTCTTCAAAAGACACCAGTAAGAAGATGAAAAGGCAAGCCAAAGTCTGGGACAAAATACGGTCCATTTACCTAACAAAGGACTTACATCTAGAACATGTAAAGAACACTTACAATTCAACACTTACATTTCAATAGTAAGATAAATTTTTAATGGGCAAATGATTTGAATAAACAACTCAAAATAAAATCTAGATATGGTCAGTAAGCACATGAAAAGGTGCTCAACATCATGAGTCATCAGGAAAATATAAACTAAAATCAGAGATACCAGTACACACCTACTAGAATGGCTAAAATCAAAATCACTGACATTACCAAGTGTTGATGTACAGTAGAGGTCAGCAAACGACAGCCCACAGGCCAACTTCGGCTTGCTGCCCCGCCTGTTTTTGTAAATCAAGTTTTATTGAAACACAGTCACATTCATTTTTTCATGTACTGTCCAAGGCTGCTTTTCTGCTACAATAGCAGGGATGAGTAAGTTCCAGCTTAGCAATAAAAAGAAACAACTTCTGATACTTATCACAAGTGGATAAATCTCAAAAACATTTTGCTGTACAAAAGAAGGCAGACACAAAAGACACATTCAATTTATATGAAATTCTAGAACAAGCAAACTTAAAGTGGCAGAAAGCAGATTAGTGGTTGTTTGGAACTGGAGGTGAGGGGTGGGGAGATCTCTGTACAAGGGAACTTTCTGTGGGATAATAAAAACTTCTCTAACTTGTTTGTACTGGTGGTTACACTGAATGCATATTTTTGTCAAAACTCGAACTGTATACTTAAAATGAGTGTATTTTATTGTATCTTCATAAACATACCTCCAATGATAATAAATTAAAACAAACTTTGGGTTTTGATGGGTTTCAGAATTCAGAATTTTTCAGATTTTTAGAAAAGTGGCACTGTACATTAACTGTATGTTATATAACATCCCCAACTGGTTTTGCAGCAGCACCTCATATTTAAATATATAAATACATCTTCAGCAAATATGAGTATTCAAACTAAATGAGTTAAGTCTAGAAACAGCCAAAGTCTGGTTTGGTGGGCAAATGAGTTTCTGAATAAAAGTGTAGAAAAAAACTTTGACTGCTCAGAGTTTTTTGATTTAGTCTTACAGATAAGGTGTTATGGGCCTGTATGTATGTTTGTTATATGCTGTACACCCCAAGAGTCTTGTGTGCCAGGCATTGTTGTTAGGTACCTGCAGGGTATACAAACACAGGTAACTCTGTCCTTACCCTGTGGAGATCAGATGGATATGATGCAGCTACTACTCACCGGGGGTTCAAGGGTACAGGGGAGTCCGACATAGACAGGAAATAACATGAAAGGCAGATTCTGTTAATGCGTCAGGGGACACAGGGGATGGAGAGATTAATTCAGTTTTTCCCTGAGGACATCAGACTAGAAAGGGAGGCTTGGGTTTCATCATGATAGGTCATATATGCTGGACTGAGGCATTTGCATTTTCTCCTATAAGCGATAGCACTTCAATATTTATTAAACTGGACTTACCAGTGATGCTCTCCGAGTCTCTGTGATTGCTATTCATGAGGTTTTCTTCACCTGTTGGTGATGTAAAAATTGCATTCTGGGATTGACTCATGCAGGATCCTTTCTTGCTTTGGTTGAGAAGGACAGCTTTGGTATGAATCAGAGTAAAGGAAATCCATCAAGCCATTCAATAATGAAATGGATTTGGTCACATGGATATTTTCTTTTAGACAGATTTTCTCTGATGAGTCAAATGACATCCGTAGCAACGAGCACTCTCATGTGATTATCATACTTTGGACAGTCATGACCTAAAACAAAAACATCAAGTGACTAGAACTCAGCATGCTCTTTAACAACAGGAATCTAATTAATCAAAATGTCCATCATGAAAAATGTTTTTCTAATGATTCATACAACATGGATAAATCTCATAATTATGCTGGAAGAAAGAAGTCAGACAAAAAAAGAGTACACAGTTTATGACTTCATTTACATAAAATTCTAGAAAATGTCCACTTATCTATAGTGACAGCAGATCAGTGGCTGCCTGGAGTTAAGGGAGGAATTACTAAGGGGCAGGAGAAAAGTTTTTGGAATGATGAATATGTTTATTATTTTGACTGTGGTGATGGTTTTACAAATGCGTATCAAAAGTGGTTAAATTGTACACTTGAAATGTGTAATTTGATGCATGTTAATTATATTTAAATAAAGGTGTTTAATTTTTAAAAAGATAACTGTTTAAAGTAATACACTAATAATATATTGTAGAGTCTATAACATATGTAGAAGTAGAATGTTTTGCAGTAGCATGAAGGCCAGAAGGGGGGAAATGGGCATATACTGTTGTAAGGCTTTTATATTACACATGAAACAGTAACATATGGCTTGAAGATAGACTGTGATAAGTTAAAGAAGTATACCATAAACCTGAAACCAACCAATTAAAAAACTCAAGAATTACAGATAATAAACCAATGAAGAAGACGAAATGGAATAATACAAAACAGGGTTTTTTAATCTTGGAAAATTAACATTTTGGGCCAGTTATTGCTTCATCATGTGCATTGTAGGATCTTTTACCCACTAAGTGCCAGCAGAATCGCTTCCCCAGACCCTCTCCAGCTTTATCTAAAATGTCTCCAGACATTGTCAGATGTCCCCTGGGGTGGGGGGGGCAAAATTCATCCCTGGTTGAGAACCACTGATAAAACAGATGCTCAACTTCACTCACAATTAAAACAAAAATATAAACAAAAAAAAAGTTCACCCACTAGATTAGCAAACATTAGTTTTATTATATTCTTTGCTGGAGATGGTGTGGAGAAAGAAGCACTCTTATACCCTGTTGATAAAAGTGCAAATTGGGGCTGGGCATGGTGACTCACGCCTGTAATCTCAGCACCTTGGGAGGCTGAGGTGGGCCGATCACTTGAGGTAAGGGGTTCCAGACCAGCCTAGCCAACATGGTGAAACCCTGTCTCTACTACAGATACAAAAATTAGGTGGGTGTGGTGGCAGGTGCCTGTAATCCCAGCTACTTGGGAGGCTGAAGCAGGAGAATCGCTTGAGCCTGGGAGGCAGAGGTTGCAGTGAGCTGAGATTGCGCCAACTGTACTCCAGCCTGGGTGACAGAGCAAGACTCTGTCTCAAAAAAAAAAAAAAAAAAAAGGTGCAAATTGGAACAAGCTTTCAGAAGGCTATTTGGCAATGTCTACCAAACTTTTAAATGCACACATGCTGTAACTTAACAGTTCTACCACCAGGAATTTACACAATGGATATACTCACGAAGTGTGCTAAGATGTAGGGATAAGGATGCCCATACGGTATTGGTTTGGGGGGAAAAAAAAAGCACATACCACACAACTGGAACTAAATGTCTATAAATAAATGGTTTAATAACAGTGGAACATACAAAGGAATACAATGTACTAAATATATGTGCATACTTAAAAAAATCAGGAACTGTCATCAGTAAAACTGTTCAATTCTACTTATTTGATTTATATCAAGACAGTCTCTGCTTGGCAACTTGTGGCTTCTACTTATAGTTAATTCATTCTCATGCCTGCTCTTCACAGGCATCATAAATATTCAATGTTTTACAAGAGAGTTACCCTCAAGAAGTAGAAAGGAACAAAGTAAATAAAGGAGACTGAAAATGGTTACTGAGGCAGAAGAATAGAGAAGCACTTTGAGCAAATCCTAGGGAGGAGAGTTTCAGAGATAGAATGTGAACAGAATTAAACGTTATACAAAGTCAAAGGGAAAATTCGGTTTATTTAAAAAGGGGTAAGGGACCATAAAATCAATGATAACTTTCCAGAAACCAGTTCAGCCAAGAGATTGGATCCAAAGACAAGCTGCAAGGTGTCGGTAAGTGAGATGCTAAGAGTGGAGTTTAGTGAGTACAGACCACGATTTCCTAACACCTAGACTTTCAGATCTCCACAGACTGGTAAAATTTCAAACACTTCTGTGGTTATTGGCATGGGGTTTCCATTTCTTACCAATTTCTATTACTTTGTAAATGATAAAACATTTTACTAAAAGAAAAAGAGACATAATAAATAGCAGTCCTTCCCAAAAAAGGAGTTTGTAATTTTATGTTGGAATAACAACAGCAACACCACCACCACACACACACACACACACACACACACACACACACACACACACACACGAGACAGAGTCTTGCTCTGCTGCTCTGTCACCCAGGCTGGTGTGCAGTGGTGCAATCATAGCTCACTATAGCCTTGAACTCCTGGCCTCAAGTGATCCTCCTGCCTCAACTCCCAAAGCTCTGAGATTACAGGCATGAGCCACTGCACCCAGCCCTAATTTTTCTATATTTGAACTCAGAAAATTTTAATAAATACTTTAAGATTCTGGTACTGATACATGCTGAATAAATGTGAGTGAACCCTAAAAACACGCTAAGTGGAAGAAGCAGCCACATGATTCCATTTATATAAAATATCCAAAATAGGCAAATCCATAGTGACAAAGCCAATTAGTAGTTATCAGGAACTAGGGAGAGGGGAGAATAGGGAGTGATTGCTTAATGCGTATGGGGATTCCTTTTAGGATGATGAAAATTTCATCAATTACAGCTGGTTCGATGGCAGTGGGTTATCAGAACTTATTAACATTAGTGTCATTAAAGTTGGTATATAGTCCCTCACTGCTAAATTTGGCTTAAAAATAAAATTTTTTTAAAAATTTGATGAATTAGTGGTGATGGTGGCACAACACTGTAAATACACTATAATAAATTTCACTGAATTATACACTTTAAGGTGGTTAAAATGGCAAATTTTACATGTCTTTTACTGAAACTAAGTACTGTACTATATAATACAAAGTATATAATACACAATTTTAAAAGTGATAGGGAAATTCTTAGATCAATAGTCATTTATTCCAAGTGTATTTTAAATAAAATCAGTCTTGGTAAAGAAAAAAAAGATTATATTTTATATACATAACTATTTTCTTGAAATATGTTTGCCAGTATAGTAATCTGTGTTACCCAGTGCAACATGAAGTAAAACTCTAATATATTAACTCAGATACTTTAATTTTAATTCCAGTTGTCAAAAATTCATTTTTCATATTCCAGGAAAAGTCCATTGTATGCAACTGAATTCTTTTCCACATATCGTATTGTCCAGAATTGTCATCCCTAAACCAGTCACTATAAAGGAAATAGAATTATAATGAATCAAACCAATAAAGAGTCACACCTTGAACTTGGAAGGAAGAAGAAAGCAATCTTCTCTGAAGTACACAATCACTGGCTACCTGAGCAAAATCTGAACTAGGGCCTCTGCCAACCAAGAAGGGGGAAATGATCATTTTTAGGTAGGGAACCAAATATCACCTGCTATGTAAGTCTTTATGTCACATATAATTTTTATCAAGGTCTTTTAAATTCTAACACTCCAAAGACCTAGATTTATAGTTTAGGAATCAAGTGATACATTTTAAAAAAACAGAATGGCAATGGAAATCTAAGAATAAATGTGCTAGTGTATAACCGGCTATCTAGTGAATGATCAGCAAATCATGCACTCGTTTGTAACTGGCCACTAGTTTATAACTATGCACTAGTGTATAACAGGCTATCTAGTGCATGGTCAGCAAATTTGGCCCACAGCCAAATTTGGCTTGCCACCTGTTTTTTTTGTTCGTTTGTTTTTGTTTTTTTTTTGTTTTTGAGACAGAGTCTCACTCTTTCGCCCAGGCCGGACTGCAGTGGCACAATCTCGGCTCACTGCAAGCTCTGACTCCCGGGTTCACGCCATTCTCCTGCCTCAGCCTCCCGAGTAGCTGGGACTACAGGCACCCGCCACCTTGCCTGGCTAATTTTTTTTGTATTTTTTTTAGTAGAGACGGGGTTTCACTGTGTTAGCCAGGATGGTCTCGATCTCCTGACCTCGTGATCCGCCCGCCTCGGCCTCCCAAAGTGCTGGGATTACAGGCGTGAGCCACTGCGCCCGGCCTGCCACCTGTTTTTGTACAACCTGTGAGTTAAGAATGATTTTTATACTTTCAAATGGCTGGAAGGCAAAGAATAATATTATGTAACATGTGACAATTATGAAATTCAATTTCCAGTGTCCACAAAGGAAGTTTTATTGGAATACAGCCACACTTACTTAAGTATTGTCAATTGGTTGCTTTCATGCTACAACAGCAGAGCTTAGTAATTTTAAGGACTTCATAGTCCACAGAGCCTAGAATACTATGTCTCTTTACAGAAAAAGTTGACCAACACCTGTTCTACAGTAGAAAAATAGTTCAGTCATAAAATAACCACCTACCTAAATCAAAGATTTCCTAGATTAACTTCTTAAAAAGGGTTTCCTTCCACATTTACATACTTGTAATTAGATCACTATTTCCACAGAATTTAGGTAAACTAAACAACAGACTTCTACTTTCTACATCCGTAAGTGCATTTAAATGTTATTTTCAATTTCTAAGAAAGCATTTATTTATATTTTTATTTTTTGAGATGGAGTTTCACTCTTGCTGCCCAGGTTGGAGTGCAATGGTGCGATCTCGGCTCACTGCAACCTCTGCCCCCCAGGTTCAAGCGATTCTCCTACCTCAGCCTCCCAAGTAGCTCGTATTACAGCTCCTGCCACCACGCCTGGCTAATTTTTTTATTTTTAGTAGAGATGGGGTTTCACCATGTTGGCCAAATTGGTCTCAAACTCCTGACCTCAGGTGATCCACCCACCTCGACCTCCCAAAGTGCTGGGATTACAGGCATGAGCCACCGTGCCCCACTCCAGAAAGCATTGCTTTTTTTTTTTAAATAATGTTATATACTTGTTTGTGAAGAGAGAAAAAGAGAGAGAGAGAGTGAGGAGGGAAGGATGAAAAGGAACAGGATAAAAGCAAAGTATCTCTCATACTGGTCCACACTGATTCTCAAACAGAGCTGCGGTTCTTTTAATCATATCTGAATCAAAGACCACTGCGAAAATCTAATGATAATTTTGAGAACTATGCCCACCACTCTGTTACATACTAGCTGATTTGATTATACATTTACCATTTATTTTAGTTCCTATTTTTGTTTTTATATATATCACATAGGAACACAAAAATTTTATATGTTTCGCCTAAGGACTCTACATCTTTGTTCTACAGCAGGGGTCCCCAACTCCTGTGCCATAGAACTGTACCCATCTGTGGCCTGTCAGGAACCAGGCTGCATAGCAGGAGGTGGGTAAGTGAAGCTTCATCTGCATTTACAGCCGCTCCCCATCACTCGCATTACTGCCTGAGCTCTGCCTCCTGTCAGATCAGCGGCAGCATTAGATTCTCATAGGAGCTCGAAACTTACTGTGAACTGCGCGTGCGAGGGATCTAGGTTGCCCACTTATGAGAATCGAATGCCTGATGGTCTGTCACTCTCTCCCATCACCTCCAGAAGGGACCGTCTACTTGATGGAAAATAAGCTTAGGGCTCCCACTGATTCCACATTATGGTGAGTTGTATAATTATTTCATTACATATTACAGTGTAATAATAATAGCAATAAAGTGCACAATAAATGTAAAGCGCTTGAATCATCCCCAAACCACCCTCCTCATCTCCACTGGTCCATGGAAAAATTGTCTTCCACGAAACCAGTCCCTGATGGCAGAAAGGCTGGGGACCTCTGTTCTAGAAAACTGCTCTTTAAATTAACTTTGGAGGTTTTGTTAATGGTTTAGTCTTAATTCTTGCATAGCAGAATAGAGAAAACCAAGTTGAACTAAGAACTAAGTCCATCTAAAGAATCATGCCAGAAAAATGCTGACTTCCAAGGCAATTCAGGAACCTGTTCAGCCTGCAGACTGTGCACCAAGTCCAGGGTGATCTGGCAATGGTATGTTCTTCCTGGAGACTTTTTAGATCTAAATAAGCCCTTTGGACATGCCCTGTCTAAATCTGAGCTCCTCAGAAAGATCAGTTTGGAGTAGTGGTACTGAACATAGTTCCATGGATGTGGCCTGACATTAGACAAGTCTGAATTTTAACCTAATTTACTGCTTTTCTGACCTTAGGCCCATTATTTAACATTTTTGAGTCTCATTCCTCATTTTCAAGATGGGGATATTAATAACCACCCTTTATAAGAAGGGTCAGACATGAGAACTAAATAAAAATGACAAATTCCTAGTTTGGTACCCAACATACAGTAGACACTCAAATGCGCACTCCTGTCGGCTTCCCCCTTAGCTTTCAGGCCTGATAAAAAGATGATGTCTTCTGTCTAATATTTCTTTTTTATTAAGTTCTAGGGTACATGTGCACAATGTGCAGGTTTGTTACATATGTATATATGTGCCATGTTGGTGTGCTGCACCCATTAACACATCATTTACATTAGGTATTTCTTCTAATGCTATCCCTCCCCCCTCCCCGCACCCCAAAACAGGCCCTGGTATGTGATATTCCCCACTGTGTCCAAGTGTTCTCATTGTTCAATTCCTAACTATGAGTGAGAACATGTGGTGTTTGGTTTTCTGTCCTTGCGATAGTTTGCTCACAATGATGGTTTCCAGCTTCATCCATGTCCCCACAAAGGACATGAACTCATCCTTTTTTATGGTTGCATAGTATTCCAGAGTGTATATGTGCCACATTTTCTTAATCCAGTCTACCAATGATAGACATTTGGGTTGGTTCCAAGTCTTTGCTATTGTGAATAGTGCCACAATAAACATACACGTGCATGTGTCTGTATAGCAGCATGATTTATAATCCTTTGGGTATATACCCAGTAATGGGACGGCTGGGTCAAATGGTATTTCTAGTTCTAGATCCTCGAGGAATCACCACACTGTCTTCCACAATGGTTGAACTAGTTTACGCTCCCACCAACAGTGTAAAAGTATTCCTATTTCTCCACATCCTCTCCAGCCACCTGTTGTTTCCTGACTTTTTAATGACTGCCATTTTAACTGGTGTGAGATGGTATCCCATTGTGGTTTGCATTTCTCTGATGGCCAGTGATGATGAACATTTTTTCATGTGTCTGTTGGCTGCATAAATGTCTTCTTTTGAGAAGTGTCTATTCGTATCCTTTGCCTACTTTTTGATGGGGTTGTTTGATTTTTTTCTTGTAAATTTGTTTTAGTTCTTTGTAGATTCTGGATATTAGCCCTTTGTCAGATGCGTAGATTGCAAAAACGCTCTCCCATTTTGTAGGTTGCCTGTTCACTCTGATGGTAGGTTCTTTTGCTGTGCAGAAGCTGTTTAGTTTAATGAGATCCCATTTGTCTATTTTGGCTTTTATTGCCATTGCTTTTGGTGTTTTAGACATGAAGTCCTTGCCCATGCCTATGTCCTGAATGGAATTACCTAGGTTTTCTTCTAGGGTTTTTATGGTTTTAGGTCTAACATTTAAGTATTTAATCCATCTTGAATTAATTTTTGTATAAGCTGTAAGGAAGGGATCCAACTTCAGCTTTCTACATATGGCTAGCCAGTTTTCCCAGCACCATTTATTAAATAGGGAATCCTTTCCCCATTGCTTGTTTTTGTCAGGTTTGTCAAAGATCAGATGGTTGTAGATGTGTGGTATTATTTTTCAGGGCTCTGTTCTGTTCCATTGGTCTATATCTCTGTTTTGGTACCAATACCATGCTGTTTTGGTTACTGTAGCTTTGTAATATAGTTTGAAGTCAGGTAGCATGATGCCTCCAGCTTTATTATTTTGGCTTAGGATTGTCTTGGCAATGCAGGCTCTTTTTGGTTACATATGAACTTTAAAGTAGTTTTTTCCAATTCTGTGAAGGAAGTCATTGGTAGCTTGATGGGGATGGCATTGAATCTATAAATTACCTTGGGCAGTATGGCCATTTTCACGATGTTGATTTTTCCTATCCATGAGCATGGAATGTTCTTCCATTTGTTTGTGTCCTCTTTTATTTCGTTGAGCAGTGGTTTGTAGTTCTCCTTGAAGAGGTCCTTCACATCCCTTGTAAGTTGGATTCCTAGGTATTTTATTCTCTTTGAAGCAATTGTGAATGGGAGTTCACTCATGATTTGGTTCTCTGTTTGTCTGTTATTGGTGTATAGGAATGCTTGTGATTTTTGCACAT